>NC_000002.12:190519921-190822951 GCF_000001405.40 Homo sapiens | reverse complement strand
TTTAGAAGTTAGAAGTTAGTTAATATCTCCATCAATTTGCTTCTCTTTATATGCCAAATACATAGAGTGAATGGTTGGAATATTAAAAGATCCTGCTAATTCCACTTAAGCCATATGGGCATTTCTGATCAAAGAATAGCTGCAATTTAACTTTTCACCTCTGAATGGGAGTCACAGGAGATGAGGGAGGTGATCTGATCTGTCACCTAGGTTTACAAATCTGTTATATGACACTGCAGTTCTGTTCCTTCTGGATAGAAATTTGACTCTGAGGAAGCATGGCACTTTGGAAAGAGGTGTCATAAAGAGTTAAAAGGAAGTAAGGAGAGATACCAGTGATAATATTTCCAATGGCTAAAATAGCTTTCAAGCCTTAGGCCAGGTAGCCTTGTTCATAGGTCAGAAAAAGGCCTTACCAGAAGTTACTTACCTTAAAATGAGATTGTTTCATCTGAGCATTCCTCAAATTTGAAGAGAAGGGATTCAAGTTCTTATTGTCCTACTCGTATACCTTAACTGTAACTCACATGTTTACTATGCCCAAGGCACTGTTCTAAGAGCTTTAGCTACACAAAGATGAGAACACTGAGACAGAAAGGCTACCTAGATTATGAAGAGTATAAAGCTGGAAAGGCACTGGATCAGGATGTGAATCCAGGCAACAAGGCACAGAGCCCAGGAAATTTAAACACTAAGCTTCTCAGTCTTGTTCATCAAAGAGTAAACTATGAAACAGAATACAATACACTTCCCATTCCTGGCTTAGCAAAATCCTTAACCACAGCAGGGTAATATCGTTCAAATTTGTCTTTAATGAAAAGAGCTTAAGTATTGGAGAATACTTTAGGAGAACTGGTGAAGCATAATGCTAAATTTGTTCTATTAACTGAAACATTGTTCTCTGCAAAATACAGAGAAAAATAAAGCTCTGTGAGGAGTGAGTGACTTTAAGGAATGTCTTGTAATTGAACATTATTATCATCATTATGTGTTGGGAAGCTTTCCCTACTAAGTATTGATTTCTAGCAGAATGCATGTAACACTAGCCTGAACACTCCTGGTTTGAGTTATCTATCCCTACTCAGGGGCCCAGAGCTTCAGAACTGACCTGATTTCAGAAGGTGAATCCAAAGTGCTAGATATTTGTTTGCATTGAAATTACTACACACCAATTGTAGCAGACATTTTCACCTGGTGCCTTTCATTCAAAGACTGTTAAGAATCAGCAAGGTGCAGCACTAAAGATATAGTCTACCAAAGGAATATGTTACCCACCCATGTTTAATGTCTGAATGAACTCAATCATTCAGCAGGTATTCTTTAAGCAGCAGGTATTTCTTTAAGCAGAAATCAATATGGTAGGCAATATGAGGATATGAAGATTAATCTTGTCCCCAGACGGCTCACAGTCTGCCCAGGGAAATGAGCTTTAAAAAATATGACACATAGTAGGCGATGATAGAAGAGTAATACAACTAGTGACCATGGTTGTTCAGCGGAGGAGAACACAGGTGAGAAAGAAAAGTTTCTGGCTGATGGTCCCATTTGAGACAGCACTGAAGGTAAGATAGGATTTGGACACGTGGATGTGGGGAGGAAGACAAAACTCTTTTAACTGAATCCTCAGAGCAGATCGGAATCTCTGCAATAAGTGATTATAAAGCAGGAGTTTTGTCTTTTCATATTCCTATATCCCCATGCCTGGTGCAGACTGAAATGAAAGAGGAAGGAAGGTTAGAAAAAAAAAAAAGAGAGACAGAGAGAAGCCAGTCACTCTGATTTCTAGGCAAAGAGGACAAAGGTGCCAGCTGACCTGATGGATCACTCTGGTGACCTCACTAGGCCCCGTAGAGTCCCAAGCTCCGCACTTCACACAAAATGAAATACGGTCACATCTGATGAGTGCCAAAAGAATGATGCAAATGGCCAAGAAATCACCTTTTCCAATTGTGAATTGACACCATCCTCAAGTAGAATAGTGTCAGATATGTGTAAGTGTAAAAATTAAACAATAACATTGTCCAATGACAAAAGTTACCATTGTCTTGAAAACTGAATAAATTGTTGAATAATGTTCAAATAATAAGGTGTTGAAAGTAATGGGGAAAATGACAGAAATATTTTACTTAGATTATCTTTAAGTAAATATAAAGCAAAAAGGCTGTGTTCTCATAAAATGCATCTCCCTTTGTTCTTTTTAAAAGACCATAATAGCTAGATTGTGTTCACAGATCTATCCCAGGAGGCCATAAAAGTCCAAGATCCAAATCCAAGATCCAAATCCAGTATGGTTGCCCAAAAGGACAAGACTACACACTGTCTCTTATTCTTCACCCCCAGGCAAAAAGGCAAGAACTCTTCATTGAAAGCACCAAGGGAATTAGAAACTCATCTTTTCTCTTTAGGACACTGCTGTCTTTTTTTTTTTTTTAAAGTTAAAAATGGTAAACACTTTCTTTAAAATTCGATGTCAATTCCCACTAATAACAATACTTTTTTTTTTTAGCTAATAAAACAGTTGCTCCTATATTTTTGTACTATTGTTGCTTGTTTCTCCCAATGCTTTCTCTTGGCCATGTGTAACAAATGTGTTTCCAACCCTCCATACAGACATTTTTCACCTCTCTGCAAGCTGACTTTCTGGTCTCAGCATTTCCAGTGTTAACGTGGAAGCAAAAGGGGTCAGAAGTTTGCTATGAATTTTTTGGGTGGTTTACTATCGAGTAAAATACACACTGAGCGCCATCCTGGAGGCATTCAGGCATTTGTCTGTTAATCTTCTATATCTTTTTCTGAGAGAGAAGCTGTTCACTTGCCAGCATGGACACTCCTGAGTAAAAACAGATGGCCATTCAACAGCTGTGATTTGAGAAACAATGCAATATTCACTCCACCTAAGATTATTTTCCTTGCCAACCTCTTTTACTGCCTGGGATTTTATCCTTATAGACTCATTCCTATGAATTAACAAACATCCAGGCCAATCACCAGAAGAGTTATGACACATTACAGTGGTGTTGGTCATTACTCTTTGGCTTAGCTTAGCTTATTCATGATCTTAGTTCATCCCTGAGAACTCTCAGAGGTGCAGGCAGTTTGGAAATTAGAGGGTTTTTGTTGTTGTTGTTTTTGAGACGGAGTCTTGCTCTGTCGCCAGGCTGGAGTGCAATGGCGTGATCTCGGCTCACTGCAACCTCCGACTCCCTGGTTCCAGCGATTTTCCTGCCTCAGCCTCCTGAGTAGCTGGGATTACAGGCATGAGCCATCATGCCCAGCTAAATTTTTTTGTATTTTTAGTAGAGACAGGGTTTCACCATGTTGGCCAGGATGGTCTCCAACTCCTGACCTCATGATCCACCCGCCTCGGCCTCCCAAAGTGCTGGGATTACAGGCGTGGAAATTAGAGTTTTGATGGGTGGATGCTTCAGACACTGTCCATGACTGCACGTCTGGGTGGGGCATCACAGAAGACACAAGGACACTGGGTGACTAGGAAAACTAGGAGAGAACCTAGAGGGCATGTATTTGTTTTCTAGGGCTGCCATAATAAAATACCACAAACCGGGTGGTTTAGAACAACAAATTTGTCTCACAGTTGTGGAGGCCAGAATCCAAAATCAAGGTGTTACAGGATCACATACCCTCCGATGGCACTTGAGAAGAATCTATTTCAGGCCTCTTTTCTACCTTCTGACAGTCTCAAGTGTTCCTTGGCTTGGAGATGGCTGCCTTCTCCCTGTGTCTCTGCATGTCATCTTCCCTTGACCCCCAAATTTCCAGTTTTTGTGACACGAATCCCATTGGATTAGGGCCTACTCTAAGGATCTCATTTTAACTTACTTCTGTAAGGCTTCTATCTTCAGATAAGATTAAGTTCAGAAGTACTAGGGGTTAGGACCCCAACATATGAATAGGGGCAGGTGTGTTGGTACACATTTTATTCCGTAACAGAGGTGCTTGTGTGTGTGTGTGTGTGTGTGTGTGTGTGTGTTGAGCAAGGGTCTGAGGGAGGATGTATATAAAGATATAAAGGCACTTGAATATAGAACTCATCTAATTCTCATTATGCCTTATGCTGGCCATCCCCATTTAGTGACCTTGTGCAATAAGAAGCCTTGGCTAGTTCAGGTGCATCTTATGGAATCAAGAAATTTGCCTGATCAGGAGGACCAGTTGAATATCAGAACTAAGAGATTCAGGCAATAGTAATGTTCAGGCAAGAGCAAGCAGGAGGCCAGGAATCCAAGCAGATAAGACAGGTGGAAAACAGAGCTTTTAGAAACTATGACTAGGTAAGAGGTCGGATATCCAAAGAAATATTTTTTTCTCAAATTTTATTATAAATTTTTTTATTTTATCATAAAAATTATCAGACATACAGAAAATTTGAAAGAATTGTACAGTGAAGCCAGTTTACCCAACATCTAAATTTTACAATTAACATTTTGCTTTATTTGTTTGATCACGTATCTATCAATCTATCCATTCCTCTATCAGTATTAATCATGACTTTTTATTTTCCATATTTCTAAGGTGTTGGCATCTGGGGCCTTTCCTTGCTGACCTAGAGGGACTGCCCCTCCCAGGACTAACCAACTCCTAAAGATAATAAAAGACTTGCCTGCAATCATGCCTTTCACATGCAGACTAACCAGTCCAGGTCTTATACCCCATGACTTCTTCTATGGGGCTGTCACACTCAAGGCCACTATTCCCCTGTCCTAATCTCCCCACAGCTAGACGTCAGGCAACTAGAGAGGGCCACTACACCCCAGAGCCAACTGAAATTATTCAAAATAACCAATCCTAAACCTGCTTACCTTGCTTCACGTGTTCCTTCCTAGGGAAACCACAATAAGAGCTCTTCTCTATGTTTTCCCCTTGCTCTCTCTGCCTCCTAACCAACCCAGGTGCTTCTCCATGTGGCCCTGCGTGGTGTGGTATGTGCCCTCTCCTCTTGGGAACTGTGAGTAACAAACAGTCATTTCAATGGCAAGCATATCTTGATCTTTTGACCTCACCATACCTGAATAATAATTAAATCTAAATTTTAAAACACTATTTAACAATCTTTTCATTTGACACATTTGCTTGTTTTTTAAAAAATCATCTTCATTAAAGTATAACTTACCTGTAATAGAATTCACCAGTTTTAAGCATACTATTTAGTGAGTTCTATATAGAATATTTATATAGCAAAACTGAAAAAATTTTCTCATTTTCCTCTATAGTCAGTCCCATCCTCTCCACCAGCCTCTGGAATCCATTGAAAAACTTTCTGTCACTATAGTTGTGCCTTTTCTAGACTTTGATATAAATGGTATATCTCTTTGTGTCTCACTTCTTTCACTTAGCACAACATTTTTGAAATTCATCTATGTTGTTGGTTGTATCAGTAGTTCCTTCATTTGTATTACTGTGTAGTATCCCATTGTATGGATATACCACAGCCTACTTCTCCATTCACCTGTTGATAGATATTTGAGTTGTCTCCAGTTTGGTGCTCTTCTGAATAAAGCTATGATGACCATTAAAGTACAGATCTTTGTATGAACATATTTTTTCTTTTCTCTTGAATAGATACCTAGAGTAAGATTGCTGGCTTAAACAGTAGGTATGTGGTTAATCTTATATGAAACTGCCAAACCACTCTGCATCATTGACAAGACTTGGTATTATTTGTCTTTTTAACTTGGCATTCTTATGTATGTGCAATGGTGTCCCACTGTGGTTTTAATTTTCATATCTGTAATGACTACTGATGTTGAGCATCTTTTTATGTACCTATTTTTCATTTGAATATCTTTCTTTGTGAAATCTTTTGTCTATTTCTTAATTAAGTTGTTTGCCTTATTGAGCTATAGGAGTTCTTCATATATCCTGGGTAGAAGTCCTTTATCAAATATTTGTTTTGCAAATATTTCTCCCAGTGGAGAAACAATTTTTAAGTAGGAAATATCTGAGTTCAGGGGAAACAAACCGTCCCAAATTCAGGCAGTAAGTGACTCAGGTCAGTATGTCAGCAATGAGTACTAAAGTATGAATCTTATTCTAAGGCAGAAATGTTAGTCCAGCCATGGTTAGGGAAGAACTACTTGTAGTGCATAGATATATTACAGCCACTGTGCAGAGCTCCAAAGTGTATCTGTCTAGAAAAAATAAGAAATTATATGGAAAGGAAGGCAATGCCAATTCTAGTCACCAGCAAAGAGACAGATACACTTTTATGACATTTGCCACAGGGCATTAAGGGAGCAAGAGGGAAGAGGAAGCAAGTCAGGAGAAAAACGGGGATAGCAAGAAACTTAACAGGAACTTGGTACAAATGGGCATGGTGGCCTACAAGTGGAGAAGGTTTGCTTTCAGAGAGCCAGTCCCAACAAGAGAGTAGTAAATTCAGACTAATTATGAGTAGACATTGGTAATCCAAGGAGAGGCTAAATTCAAGGTTGGCAGGATGGTAAATGATGATGCATGTTCAGAAGTCTAGAGCAGACAGTATGGAAGAGTCAAGCAGCACAGGACATTTCCAAGAAATCTTTGAGAAAACAGGGCAGGAAGACAGGGAAGACCCAGTGCCAAGGGACTACAACGTTGATAAAAATAAGAAATGGGGGCTGGACATGGTAGCTCATGCCTGTAATCCCAGCACTTCGGGAGGTCAAGGTGGGTGGCTGACTTGAGCTCAAGAGTTCAAGACCAACCTGGGCAATATGGTGAGATCCCATCTCTATAAAAAAGAAAAACAGGAATGAAAAATGGAAAAACACATCAGTCAAGAAGAAGTTAAAGAAGAGAGTTCCGCCACTGCACTCCAGCCTGGGCGACAGAGCGAGACTCCGTCTCAAAAAAAAAAAAAAAAAAAAAAAAAAAAAAAAAAAAAAAAGAAGAGAGTTCCTCCTTGAGTACCTGTGACCTTGGGAAAGACAGAGAAACCCCTGGCAGAAGATGCCAGAGAGGTAGCTCATCTTTCTCACAGTGATATTAGGGTAGGTGAGGAAGACTGTTTTTCAATGATCACAGATGAGCGTAATTATTTGCAAACGCCATTGATGTGTGAAATGAAAAAAGATTATTAAGGCAAATGTATTGACTATTTTTTTTAATTCCAGGAGAGAGACAGCAGCAGGCTAACTAGTTGTCTGTTAAGAACATCCAGAGCAGGACCAGAATCTGGGCCAGGAACTGAGAGACAGATTGGGACAACGGAACAAATCTACCAGGGTATGCTGGCCAACTTAGTCTTCTATTATGATCAAGGAAGGATGGCGCCTGAGAGGTCATTACTATGTGACTGGTCTTCATATATTGCTTCTATGTTTGATTCTTCCTCCAGAAATGTTTCAATAGCAAACTCAATGAGTTTACGTAGCCAGAATCTTAGTCAATAACCTACTCTGCAGTATCTTAGGGCTGACTTTGTACATATGGAAGTCAGCCAGATCTCATGAGTGGATCATTAAGCTAGAATTATTTTCTTGGCACACGTTACAGTAAGGTAATATATGACCTAGGCCTAAGGCAGGCCATCAACCTGTCAAGAGTAATGACCCCCAGGGGTAAGGCCTTGCTGTCTCCACCTCAAGGATGGGTCTTCAAAGTGGAGACAATATAGTCCCTATGGTTTCTACATGCTTAATGAGTCTGTTATGTGAATTATAAAGATAATATCTATGGGGACTTTGAGCTCCTACAATAAAAATGTATAAATATAATCCAAGAAATTCTGGTAGACAAACATTGTAATAATGCATATCAGTCTTTGTATCTCCATTTAGTTTTTTTAAAACTTGGCTTGTGTCCAGAAGTATGCACAGATATACATAGCAAATGCTCAGTGCTGAATGTTTAGCTAAATCCTGTGCTTCAAAGCAAGGATGAATAGATTTTCATCAGAGCTCAGGACCTGAACTGTAGGCTTCCCTCACAATGAGAAGTAAAGCTAAGTATAGGTGAATCCTGAGTGGCACATATTCTATGAGAGTTTTATACATAATTTGAATGATTGATATGCTGCATCTTTCATTGAAATGATTGTCAACCAATATTATTTCAAGTGTTATTTCCATGCTATTTCTAGTTCTGTATGTTTTACGTAATTATAAATGGCTTCATATTTTCATGTAACATTGTATGATATGATTTGGGTTCTAACAGGTTATCCTTGACACCAGTATAGAATACCCAGAATTAATTTAAGGTATATTATCAAACCACTAAAATTAGGATGTCCATGAATTCTGAAGGAGAAAATATCATTTAGATTGTGTGTGTGTGTGTGTGTGTGTGCGCGTGTGTGTGTGTCCTCTAAGTTTTAAACATGAGGTGGTTATATAAAGGGGACTTCTAAATTGGGAGAGGATGAAAATGGGCTAAATATTTCAAACAAACTTCAGTGTGAAATCAGTAGTATATTCAGTAGAGGTGACAGGGAAAAAAGCTGTGGAGGAGAAAAGAGAACAAGAAAATCAGGAAGCAGTAAAAATGATGACTGAGGTCAGGTGGTAATGGTAACATCAAGAAACTTGAATCTGATGGAAAAAAACCACGGGTAGCTATAAAAGGGGCATTCGAAATAGGAAATGATGTGAGAGGAGAAGATAATTTTAGTATAGTTAAAGGAGGTAGCAGCTATAGGTGTGAAGAGAACGGATTAATTTTAAATGTGTCCCAGAAGTAAGAGAAATATTTTTTTGAGGAGTGGGGGAGGAACAATGAGATAAACCTGGTTGAGTGTTTTATGGTTATCTCAAGTAAGAGTCCACTTGGAGTATTATGTCCATTTTTGGACACCATACTTTCATAGGCATGTTGATGAACCAGGTCATTCAAGACACCAGGGTAGTGAGAAGTGTGTTAATAGTGCTTCTACCAGAGAGTTAGAGTGACATGGCAGCTGTCCTCATATCTATCGATCTGTCATAAGGAAGAAAGATCACATGCCTCTGCATTGTTTAAAAGAAAGAAACAGACCCAAAGAAAGTCAGGAGGCAGATTTTGCTCAATATAATGATCTAACAATTAGATGTGCCCTGTAACAGAGTGCGCTATTGTAAAGTAATGTTCTCCCATCTTTCCAAGTATTCAAGCAGAGAATAGTCAATAATACAACTAACGACTGGAAGGGTTTCTTTTATTCTAAGGTACTATCAGATGGAGGAACATGTAGTTTGTGGTCAGTGACCTCAGGTTCTCACATTCACGGTGCTGCATCCTGGTTTTCATTTGGGGACTGTTTTCTGGCACTCCCGCCTGTCTGGAGGTGAGATATGCTTGTTATGACAACCCTTCTGTCACAATAAATTGGCTGGTGCATTCAGTGTCATCTATGGCTTTTTACTTCTATTAATTCATTAATTCCGGGCCCCCAAGCGAAAGTTTCCAAAGGCCTTTTTTCTTCTTTGTTAATTATAACATGATATCAATCAGCACCCAAGCAGAAACTAGAAGAGTATTCAAACTAGGTAATTTGAGGAGAGTTTAATAAAGCAACAGCTTACAAAGATGTGGACAGTGGCTTAAGGAAGCCACTAAAGGATGGCACAGTCCTCCAGGCTTGTGATCAGGGGAGTCATTACCATCCCCCAGCCTGAAGATCAAGAGGCTGGAGCTATTTCCAGACCCTGAAGAGGGTGGTTGTATGGAGAGGACTATCTGAAAGAAGAGGCTGTAGCCAACACAAGAAAGCCAGGGAATAAATAATCCATCCTCACTCTCCTGCTGTTGCCTCTCAATGGCCAAACCCAACCATGAGCTGGGCATGAAGGGAGCTAGCTGACAGCTATATGGCTCAGCTTCCTGGGGCCCAGAGCAGAGTGGAGCTGAGAAGAGAGTGAATCTGGAGGGGTTAATGGAAGAAACCACAGAAAGCAAATTCCTCCCTGAGATACAGTTGGTGCTTAGGCAATATTTGTACTGACAGGAATGTGGCCACATATTTTGGAAAAGCTCAGGGACTCAATCCTCTGCTAGCTGCTTTGAGGCCATGTCTGCCGAAGTCACTGTCCTCTACAGGGTTTTTTCCTCATGTTCAGTGTTTAGTCCTTTCCACCTTCACGAAAACGATGCCTACTTAATATACAGAAAGGAGGACATACAGAAATTTTTCATCTTAATTGGATATTACAGTTGCCCCACTTTGGAGCCAAGAAGAGCTGAATAAAGCTGAGAAACACCTAAACAGAAAGGCAAGTTTACCATGAAGTAAGAAACGTAAGCTTTGGACCCCTTAATTGCTTGAGCCTCCGTGAGTATTGGGAGTTGGTGTGGGTTGTAGAATGTTGTCAGTAGAGAGAGAAGTCAGATTGCATTTCTATGTAAATATTTTGGGTAAATTGCTTAGAGACATGTCAGAAGAAAGGGACCTGGACTCTCAAGGCTCCAGTAACTTATTATGAATCCTTTTCTTATCCTTAATAAATATTCTTTTTTGTACCTAACTTTATATTTCTAATTTTATGTTCTTTTTCTTGAGAAGGATCAGCCAAATAATATACGTTTTAGCCCCCACAAAACCTGGATCACTCAACCTACATGGAACTTTAATCATACTCAAACTAGGTCAGCAGTCAGTTTAAAGTGTAGGGGTAGGGGACAGTAAAAGGGACTTTATATGGAAGCCACGGAAAGTTTTCATAGGAGAGAGAAAGAGTGCATGTGCATGTGGTACTAACATGGACTCAAACTTTACTCCTGGCCACTGCTCCATTTCTTTCTTGTATATTTGTGTTCCTTGAACATATACTTTATACTAAATGCATCTACTTCTTAACCACATATAGGACATTGACTTTCTTTAATCAACTTTGTTCTCCTTCCCCTTGTACTTCTTCTATCCCTAGAAGCTGCTACCCTCAACTAGGATATTTCTGGCAACTTCAGGAAAATTGAAAGGACAATTTCTAGTGCCATTATCTTTGCAACCTTTGACTGGATGCCACCAGTTCACCCTTTTCAACTGTAATTATAATGACTTCCTTAAAGTGTTGTCACTAACTCTGGCTTCTATGACTTCATTTGCTATTTTACCACTTTCTGGTATCTACTGGCATTCTTGGGTATAATCTAGGAATTAGTGCCCTTCCATTGCAGTAGGTCCTGCCCATCCTGAGACAACACACATTTCCCTTCAATCTTTTCCCTTGGTCTGTTTTCATGTTGTTAACCTTCTTTTGCTGCTTCTTGCTGCTTTCTTCTCCCTCTAACTCATCTCTCTGTTCAATTCATACAACTGAATCTTCTTCCATCTGGCCTAGTGAAACAAGCTCCTGGTAGGGCCCCCTTTCCCAGATCTAACCTTCTTTCATCATTGCTCAGAGTGACTGTGACACAGGCATCTCAAACCATCCGACATACCCCTCCACTCCTTAGGACTCTATGGTGGCATCCCTTAGCCCCAGGAAGCACAGGAGTCACATCACTTTCTCATTTAAGATTCACTTGCTCAAATCTTCTTTTGTCCAGTTCCACCCTACTTTTTCTAAAGCTGCATGATGCATCTGTAGGCACTCCTTTGTACCACTTACTATGTGTCAGACCTGGTATCTTGATTTGACCTCATTTTGCTTACAGCAACCATGTTTTTGTTTCTTGCAACAACCAAGTTTCTGTTTACTTACGGCAACCAAGTGATTTCTGTTGTTATCTCTATTTCATGGGTGAGGAAATCGAGCATTAGAGAGGGCAAATAAAGTACCCAAAGTTAGAGATTCGGCAAGTCTTTGGGTTCATAATATTTGAACCCAAGCCCTCTGATCCCATAGTCCACATTCTTAACCACTGTACCAGTGCTTCTCAAAGTATAGACCACTGACCGTCGGCACCAGGGTCACTGGGTGCCTGTTAAAGTGCAAATTCCTGGGTCCCATTTTCTATCTACTTACCTGATGAAAAGGGATCTGGTGAAAGAATATTCAAGGCAGAGAAAACAGCAACTGCTGAGGTGGGAATAAGCAAGGATCAGAAAAAGGGTGAGAGAGGCTGGAGCACAATGAGCCCAGGAGGGTGGTATGAGGTCCGGAGGCTTCGGATTTTGGATCTCTTTTCTTCTTTTCCTTTCCTTTTGCCTTTTGCCATTCCTTTTGCCTTTTGCCTTTCCTTTCCTTTCCTTTCCTTTCCTTTCCTTTCCTTTCCTTTCCTTTCCTTTCTCTCTTTTTCTTTCTTTTTTGAGAGGGTTGCACTGTGTCACCCAGGCGGAATGCAGTGACAATCACAGCTCACTGCAGCCTTGACTTCCTGGGCTCAAGCATTTCTCCCACTTCAGTCTCCCAAGTAGCTGGGACTACAAATGCATGCCACCACACCCGACTAACTTTTGTGTTAGGGGGTGGTCTCCCTGTGTTGCCCAGGCTGGTCTCAAACTCCTGGGCTCAAGCAATTCTCCCGCCTCAGCCCCCCAAAGTGCTGGGATTTTAATTTTTTATTTAGTTAGATGGGAAGCTCTTGGACAGTGGTAAGCAGGCGAGCGATAAGACCCACCTCACATTTGAACAGATGGCAGCTGTCACTAAAGAGTTGTAGAGTTGTGGAATTTTGGAGTTGTAGAGTTATAGAATTGTGGAGTTGTGAAGCTGTGAAGTTGTTGTAGGGAAGCAGCTGCCCAGCCAGCGCACTTCCTTGCATCTAGAGATGTCATAGATGAATTCTGGCCATTGGAAGGAGAGCAGAAGTGATTTATGGGTGACTTTTGGGCAGAGGTATTGAAGGAGCAGATATGCCTGCTTCATGTTCTCTCCGCCCTTCTACCAGCTGGGTGTTGATTCCATGTATTAAGATGACTGGGCTCTCCCTCTCCCAGCCTGGCATTGACAAGGAGTCCCCACATGAACTATTCCCTGAGCAATAAAAAATGGAACACAAAATGTGTATTATTCAAATGTGGGGATTTCCTTGTTACAGTAGCTACTATTACCTTAAATGATACATGACTCATGCTTTGCCAACATCATTTTGGCTGCTATGTGGAGGTGGAAGGGGGTGGCAGAGAGACCAAGGTAGAGGCTACTGCAGAAGTTCTAATGGGACTGGGGGCTGGCATAGATTACCTGGGTGGCACTAGAGTGGTGGAAACTGGAGATACTAGATATATTTTGGAAGAATTTTCCCCCAAACCAGCAAGATGTGCCATTAGATTAAATGGGGATGTGACAGGAGAGATAAATCAAAAGTGCAAGGTTTTCAGCTTGAACTCACTGAAAATACAGAGATGCCATTTTCTGAAGTGGGGACTGGAATATTTGAAATCTTCTCCTGCCTGCAGTTCTCTCACTCTGCAATTTGCCCTGAACAACCTCCTAGTTGTGGACCTTAGACCACATGATTCATCCCCTGAGGCCTCCTCCATACCCTACAGACCTCACGTGTACTTCACGTGTTCACGCTGAAAGAAAAATTTGTCCTACACTCTCTCGGCCTGAACAACTGACTACTTGATAAAATAAGATTTGTAAACATAAAAAAAAAAGCAATTATAACCTCAAATGGGTTTAAGTTGCTTTCCCATTCTTACCAGGCCAGAGCACAAATAGAGAAGGAATGTGTCTTTCGTGTTTGCAATTAGGAAGTGAAGGAGATGGTGCTAATCATAGAGTTTCTGTTAGTTCTGGGCTGACCTTGTTTGAAGTATGGTTGCAACACACTTTATGACCCTACCAGCTCAATGGAATTTTTGTTTATTGCTTCCTCTCCTCTCTGTGTCCTCTGACTGTGGGTCTACTCAGTATGACAGTCTCTCCAGGGCAGGATTGTGTCTGTTTACCTTGTTCTGCACTGGACTTCACTTACCATGGTGGCTGTGGCAGAGCTGGGTCATTAGGACTCTTTGGAAGATAATGCCCTGTGAAAGAGGAATGGGGTATAGGAAAAAAGAGGCAATGGGCATGAAAGATGTGAGAATGGATGGGAAAAAAAAGATATAATAATATAAAATAATGTCATATATGAAATAATATAAAAAATAAATTGAGTATTTGTTTTTCAGTTAACCAATGTCAGAATATATATTATTCTAAGACCCTCACTCTACTCTGTTGTCCTAGGAGCTCTGGAGGGAAGCATTAGATATGGCTCTTAACCTCAGGGGGCTTACAGTCCAATCAGGAGACCCAATGCAAATGGAACAATGAATCAAGATACTATCTAACAGGACTAGACCATGCCAGTAAGTGCTGTAGGAGTTTAAAGATGAAGTAGCTCTTTGAGGCTGCAGTAGTCTGTTGATGGTGCTTCTCTCAGGAGGTCCCAGGAGGGGTGACTGTTCTTTCTGGAACATGGTCATGGGAAAATCCCTCATACCTACTTTAAGCCAGTAAAAGAGAATGTCCAGAAAGGCCAGGTATTTGGAATTGGACCTAAGTGACAGGCTTCATATACAAATATGCATTGGTTTACGGACAATTGTATAGTTTTTTTCTTCACTGCCACCTAAACCATCATTATCAGCACTTGAGTCCTCTGTGACCATCACTGCTGTCCATGGGCAGTATGCACAAGTGGAACAAAGCCAACGCCTCAACTGTGAGACAGTTTGTCTCTTAGGGTTAGGGAAGATGAGGGCTAAGGGTGGAGGGAGAAGGTACAGCATGGCGAAGCTCATCATAGATCCCTTGGAACACTATTCCTACTGATTTGTTACTCCCTTTTCTCCCTCCATGCTTTGTCTTTCCCTGTTACACACACACTGTTATTCTTCATCTGTCCGCAGCCCAGTCATTGGAACTTGGATGTAAGTGGCTTCTACAACCAAGTGAGGCAGAGAAATGGGCAGCAGTGATGACTCTATAAAGACTTTTGTCCTTTCATTCATTCAAGGTGGTGTACAACCCAAAGATGAACACATGACCCTTGTCCTCAAGCAGCTCAATCTGTGAAAACTATCATATGAGTTAATGTGGTAACAGAAGCATGCGCACAAAGTACTCTGGAACAACAGGCAGGGACCATTTAGACCTGCTGCAGTGTGTGTGTCTGTGTCTGTTTATCTATGTATTATATGCAGGCAGATTGTGAAAAAAGACAAGTTTCACAGAGGAGATGATACATGATCTTTTCTAATTCACTGAAGCATACAGCTATCAAAGGCCTGAGGACTCTTGAAAGATGAGCAAAATTTCATCATGCAGAGAAGGGAAGTGTAAAGACAGGAAACAGCATGTGAAAGGCATTCTATTCTATTTAAATCTAGGAATACTGTCTTTAGGATGTTCTTGGCTGATTAAATCAGATGCATCATCATATTATACTATCATGATTTACCAATACTGGTTATTGCCTAGATTTTATCCATGGACTCTCCATTGGCATCATTAGTGATGAGAGCTGGAAGCTTGAGCACACCCTGCCATAAAGTTGTTTGTAACAGAAGACATAGTTTGTACTTTGTTTTCTCTGTTTCAGTTTTGGTTTCCACCTCTAATTTGATATATACCAGTTATTAATCTGGTTGATTTGCTACAAATGAAAAGTTTAAAAAATTAATGACAATCTATACAAAACTCACATAAAACCATTTGAGTCTCCCACTAGATGGCACAGGAAGAATATGGCATATCACCTAATTCTCAGGCTAGGCTAGATAGAAAATGTCTATTCCTATGATCACATGACTCTGACTACTTTCTCTTAAAAGTAAATATAAATAACATCTCTGTAATTTTATTTTTTCTTTAACAATAATTTATCTTAAAGTAGACAGAAAAATGCATGTGGTTTAAAATTCATAGTAAATAGGAGAATATTATAAAAGTTTCTTAAGGCCAGGTGCAGTGGCTCATGCCTGTAATCTCAGCACTTTGGGGGTCCGAGGCAGGCGGACCATGAGGTCAGGAGATTGAGACCATCCTGGGCAACATGGTGAAACCTTGTCTCTACTAAAACTACAAAAATTAGCTGGGCGTGGTATGCTCCTGTAGTCCCAGCTACTTGGGAGGCTGAGGGAGGAGAATCGCTTGAACCCGGGAGGTGGAGGTTGCAGTGAGCCGAGGTCGTGCCACTGCACTCCAGCCTGGCAACAGAGTGAGACTCTGTCTCAAAAAAAAAAGTTTCTCAAACCATTTTTAACAGATTAAAACAATTCTTTTTTTATCAAACTATTTTTTTCATTAATTCTTAGTAGTCAATAGTTCTGTTATTGTGACCCTGGAAGACAAGGCACTGTCATCTGTCTCCTACAGATTTTAGAGCAATTAAAAGTGAAGCAATCCATATTCATTGATTAAGAGGGAACTATCATGTAACCTGGGTAAGTCAGTCCATATCACTTTAAGAACGCTAAACAGTATTGCTCAAGGTTAAAAAAAAAAAAAAAGGAGAGAGAGAGAGATCTAACACCATTCTTTAACGCCTGGCCACTAAACTAATGACCATCAATGACAGAACCTGCTTAATCCCCATATAATTATCCAATATATTGAATCCTAATTTTTTTTGCTCTTCACCCCAACCTTGCCCAAGTGCCAGTGTAGCTCTACTTTAAGAATATCAATAGAATGTGATTTTTCACAAGCTGCCATAAGTAAATGGTGGTAAGCCAGAGTTATAATCTGAAAATGCAGCTAGTTTTTTGGGGGGCACATTAGGACTCAAACTTCCTAAAACTCCTACTCCTGAGTTACCTGGAGAAAAGCTACAGCAGATGGGCATCCAGTGCTTGGAAGGGCTGCTTGGTCCTCAATACAGGGCCCAGTAAATATATCTTTCAATTAAACTCCAACCTTTGATGTAACTGGTATCGTGGTGCCACAAGGATTCTGTTCAATATATATTTACTGAATACCTTCTTTGTGCAACACTCTGTGCTGGACCCTGGGCTAGCTTAAACAACCTGATTTGATTCATGGTGGGCAGCAGATAAGAAGGCAGAATTAGTTCACCCTCATAATGGTCTTTTACTGCAGCAATGGCCAATAAACCACCGAGTTTGCAACACCAGAACCCTAAGGGCACACTTAGCTTGAATCAGAGTGTCTCCTGGCAATCATAACTGATATTCAATCAGAGTTCCCACTGAGTATAGATGTACTACTTGACTCCATTCCAATAAGTGCAGCAAGCTGGAGCAGAAAAACTAATCTTTGCTGGGTCTCTCAACGCATGATTTTTCCTACATTGTGCAACCCTTATATGCCTTTCGTCATTCATTCCTATCAGAATCTCCTAGAGTGCTTATTTTAATGCAGATTCCCAGGCCCAATGTAGATCACTGTATCACATCTCTGTGATACAGGAGGCCATAGTGAAAACACAAATGAACCTGTTGCCAGCCATCCATGAGACCACCACGGATGCCCCACACATCGCCAGGGTGATTTGAGGGCCTCAAGATGTGAGTTCCTTAGCATGGTTGGGGGCCAGAGACGCCACAGTTTGAGCTTTGGCATTAATGTGCTCTTCCTTTCTGTTGCTTATCTTAGGTAGGAACCAGTTGACAAGTGTCCTCTCCCAGCACAAGGAACTGACTCTGGGCACTGAGTATAGATTTTACTTAAAAAAATGTACAATTTTACTTACAGAAAGTTACTCAGCTGGGATGTTTCACTTCATCATTAAGGTTTTCTTGTTTTCTTCCTTCCTTCCCTTCCTTCCTTCCTTCCGTCCTTCCTTCCTTCCTTCTTTCCTCCCCTCTCCCTCCCTCCCTCTCTCTTCTTTCTTTTTCTTTCTTTCTTTCTCTTTCCTTCTTCTTTTTCTTTCTTCTTTCCTTTCTTTCTTCCTTCCTCCCTCCCTCCCTGCTTGCTTGCTTTCTTTCTCTCTCTCTCTTTCTTTCTTTCTTTTTTTTGTAAGAAACAGGGGTCTCTCTCCCCAGGCTGGAGTGAAGTGGCACACAATCATAGCTCACTGTGGCCTCAAACTCCTGGACTCAAGAGATCTTCATGCAGTCTTCCCAGTAACTGGGATTACAGGCACGTGCTACTGCACCCAGCTTTCACCGTATAAGTTAATTGTTAACTTCACATAAGTTTTAATACCTGCAAAAATTATGTGACTCTTCCAGATTCCAATCTTTTCTAATTTGCTAAAGCATACAGCCATCAGAAGTCAACATGCAGAGAAGCACTAACACGGAGTCTCTGCATGTCTTGATAAATGTTGCTTTGATGCAGAATTCAGTTTGGGCAACTTGTGTAGAAGGATGGTCAGAAAGTAATTTTCTGTTTGTTGGGGTGTGTGTCTGTGTGTGTGTGTGTATGTATGTATGTATGTATGTATATGTATATGTGTATGTAAAGAACACAGGTTCTGCAATTAGTCCAGTGTTGTTGTTCTGGGAATTTAAATGTTTTCATTCTCAAAGCAGTTCTGCTGAGTAGAAATTTTCACGTTACCCCATTATACAGACTGAAAACCTGAAGCTTGAGTAGTTTGCCCAAGGTCACATAGCAAGGAAGATCACAAGGCAAAGGAAGATCTTGAACCCTCTAAAGTTCACGATGTTTCCATTATGTCATGCTTGTAAAAAACATGAAAAGAAATGTTTATAATAAAAGATATTAAGTGATAAAACTTCCTTAACAATTTTCTCCTTTGCAATATCAGAAACCTCCAGCAGGCTGTACCCCTGAATCAGTTTTCTAATTGAAGCCATTAAACAATGATTTTCTCAGTGCTTCGGTTGTCGTTGGGTTTTTTGGTATATTATTTTAAATTAAATCTACAACAATAATTTACAAACTTTCACAGGTACAACTGAAAGTCAAAAGAAAATATTGTTTTTGATGCATTGTTTTTAGGTACTTAACTGATTTCTTACGTTAAAATACTGCCCTATTACAATTGGTTGTGAAAATTACTGATGCTTCCACAGCTAGGAATAGAGTTTTATTTCATTCTACTATTGTCAAAATCTACGCTTCTTCATTGCAGGCTACCACATAGACTTAACCTGATTTGCAGAAGTGTGATTAGTTTATCAATATGTCTTCAAGTGTAGCCAAGGCACAATTATTTTAGAATTACCTAAGACAGTTGTTGTGAAAGCATGATCCTCAACCAGCATCATCAACATCAGCAGAGTTCTTGTTAGGTAAATTCTCAGGCCCTACTCCAGACCTACTGTAACAGAAACTCTGGGAGTGGGATCCAGCAATCTGTGTTTTAACAAGTCCTCAGGGTAATTCTGATGCACACCAGTGGATAAGACCCACTGACCCAGGATATTTATTAGAAGTATAAATTTCTGATCCTCACCCATATCATATCAGAATCTCTGGGGCCTAGGAAACTATTTTTTACAAATATCAAGATGATTCTTAGGCACATAGAAGTTTGAGAACCACACTGGTCCATGTGGTATGATTTGAGGAGACAAGGAAGGATCCTTCTCTGAACATTTCTCTCCATTTCTTGATCAAAAGTCAGTTAATTTTGTAGAATTAAGCAAGAACGTCCTTATTAATTTTTAAGTTCATTAATTCACAAATATTTTAGGATGATTTATTTTATTAAACAGGTATTTCACTCTCAGGGGAGAACAGAAGAGTGGACAATTAAAAGGGAGGGACATTACAAACACAGACTACAAAGGCCTAATTTACATATTTTACCTTACAGTCACCCAAGATCTGATTTGCATATATTTCACCTCTTTCATTAGGGAGTGTATCATAATTTTACTATAACATGTTGAGTCTAACATCCTTTGGCCAAACCTTTCCCCTTCCAAAGAAGACCTTGTAAAATCTACTTGGCAGTAATCAAGCAATATGCATAGAGTGTAGGTAATAATGTATTGTAGCATTTATTTGTTGTGTGTGGGGTTTTTTTTAGTGTAAATAGAATCTGTATATTCAAGACATGAGTCTCATAGGATAAATAATCTCATTACTTTGCAATATCACTTAAACTTTTTTCAAACAGTATACATCCAGCTTATTGACCAGACTAGACACCAGATAATTTCCTATTGCTTTAAAATAAATACAGATACAACATGGATGAGCCTTGAAAACATGACACTAAGTGAGAGAAACCAGACACGGAAGGACACATGTTGTAAATTCCATTTATGATAAATATAAAAAATAGGCAAATCCAGAGAGGTAGAAAGCAAAGCAGTGGTTAGCAGGGGCTAGGAGGGATACTGTGAAGTGACTACTGCTTAATGAGTGAGTATGAGGTTTTCTTTGGGGGTGATGAAAATGTTGAGGAACTAAATCATGGTGATGGTTGCACAACATTGTGAATGTACTAAATGCCTCTGAATTGTGCACTTTAAAATGGTTAAATTGGTACATTTTATATTGTATTTTGTGTATTGTGTATTTTACCACAATTTTTACAAAACATACATACACAAAATAGAAAATAAAATAGAATAAAATTAAATCTCCTTTCAAATAATGAAGATTGATAGTAGTCAGGATATAGAAAATAATGTGCCTCAGGAATTCTAAAAGATACGCCCCAAAATATTCCAAGAAGTGACACTAAAGTGGGGGATATGTCAGGTTACAATTTTTGAAAGCCAACACTCACTTTAGATATATGCTTTATGTTGCCAGAAAAACAAAGCAACAGCAACAACCCCCCGCCACACACAAAGACACACACACACACACACACACACACACACGCACATGCCAAAAAACAAAACCAAATAAAGCCAAAGATCACTTAAAATCAGACAACCAACCACAGAGCTGCATACATAATTGTGATTGACATATTCACAGTCAGGCCAGTCAGAGTCCCAAGAGATCAACTGGGAGGCGGGGCTTCTGCAGCAGCAGTGCCTGGTTAGGGTCTCACACATCACCACAGAAAGACATGGATTGGGGTCTGTGACTTACCCATATAGCTTGACACCCCCAAAAGCCACCAAGCCCCCAGAGTAGATATGGGTCTCTCCTATGAAGTAATCTAAGATTGGGGATTCATTTTTATACTTGCATTAATTTAATGACTCTCAGTGTCTATATCACTATACATAAAGGCTATTGTTCTCATTTTACTCCTTCAGAGAAGGAGATATGTACAGCTATGATCTCAATTCTTGCCCGTTTCTATTTTCCTTCCCACTATCTAGAAATCAAACTGCCCTCCTAAAAATTCATCATATCCCAACGGGTTAGGTAAAAAACTTTGTGTCCGAAAGCTTCCATAGAAATCCTGGAGATGGTTATGAGCTGCTTTAAAATGAGATAAAATGGTATCTGCTTTGCCTTCTGAAGGGCTGCTCTTTGTGTGGGTGCTTTTGTGAAATTCTGTGTCACCCACGCTACCCATTACAATGCTCACAACATTCACATATTTGATCCGGAGGAAATGTAGCTGGCACTGTTTTTATTCCTGTTACCTCCTGTCTTGAAGCAAAATGCCAGTGCTTCATGCAGCGTGGAGTGGTAAACATCAGCTGGGGAGAAGCCTTTATTTAGGGAATTTATCACAAAATGGCTTTCTGAAGATTAATACTGAGAAAGTGGAAGCACGGTTTAGTAAGTATAGCATTGGTGCAAGCAGATATTTCCAATAGGCAGTTTCCAGTGCATACATGAACATCATCTCTACTGTGGTCTCCTATCTTTGTGTATAACACACAGGTTATTCCGCTTTGTATGCCCACCAATGTATGCATTCATAAAACAGATCTTTATACTATTAAGGAGACACAATATAGGCCGAGGATTTAATATAGTACTCATAAAATTTGAATTTTTTGAAACCTGCCAAATGGATAAGATGTTTGCTCTATATTAGTGACTATCATTTTGATGTGAAACGTACTTTAATGAATACCTGACAAAGAAACCTTTTAAAGAAATGATTATCTTTGACATGAATATATTCAGCTCGTGTTTATGCAGTGAAATCTTAACTAGCTAGTAAAAATGGCACAATATTACGACGAGTATAGAAAATACTACATAAAGAAAATATAAAGGCTGCCTGAAGAGTTAATGACTAATTCTGTTATCTGAATTGGTGCTTCAGTGACGATTGCTCTGAGAAAAGCTTATGTTTAAGGTATTGTGGGTGCAATCTGTACATCTGAATTACACCCAGGGCCTTATTAATGCTATGTGTGAAATTATGGAAATTACCAAAGCAAAAAAGCTTTATGTTTGCATTCTGCTTTCAGATATAAGGCAAGGTAATTATATTTAATAACCCAGTGACTACATTTTATATCTTAAAATTATAAAGTAAGAAAAAAATGGAAAGTGCTTGCATGTGAATGTAATCATACCTTAAAATGATGACCTCAATCTTAAGCAATGCACTTTTATCTTTAGATAACATGTTAAAGCAAAGGCAAATAACTATTCTATCATACAGTGGTCTAATTGTGTTCAGAGAAGAAGAATGACAAATATACAGCAAATGGTTATGAGACGTAGTTTATAATGACAACTTATTTATTATTAACCTGATGAAAAGAAGGCTTAATTGTGAATTTGTGAGCCTTCACAACTAAACAAAAGATCAGTAAGCAAGCAATTCATGTATTGTTCTCCATTTCCACTGAAGACAGCAGCTTAAATTAGTTAAACAAAAGAACATTCTTAACAATATGGCTAAGAATAATAAAAGTAGGAAACACTTCTTGGAGATTTTGGCCATAGAGGGCATGAATCTATAGGTAAAGATTTCTCAGGTGGCTGAAGAATAATTATATACTTCTTGCTGATCATGTGATTCTATGAAAACCTATTGTCTAAATTAATGCAGTAGTGTTTTGTTCCCAGTGAGGGATAATGTCTTTTGCATTTAATGTAAATTCAGTGTTGTCAGCATTGAACTTCACTAATTTAGAAAGTTCCCACTGGTCATTAAGAAAACCCAAATGAGGAACTCTATGTTCTTTGTGACTGCTAGTCAATGATGGAATGGGGTGTTGGGGAGAAACTAGGGGATGTAGATAAAAGGATTGGAAAATGGATAAGAATTAGTGAATAAAATTAAAATAATTTTAATTTTTAAAAGTTAATTAATTAAAAAAATTAAGGACAGTGATTCTCAATCCTGGCTGCAATTAGAATCATGTAGGGATTTTTTTTTTTTAATATCAATCTCCGGTTTTGAAATACCAGTACTGGCCTAGGGTGGATCCCTGGCATAGGTCTTTTTCCAGCCATGTTTGAGAACTGCTATTCTAGGACTTTTAAGGATCTGCAGTGCTCCTAAAATTAAGCAGAGTATGATGGTTAAAAAAACAACTCTACACCAACTATTGCTGCAGAGTATTTTTTTAACATAAGATCCAAATAAATGTTATCAACTGCCCATCAATCCATGGATCTATGAGTGGTGTGACTTAGTAGAAGCATATGTTGTAGTAACAGAAGAGCAATAGATCACTACAGGGAGGTTGTGAAGAATTTTAATAAACTTCTTCAAATAAATGTCTCATTTCTAATCCTTCTAACATCCAAATAAGAGATTCAGCCACCTTAATGAGATAATCTCACATTATCTCATTTAATAATCACAACAACTCCTGAAGTTTATCACAGAATTTCCATTTTATACATATAGAAACCTAAGTTCAAGGTAAGTAATTCAAGTTCACAGATTAGAAATGAAAAAAAAAAAACTGGATTTGAATTCAGGTGTATTGCTTCTAGTCCATTCATTGAGTGAACAGCCACTGAAGTATTAGCTCACAATTTCTCCTATTAAAACTGCAGTCCATTCAACCCATTGTTGAAATACTGAGTCATGTGAAGACAATTACTTGGAAAACAGCCCTATTATTGACTAAAACCATTTTATAAACTGAATTAAAAGTTTTCAGTATCCAAATAAAGACTTGTTTAGGGATTGTGGTTGATTAATTAAATACTATGTCAACTTGTTCTATTCTGAGATATAAAGAAGGGTTGATTGCCTTTAGAAGCCTCAACCACTGAAAAGGCTGTGACGCCTCCCCAACAGCCTCTCATATGTATTTAAAAACAATTTTTGTAATCTGAATTATAAGGCTGGGTGTGGTGGCTCATGCCTGTAATCCCAGCACTTTGAAAGGCTGAGGTAAGGAGGATTGCTTGAGCCCAGGAGTTTGATACCAGCCTGGGCAACATAAAAAGACCCTCATTTCTACCAACAGCAACAAAAAATCAGCCAGGAATGGGGCTCACGCCTGTAGTCCCAGCACTTTGGGAGGCCGAAGTGGGAGGATTGCTTGAGCCCAGGAGGTCAAGACTATTGCACACTGCACTACATAGCCTGGGCAACAGAGTGAGACCCTGTCTCAGAAAACAAAACAAAACAAAAACCCTGAACTATAAAATAAGTGCGATATTGTTCATTAAAGTCTGCTTTTCCCTCTTATAGCTACTTAGGCGGTTTTTGGCTTTTTATGATGCCCTAAGCACATACTTAGTTTGCTCTTTGCTTAGTCTAGTCTGCGATACCAAATGTCCATCTGTAAATTTTCTTTGGCATTGTGCCCTACTTGTATACTTTTCAGTTGATTTGAAAACCAGTCATCAGTTGATACACTAACCTTCTAGATGACAATTGTGATTCGGTTCTCAAGTGGAGAGAGGTTATATTCTCCTGACCTTCAAAGGGAATAATACAAGCTACAGAAGGTTCCCTGCTCCTACCCCAGGTGGGTAGAACAGTTGGTATGGAATGGGATGGGATGGGATGTAACTCATTATGCCACTAGGGTGCATAGAAATCTTGTTCAAAAATTGTGATCTGTGTATTTTGGTAGAGGAAATTTTAATGCTTTTGAAGAGAAAATATTTGAAAGAGTTCTTACTGCCCCTAATAAGCCCAAAGTTAACATTTTTGAAAGAGTGTCCTCACCATTCTGAAACTTAAGCTTTTATTAATTATCTTTAAATCAGTGGTGGAAACTGTGTAATCTTATAATTGTAACCTACCATAAAGTTCGCCACCCTTTTTAAAGAAACATATTACAAGCAACTTGAAATATATAATTAATTAGCAATTAACTAGAAAGGCTGCTAGACACCTAATACTCTGTTGCATAGAAAAACGCAGATAAATCTTGAGTTACAAATTAAGTCTTGTGTTAAATTTCTTTTCTTCCTTGAGGGTACGGGGAAATCAGAACACATAAATATTTTTAAACATCAGAATTATATACTGTGGAGGCAAGGAACACAGATATTTTCCTGACATTGGACATGCAAAATTCGATTTGAAATACTCTGAACTTTGTGGATACCTTTTGTGAAGATAATGTTCTATGGTTTAGTTGTTTTTTGTTTGTTTGTTTGTTTTTGTCTTTTTACTTTCTTTGTCAAAAATCCTAATGACAGGGAAGTAGAGAAGTCATTTGACTTTTGTCTATACCATTTTCTTCACCTATAAAATAGAATCCACATACACACACACACGCGAGATATATGCATATTTCATAGTGATTAAATCTTATACACACACACACATACACACACAGGGATATATGCATATTTCTTTTCTTTTTTTTTTTTTTTGAGCAAGTCTCGCTCTGTTGCCAGGCTGGAGTGCAGTGGTGTGATCTCGGCTCACTGCAACCTCCACCTCCCTGGTTCAAGCGATTGTCCTGCCTCAGCCTCCCGAGTAGCTGAGACTACAGTTGTGTGCCGCCACACTCAGCTAATTTTTGTATTTTTAGTAGAGACGGGGTTTCACCATGTTGGCCAGGATGGTCTCGATCTCTTGACCTCATGATCCATCCACCTTGGCCTCCCAAGATATATGCATATTTCATAGTGATTAAATCTTGAGCTCTGGAGTCAGATAGGTGTGGGCTGCTGTCCTGGCTCTGCCATTTTCTAGCTGTAAAACCTTAGGTAAGTCAATTCTCTAAACTTCAGTTTCTTTTTCTCTAAAACAAGAATAATAATAGTAATACCTACATCTAGGGTTCTGTTAAGAATAAAGTGAGATAATGCAGTTTGAGACATAGCATAGCGCTAGCACCTTGGACATTGTATATATTCAATAAATACAGTTATTTATTTTACAAATTCAGAGTGGAACCATCTGTCAAAAGTGAGATTCAAGTGAGATCTGTCTCTTCCCCCACAATATCAGAAGTCATTGCCCCCCTCCTCAGACTTCCCACACAGCACTTTTTTTTTTTTTTTTTTTTTTGAGACGGACTCTTGCTCTGTCGCCCAGGCTGGAATGCAGTGGCGCGATTTCGGCTCACTGCAAACTCCGCCTCCCGGGTTCACGCCATTCTCCTGCCTCAGCCTCCCGAGTAGCTGGGACTACAGGCCCCCGCCACCGCGCCCGGCTAATTTTTTGTATTTTTGGTAGAGGGGTTTCACCGTGTTAGCCAGGATGGTCTCGATCTCCTGACCTTGCCCACACAGCACTTTATTCACCTTAGAGTTTACCGTCTGACTTCAATAGTCAGAAATGACTATGGATAGAAATGTCTGAGCCTGTCTTTCCCATTGGATTATATATTCTGGTGGGTAAGGTCCATATTATTTTATATAGTCAAATCCCCAGCTGTGATTACTTTGTCTGCAGATGGTTGCATTATCTGCAAAGATAAAATTTTAGTCAACAGTTCATCCTTGCAATCCAGACATGCCACTGAGTTGTACAACTGAAAATCAGGGAAGGAAGCTCTGCTTGACCTGTCTCTAGTCGGGGGCCTAGCCATCCTAGGGTGAATGCTAGTGTGCATGCTCTATAGAGCTGCAGTGGCTTCAGGGTGACAGCCTTCAAGGGGTGGGATGAAGACTTTAGTTATGATGGTCTCTGGGAGGAAAGGGGTAGCTGGGACTCCTTTGTTAATGTGGTTACTGAGATCTTACGTCTTAGAGATGGCCATCATATTCCACTTTTCCTAGTCTCTGTCTGCTCTTTCAAAGGATATTTATGATGGGATTTTGGGCCCTGAAGTTTTGGTTATGAGTACTACTTCCGGGGGTAAATCTTCCCTTCTAAACAGGTTCACACACACACATGTGCACACATAACCACACACACAATCTTCCTCATTCAGTGTTAGTTTTGACCTGAACTATAACTGGGCTCTTTATAATACCACTTTAATAGTGTGAAACTGAATGTAAATAAAACTAGAAAAGCCTGTCATGTGGTGTGTTTACTGTAATGCATAAGTATATCCATTTTAGAAGTGGGTGTTTTTTACATGACTTCTTTGTATTACTTAAGGATAATGATTGCTTGAGTTTTTTTTTTTTTTTTTTTTTTTTTTTTTCTGATTTCTCAATAGTGTTCTGGAGAGAAATTTTAGACTTAAGATTAAGTCATTTAAAGATCTGATCACAATTCAGTCAATTCAATTCAATTCACCAAATCTTTTATGAGCTTCTATTACATACAAAGCATGGAGCTAGGCAACATTGGGAGTACACAAAGGAGTAACAGGACATGGCTCCTGGTCTTTAAGGAGGTTACAATTTCGCATTATTACTATTGTCAAAGTGTATTTCTTAATGATTCCATGATATGTGATATGCTTTATGGGATAGAAAGCTGGTTAAACAAACATCAGAGCATCAAATCCTGTTTTGAAAAAGACAAAGTATATATACGAATAATAATATGCTAGGTCCCAAGACTTCCTCTTGACAACACAAAAATTAATAATTATGAAATATATTCAATTAAAAATTATAGTGAAGCCTAATTTATCCAATATTATCGAAGAACAAAAATGTTAATATCTTCTCATTTTTCTGATCATGGAAACTTGTATTCCTTTTAAAGCATCTAAGCAATTAAAATATTAACCAGTTTGAACTGTATCTTTCTAAAATGTATGATCTATTTTCCCTGCCTATCATGAATCAAATTTAACATTTTCTTAACGATACTAGAACATCATTGTGAGCATCAAATAGTATGCTATATTACAAATACAAAACTTTTCAGGAACAATATTGAGGTGTGCAGGGCTATTTTTCCATACCAAATAACCCAGACTATATTTTTGTATTTTTGACTCATCTGCTTACTTATTGTAAGTATTTTCAAAATCTTGTTCCCTTAATGTTTTCACTGTCTGAGTCATTTACTATTGCTATATAACAAACCACCTCAAACTTAGTGGAATTTTAAAAATTGTATTATGCTCTCAGGTTCTGTGGATCAGGAAAGGGCACATGGGGACAGCTCTTCTCTGCTCTGTGATATCTGGTGCTTCAGCTAGGAAGACAGATAGCTGGGAGTGACTTCAATGGCTGGGTCTGGAACATCTGGGACAGGACAAGCTCCTTCCATAATGTGTTTCATTCACCTGTCTGGTGCCTGGGCTGAAATTGCTAAAGGCTGGGCTTAGCTGGGACTATCAACCAGAATACCTACACATGGCCACTTCACGTGGCTTCAGATTTTCACAGCATGATGACTAAGGTCCAAGATGAAAATCCCCAAGAGGGGCTTTCCAAAGGCAAGTGTTCCAAGAGTAATAGGTGGGAGCTTCGAGACCTTTTCTTGTGACATCAGAAATCATACGGCACCATTCTGTTAGTAACAAGCAAATCATAAGGTCAGTCACAGATTCAAGGGGACAAGATTTAGACTCCACTTCTTGCTGGGGAAGTGATAAGGTTCCTCTGGGGAAGAGCATGTGGGATGGGAGACGTTATTGCGACCATCTTTGGAAAACACAAAACGTCAGCAACCATTTCTTATTGCTATTGACCTGTCTGCCTCCTCTAAGCTTCCCACACACTTACGGTACAGTTTTTGTTTTAAAATAGCAGCACAAATACACTTCCCTCCAAAAATTGAACATAAAACCAAAATATGCAGTCATTTAGGTGAAGCCTAAGGATTTTCTTGTGAAGGAGGTGATTGAGTTTTAAGGCAGAGAGCTTATGGTGGCCATAGTGGCTGCCTTGAGGCTTTTACTCACTCTTTTCCAAATAAAATAGGTGGCTGGATGTTAAAGACAGAATTGTGTTCCCCAGAATTTATATATTGAAGCCCTAACTCCCAACTTCACTGTATTTGGAGATAGAGCCTTTAAGGAGTAATTAAGCTTAAATGAGGTCATACGGTTGAGGTCCTAATTCCAAAGGACTGGTGTCCTCATTAGAGGAGTCAGAGTGCACAGAGGAAAGGCCTTGGGGGGACATGGCAAGAAGGCAGCCACTTACAAGCCAAGAAGAGAGGCTTCAGGAGAAACCAAACCTGCTGACACCTTGATCTTGGGCTTCTAGCATTCAGAACTGTAAGAAAATAAATTCCTATTGGTTAAGCCCCCCATTCTAAGATGTTTTGCTATGTAGTCCTAGCTGACTAATACACTGGACAAATGACTTCTTGGAGGATATGGACTCAGTCCTAATTCTCTACTACTCTTATGTATGCTCACGTTGCAGAAAGTCACATGTTTTTGTGCTGTTGCTGATCCTGTTCGTTCTATCTAGAAAATTATTTTTCTCCTTGTCTAGGCCTATTAACTCATCCCTTAAGTTTCAGTTCAAATGTCGTCTTCTCTGTGTTCTACTTAACCAACCACCCAGGCAGAATTAATCACTCCAACCCTGCACACAAACCTTGATCTTTTCATTTTTCATACTGAATGATAATTAGCCCTCTTTGAGACTTATAGAATGAGGTGGTAGAGGGAAGGCCTGCACCCTGGTCCCCCCAGTTTCTGGCCAGAACCTCACATTTAATAGGTGCTCAATACATGCTTGCAGATTTCATACGTTACACTTAGAAACCCATAAAATTTAAGACCTGGAAACCACCTTAATGATGATCTAATCCAGACTTTCATTTTACAAGTGAAAAAAATGCAGCCTGAAAAGGTTGTTTCAGGCAGATATTCCAAAGGAAATCACCACCGCTCTCCCAGTTAGAACAAAAAGGCATGTTGAAAGGTAGTAATTTTAGAGGATGATTGAACAATTGAAAAGGCATGAGCTCATAGAACTGAGAGGGGGAACATGCCGCAGACACTGGGTGGGGCATCTGAGGTTTGGAGACGGGTGGATGGCTGAGTAGAGCACCGAGCTGGTATGTCCATATCAGGACTTTGGAGCTCATCTTTCTCACATAAAATGAGGCGTTGGGCCTAGTGTATCTCTCTTTCTTTTTTTTTTTTTTTTTTTTGTTTTTTTTGAGACAGAGTCTCACTCTGTTGCCCAGGCTGGAGTGCAGTGGTGCAATCTTGCTCACTGCATCCTCTGCCTCCCAGGTTTAAGCTATTTTCCTGCCTCAGCCTCCCAAGTAGCTGGGATTACAGGTGGGCACCACCACGCCCAGCTAGTCTGTGTATTTTTAGTAGAGATGGGGTTTCGCCATGTTGGCCAGGTTGGTCTCAAACTCCTGGCCTCAAACGATCCACCTGTCTCGGCCTCCCAAAGTGCTGGGACTACAGGCATTGAGCCACCGCGCCTGGCCCAAGTGTATCTCTTTTAACTCTAAGCTTCATAACAAAAGGAAACCCCATCAGTGATCATTTGAACTTGATGTCTTCTTTTCTTTATTTGCATGTTGGGGGTAGCTGTGAGACCTGTATGCAGAATCTTCATGAGATAATAAGGAATGACTTGTCCTGAACATGCGGAGAAATATGTCTTCATACATGGATACCTCCTGACAATATTAGAGTACTTTAAGTAAAAACCACATAGGGGTGGAATGTTTAATGGTGTCTTCATGGCCTGGGCTGGTATCAGTACAACATATCTGTGGGTTGATCAGAGCTAGGATACCTGCAGGTGTCAAATTCTAGAGCCCTCAGCTTCCCATACTTTGTATGCCTAAGAAAAAAGAGAGGCTCTAGGGTTAGCAATTTGAAAGGACTTAATTATAGCATTAAAAAAAAAATCAGGGAGAGTGGAATGTTGAAAGCAGAAATGTCAAACTGTAAGTTGATTGTTTACATTGCCCAGGCCTGGGACTTCCTTTGTCTCTGCCATGGTGGAAACTTCCAAAGTGACTCAGTTTCATCTTATGTATGTTTTAGTGAAAGTGATAGATTTCCAGTTTCTCAAATTCTACTGTCCCCCTAAAGTACACAAGAATTAATGGGTAACTAATGAACACAGATTCTATGGTGCATCAAGCACAAATCATCCTCAGTGATGAGAAGAAAATTAAATTCCATAAGAATTACGGTTTTTCTAAAATTTAAAGGGGATGTAATAAGGAATGAGGAAAAAAGCTTTGGAAAAGCAAGAATGTCCCTCTATAAAGGGCATTGAAGCGAAAAAGGAAATGGCAGTGGGAAAGGAAGGACGGGGGTGGGAGCTGATGATTCAGCCTGAGGGGGCTGGGGTGAGTGCTGTGGGCAGGACTGCCTAAGTGTGAAGTGGGCGGGTGGTTATGACTAGCATTGAATGGGAGATAATTAAGAGCAAGTCGGTACCAGTAACTGCCAGGAAAAGGAAGGGAATATGTCCAGAAAAAGCAACTCTTTATTTCCATGCTGAATTAAAACACCTACCCATTTGGGGCTTGAGAATTTCACTCTGAAATGAAAAAATATTTGCTGTAAACAGAATGCAGATGATTGTGAAATTTTCCATGCTTTCTTCTAATGGTGTGGGGAAAAACAGATTCAAAATGGAAAACTGTGCAGGACGTGCTTTCTTAGAAAGAAATACATATTTTAAAATATCAGTTATTCTATAAAGGAAAAATTATTGCTGTTAAAAGTCATGCGCAACTTATCAAGTTTCAATTTGGGATCAGCTACAGGTACAAATATCTGGATCGTCTGTGAGAGAAAGAACTGAAAATGCACAGCTTCCATCGTCCTTTAAATAGCTTTCTGGATTGAAGAGCATTATAATTAAACCGCATCAAGTGTCACTGCAGAGAAGCATGTAAATTATGGGTCTGAGTGTGGGCAAGAAATGTTATTTGATTGCTTGACAATCAAAACCAGAAGATGTTCACATATGCATAACCCAGATTTGTTGTAATTATATCAGATGCAGAAGAAGTGGGAGGAATAGGTGTAGCTTTGAATTTAATAATCACTTGTTTATCTCTCTTTCAAATAAAAAAACTGTTTATAAATACTATAGGAACGCATATTCACAGAGTGGTTTTGTATAAGAAAAGATATATTAGCAAGCAATCAGTCCTTTCAGTGTATGTCCCAGAAATAGGTTGTGAAAAAAAAAATGGCCATGGATATCCTACAAAGACCCTCAAAATGCAGAAACTAGTTCATTTAACTGTCTGTCAAGTACTTTGCTTCAAACATCATGTCAGAAACGATGTTCACAAGGGCTCTGAAATCTACTTGTTTCAGTATTTTGCACTTCATTTTACCCAGGTCTCGGCTCTCCTGAAACTCCCCTTTCTCTCAAGATGAGAAGGAGTAGGTAGGAGATGCTCTCGGAATACTGCTCAGACAATTGAGAACTTTTCTTGCCTCTTAAAGAGGCCCAGAGGATGCCTCTTGGAAAGAAGCTGAGAATGTAATACCTTTTCAGCACCTCTACAAAGCGTTTGATACCCTCTTAGATAGCACATACAAGAACAAGCATAAACACTTGACTAGGAAACACACAAGCCTGAAAACTGTCAGGTTGAAAATGAAGACAGCACATTTTTTTACAATCCTTCCCCTTGTGAATACTAGGATCATAAATTATATACAATGATACGTGTATTATCTATGTAAATAAAATGATCCCATCTTCTGCAGCCCTCTTGGTTGACCTTTCCCTTAGCATTTAACTAAAAACTAATAGTAGTAGTAAATCTACTTAATAGATTTACTTAGAATAATACATCTTGCTTAATGAGAAATTTTCCTCCAATCCCCAGATTTCTGGAGGTTTTCCTTCCCTTGGGCATGTTTCATTCTAGATGCTTACTCCTGGCTTTGTGTAGCAGTTAACTTTCCTTTTTTTTTTTTCCATGGATCAGTGTGTAAAATATAGAATATATTTCAGAAAACTTAAGTAGTTTAAGAATGGGTTTGAGTGACTTTTCTAAAGTGGGAGATTTCTAGACAAATTTACACAAAGTACATCATCCCATAAAGAGGACCTCTAGATGCCAGTTGTAGAAAGACACTTTTCATCGCAGTTAAGGGGAAGATATTTCTATGGGTCAGAGATATCTAAGGGTGTTGGGATGCAATAAATCTCTCATTTCTGGGGGTGTTCTTAGCCACATGAATTTGAGATCTCCCAGAGGCAGCCCCTGAGATGAAGATTCACATACAAGTAGATTATCTGGCAGCTGATTTCAGGAAAGGCTGCAGGAAATGGGGAAGAGAGATAAGGAAAGGATCCCAGAAGTACAGGATATATGGTCAAAAGAGAGTCCACTGTGGTAACAGGAACCCTAATCCCACTTGAGAATTCTGGGGGCTGGTGTAAAGTACAGTCTTCTCCCTGTGGGTGGAGGGAGCTGGAATATTTATACACAAATTTCCATCAGTTGAGGAAAGCTGCTCTAGGAGGGCCATTTTAATCCCCTGACACTTCCTGCCTCCCCAGTGAGAGTGCACTAAAGCAGGAGCTGAGTGTTCAAGAAATCCTATAGCAAAGAAACGCTATGCTGCTGGCAGTTAGAAGCCAGGCTGGTACCCATTAAACTGGTGAGAGTGGAAAGACATGGGCCAGGGTCTCAGGAGCACCTGTTATAGTAGTGTAGCTGAGCCTTTATTATAAAGAGCATAAGATGTTTGTTTTACTTATTTCCTATCCCCCTTTTCCTTTTCTTCCTCCATGAATGCTTGCTTGTACACAGTCACTTTGGTAGAGGGTAGTCACTAGTAATTGATTAACTTCCTATGCTAATCCCAGGGCTGCCCATGAGATTGATGAGTTTGTTTTTCTTTGTCTTTTTCTTTTTTTCTTTGTTTTTTTTTGAGACGGCTTTTCTCTGTTGCCCAGGCTGGAGTGCAGTGGAGCAATCACAGCTCACTGCAGACTCAACCTCCCAGGCCCAAGTGATACTCCAACCTCAGCCTTCTGAGTAGCTGGGACCACAGACATGCACCACCATGCCTAGCTAATTTTTGTATTTTTTGTAGAGATGGGGGGTCTCATCATGTTGCCCAGGCTGGTCTCAAACTCCCGGACTCAAGTGATTCTCCTGCGTTGGCCTCCTATAGTGCTGGGATTACAGGTGTGAGCCACTGTGCCCGGCCTGTTTTTCTTTTAAAGAAAAATGATTCTTAGGTTATGCAGACCTCCTTGATGGTGTCCTTGGCCTGATCAAATGCAGACAACTTTGAGCATCAGAGATCCCACCTCCCACATACCAACCTTATTCATAAAATACCTCAGTTATGTTCAAGGCAGGTCAGATTTGAGAGACTGCCTCTCCTGCCCTCTCACTTTGGCTAAATCGAGTAAACCTTTCTCTCTGCTCCTAAATGCTGATGTGTCAATGTTAGGCTTACTGTACATCGGGTACACAAACCTAGATTCTAGGCTTCACTAACACTAGCTCAAAACCTGGGAGGACTAACATAGAAAGAGATTTTGGTATGATGACTCAAGGATTGAATCAAGCCCAAATATATGTGTTTATTGATTTTTCACAGCATTTGTCTTTAAATTGAGTTTGAATGACCATAGGCACTGTCACACTGTCTCCAGTTTGCCCCTGGTCCCATCACTTTCCACTGGCCAGCTTTTCGCATTTATCTAGCATGTCTGCTCTGGAGTTTGCCACCAGCAGGGAAATTCAAATCTAAGATGTTGAGCAGGTCTGGATAGTCTTGAAGACCATTGTCAACTGTGAAATTCTATGGCGTGATAACTAAATCATCACTAAAACCTCTTTCAGCAATAAAATACTATGATTTAATTGTATACTGTCTTTGTAATATGTTTGCAAGTTCCTTAAGGACAACAGTATAGGCCTATAAATAGTCTTGATTGATTAAAATGAAATTATGTATTTCTAAATGTTAATAAGTAGAACAATATTAATTTACACATTTACTGTGACTTCTATTATCATTTGCACTGTACAAGTGTAGCTTGAGCCAACACATCAGAATAGATTACAGAGAGAAACTGCTTCGCATTTCACAGGTTTGATTTAGGGTCTACAGTCATACTTCAGTGAATTTGTTAAGACAAGCATGAACATTGGTGCTCATCCATTTTGCCTTAGATTTGAAGGAAAGATGACCTTGGCAGAGAACATTTATACTGAAGCTTTTAAAAATTGGCCTTGCATTATGCGAAGTGCAAGAAGCCAGACACAAAAGGCAATCTACCATATGATTCCATTTATGTGACATTCTGGAAAAGGCGGAACTAGAGAGACAGAAATCCTGTCAGTGGTTTGCAGAAGGTGGGGAGAGGAGTTGACTACAAAAAGGCACAAGGCAGCTTTCTGGGGTGGTGGGAATATTCTATGCCTTCCTTGTGGTGGTGGTTATGTGACTGTATGCATATGTCAAATCTTATCAAACTGTAGACTGAAAAGGGGTAAATTTGCTGTATGTATGTATGTGTGTGTGTATATATATATGTGTATATATATGTGTGTATATATATATGTGTATATATATGTGTGTATATATATATGTGTATATATATGTGTGTATATATATATGTGTATATATATATGTATATATAAAACCTCAGTAAATCTGACTTTTTTTTTTTAAGTTTTTTTTAAGACAAAGTCTCTCTCCATCTCCCAGGCTGGAGTGCAGTGGTGTGATCTCAGCTCACTGCAAACTCCACCTCCCAGGTTCAAGCGATTCTCCTGCCTCAGCCTCCCAAGTAGCTGAGATTACCGGCATGCGTCACCAGGCCCAGCTAATTTTTGTATTTTTAGTAGAGACTGGGTTTCACCATGGTGGCCAGGCTGGCCTCGAACTCCTGACCTCAGGTGATCCACCTGCCTCGGCCTCCCAAAGTGCTGGGATTACAGGTGTGAGCCACTGTGCCTGGCCAATGACATTAAAAAAAAAAATGAAAACAAAACAAAGCAAAATAAAAATGCTCAGCCCTTGGGCAAGCTTCTTAACTGCTGCCACAGGGAAGTTTCCCCCAGCATCCTGGGAAAATCAGGTGAGGTTTAGATGCCCACTGAGATAAGAATGACATTTGGTTCTTCCTGCCTCTCAGTTCCTTCTTTTTAGCCATTATAAACCCTCCCTGCTCCTCAAATATGATTAAACAAGTCAATTGGGTGAAATATGATTCATTCTGTTGTTGCTCTCACCTTCCTTCAATGGTATCTGCCTTAGTCTTTTTACCTCCAGTATTTTTCCCTAGGCCCTATTTCAGAATTCACATTTTATTATTTCAACATATTTGTTCCTTTACTTGTTCAAAGAAGATTTACAGTGGCTTTCTATAATTTCCAAGCAAATTCCTAGGCTGTTAAGAACGATAATCTGATAAGAGAGATGGCATAGTTTCACCAAGCCTGCAGGCTTCCAAGATTCTACTTCAAAACCTGCAGGGCTTGTCTTCCCTGTCAAATTCATTTCTCTTTTCTTGAATTGCCTGTGCACAGCACATTCCTGAAGGACCTTGACCTAGATTCTCCCACCGTAGTTGGTAAGCCACTTTCTGGAAGCAGTAATATCTGAGGCAGCTGCCAAGGGCATGATCTGGGGGAGCAAGGCAGCACGACAGGGTGGCATGTGCCTTTTGCAATGTCCTTAGTTGACAAGAGAGAGCACTCAGGCTGCTCCATCCCCGGGGGTGGGGAGGAGGGGCGGGGGGGGGAGCGGGGGCTGGGGTGGAGGAGGGGAAGCATCGCTGCAGCATGATTATAAAAACCTGGGGCAGGGACGAAGTTCTTTACATCTCCGTCTCCCTGTAGCATCTGGCAGGTGCCCCTACCTCACACCAGGTGCTTGATGGTTGTTGGTTGATTATTGATTGGCCTCTACTCTTCTGTGCCTAGAAACTCCCTCCTCTGCTTCTTCCAAGTAACTCATACGCCTCCCTCATAATTCTGCTCCATATCCTAAACCTCCCAATTCAACCCTTCCCTCCCTACCACCCTGAATGTGTGCGCTAGGTATTCCTGCTTTGAGCTTCCCTAAGACCTTCTGTTTATAACTGTCATAGCCTAACCACTCTATATTTTAGTTGTATCTTGATTTGTCTGCCTTTTCCCTCTCCCATGCTCCATGCTACAGGAGGCTATGAGCCTATAGAAAGCAATAATTTTTTTTTATTTTTGGGAGATTTTTCCCCCTATCTGGAACATTATGTATGCTTTATAAATGTTTGCCAATGAATAAATAAGAATTTGCTCATGCTGCTTTTGGAAGTCTGCTTTATCAGTTGGAAATTATTTTAACTGCAAGTAAAAGAAACGTTTGCTAACTTCATATTGGCTCATACAGGCAGACATTTCTTTTTCTGGCCTAAATAAAAAAGGTTTTGTCAAACTCTACTGTTCACCTAGGCCAGTGACTTTACAGATGAGAATCAGGGAGGTTGCATGATGACTTGCACCTTAGTTTTAAAGGTGCAAGAGGTCAGGGCAGTGGCTTTATGATTCACTTGGCCTTTACTTTATAAGATAGTTTTTTAAGCACCTGACTTTTGAGATTAGGTGGAAAGGAGTTGTATTAGTTGCATTGGTTCTCTATTGCTGTGTAGCAGACTGCCATAAAATATAGCAGTGTAAAACAACATGAATTTACTATCTCACAGTTCTATAAGTCGGGAGCCTGGTCACTGCTTGCCTGAGTTCTCTGCTTAAGAAATCACCAGGCTGCAATCATGGTGTCAGCAGAAGCCGAATGTCATGTGAAGCTCAGGGTCCTCTTTCTTTTTCTTTTCTTTTCTTTTTTTTTTTTTGAGATGGAATCTTGCTCTGTTGCCCAGGCTGGAGTGCAGTGGTGCGATCTTGGCTCACTGCAAGCTCCGCCTCCCGGGTTCACGCCATTCTCCTGCCTCAGCCTCCCAAGTAGCAGGGACTACAGGCGCCCGCCACCATGCCCGGCTAATTTTTTGTATTTTTAGTAGAGACGGGGTTTCACCGTGTTAGCCAGGATGGTCTTGATCTCCTGATCTCGTGATCCGCCCACCACGGCCTCCCAAAGTGCAGGGATTACAGGCCTGAGCCACCGCACCCAGCCTTCAGGGTACTCTTTCAAGCTCACTGGTGGTTGGTAGAATTCAGTTCCTAGGGCTAAGACCCTGAGCTCCTAGAGGCTGCTTCAAGGCAATTGGAAAGATAGCTGCTTGCTTTCTTCCTGGAGGCCAATAGAAAATCATCTCTCTTTTCAAAGGCTCACCAGATTCTGTTAGGCCCACCCAGGATAATTTCCCTTTTGATTGACTCAAAGTCAACTGATTAGTAACCTAATGATGGGGGTGATATCCCATGGTTCTGCCATACTCAAGGGAAGGGGACTATATAGGACACACATACCCGGGGGCCATCTTAGAATTCTGCCAATACAGGAGTGATGACAGCTTCCCAGAATTCTCCTTTATAGAGTTCTGCTTATATCTCATTGGCCAGAATGAGATACATGAGATTACATGGCTGCCACTAGCTGCAAAGAAGGATAGTAAAGTGAATATTCAGCTTTCCCAACTTTTGTAGTGAAGCTGAGGACAGGAGAGGAGCTGGGAATGGGTGTTAAATTAGTCTATCAACAGAGTTTCCCACACAGTCAAATCCTTGAGACACCTTAATTATAGAATGGTAGATCTGAAAGAGGATGTGAAGTACATTTAATATAACTTTTCTATTTTCTAGATGATGAAGCTGAAAAGACCTCATGTGAAGTTCTTGAAATCACATTATTTGCGCTAAGCAAAATCTAGTAACACTAGAATATTCAGCTTCTCTGGTAGTTTAGTTTATCAAACCTCCAAGAGAAAAGGTATAAAAAGGTGTAACACAAATAGTAAGCTAATGAACAAATAATTTCTTTTGAAGTTGATCATGGATCTGTTTTTTTTTAATCATATAAAGCTGGTTTTTACATTCTAATCCTAACTGATGGTGCCATGAGCTTGAACAAGAGGGACAACTGGTAAAGCATAGGTGCAGAAGACAAGTCTGCATGAGTTCCGAGAAAGAAGTCACAACTCCCAGCTCAGGAAACCAGGCAAAATATCAAAGCAGGCCCAGAATTTGAGATAGGCATTAAAGGACAGATCAGATGTGACATAGGAAGATCAGTGGAGGATATTCCAAGTAGATGGAAAAATGGAAACAGAAGTAGATGTATTAAACTACAAAATGCATAAAAGCAGAGATCAACTCCATTCAACCAGGCTGGTTCCAGAGAAATCTCTTAAGGGGCTGCTTTACCAGTCTAGAACAGAGGTAAAGCTGGCTTGCTCTAGGAGGGTGACCATGGAAATGAAAATGATGACAGTGAATGTGGAAAGAAAGTTGTATGTGTTGATTGGACAGGACTTTCCACTGAGTCTGTAAGTACAAGTCTTACTCATCTCATACTCCCAGGCCCATATCCAGTGCCTGCACATATCAGATACTCAATAAATGCTTTGAGTAGAATTTATGGGTGATTTGGTACAGAACACAAAAAAATAGATCAAGGACTCTGAGTTGGAGCTCAAGAGTGAGTACAGAACTGAATAGAGGGTGTGGAGTTCAGTTTTAGACATGTTGAGCTCCAGGTAGCCTCCTGGATTCCAGGGATGATGTCTAGAAGACAATAAGGGAAAGACACCTGAGAAACAGATAGGTATGGAAATGTATATTTGCAGTCTGCAGCTGTGCAGGCAAAAAGAAAAGGCAGTGGAGAGCTTTAGGGAATGCATACATTTAAGAGGGAGGAAGAAAATGAGTAGATGGGGAATTGACTAGAGAAAATGGGCTGTGCGTCCAAGAAAACAAGGGATAGGAGTGTCTAGAAGCTAGTGACCAGCAGTTTCCGAGCACGTGGGCTCAGGAGAGAATGGGGGAAAACAGATTGCAAGAATTTCAGGAGTGAGTTGAGAGGGAGAGCCGACGGTTGGTATCAAGTTCTTTTAAAAGTTTAAGGATGGCTGGGTGTGGTGGCTCAGGCCTGTAATCCCAGCACTTTGGGAGGCTGAGGCGGGCGGATCACAAGGTCAGGAGATCAAGACCATCCTGGCTAACATGGTGAAACCCCGTCTCTAGCAAAAATACAAAAAATTAGCCGGGCGTGGTGGCGAGTGCCTGTAGTCCCAGCTACTTGGGAGGCTGAGGCAGGAGAATGGCGTGAACCTGGGAGGCGAAGCTTCCAGTGAGCGGAGATTGCGCCTTTGCACTCCAGGCTGGGCGACAGAGTGAGACTCCATCTCAAAAAAAAAAAAAAAAAAGAAAAAAAAAAGAAAAGAAAAAAAAAGTTTAAGGATAAGAGAAAAATCAGCAGTGACAGAATCAAGGGAAGGTGGTTTGGAGTATTTGCTTTACAGGATGAGGGTGACAGAGAGTATCTGCCTGGAAGAATTGGTCGGAAGAAAAGGGGAGAGTGAATATAAAAGAGGGAATCCTGCTGAGGGGTGAGGTGACAGGGTCTGAGGTTGCTGGAGGGTGGAGGAGGCACTCATTGTCCTCTGAAGTAAGAGGAGGAAAAGGGGAGAGAGAAGGAGAGGGAGGCTTTCTGCCTTGTGCTTTCTGTCACTAACTGGCTCTGGGGAAGCTTGGGTCATTATGTAACCTCCCTGAATCTCATCTGTAAAGTCATTGGCCTAGGTGAACACTGGAGTTGGACAAACTATTATCTTGCCTCAGACATTTTACTCGAGACTCCCTCCCCTCGCTTGCTGTCCTCATCCAATCAGTTACCTGTAATGGTGATTATAGCAATAATAGCAGAACCATTTATTGCATGTCTCAAAATATCCAATTGGGATGAACCCCCAAAAGCTACATGGTGAAGAAATTGTTCAAATGTAACTTGAAGGATAGTGTGCATGTGTGGTGTGTGTGTGCGCGTGTGTAAAATGTCTTAGTTCAGTTTATCTAAAATCTTATAGGAATGCTTATAATGGCTTTTCTATTCTTTCTTCTATTTCTTTCCTGAGTTCAATCAACTTTTATTTTATTTCTTCTTTTTTTATGTCTGTTTCTGTACCTAGTTTCTGAATGTGTAATTTGAAGTGTTTTTCCATGTTCCCAAGTGCTTGAGGACGTTGAATTCAGTTCAGTGTTGTGTTAGTTTTCTTCCACTTTGCCATTATTTGGGGGAGGAATTTTTCTCAGTTGAATTGCTTGGGTTCTTTTTATTCTGGTGATTTTGCTTAGATGAAGACTTTGATCCGCCTTTCTGTGGACAGGGCTGGAAGGGTTGGGGTGGTTGCAAAATTCCTAGGTCAAGAGCGCCCTCTTCTGTCAGTGTGGCAAAGTATAACTTCTTTTTCTTTCTTTTTTAAAATTGAACTTATTATTATTATTTATTATTATTATTTGGAAGGGGAATGATGGGAGAAGGGGCTGGGCTACCTTCAGTTTTGCAAGGGAAGAGATTCTTGCAGGTTCTTCAATTTCCCTCTCACTGCAAGATTTCCAGAGCTCGCCTCTAAAAGAGGGTCCCTTTGACCCTTTTTACCAGGATGCCTTACTTATCCTTCCAAGACCATCTCCTCTCACAAAAAGTGGGACAAGACCATCTCCTCGCATGCAGCACATATGGTTAAGTCCCTTCCCAGTAGTAAGTAGCCTGATCTACCAGTGTGCTTTTCAGTATTTTCAAACTTAGCGCCGACGTTCTCTCTCTGGTGGTTGTTTCAGATCAATCTAAGGTCCACCACTAGCTTCCCTCTTGTCTACTCTGCACGGATTTTCTCCAGCTGACTTTGTTGGTTCCTGAAGGGCTTGTATTAGGAGTGGAGGAGGCAACTTGCTGGGGTTTGGTGTTTATTTTTCTATTTACAGTTAATTTGAAATTTGGACATTTCATGTCTTCTAGTTATGTAGAAGACATGGGTTTTATGTAGTTTCATTTGATCTTCTTTATTGTTTTGGGAGAGAGTATGTTCAAACTCAGATTTATATCACCACCATTTTCTTGGCTTCTCAGAATTTTTCCATAACATATACTCTAAATTTGTCTAATTTGCCAATAAGATATATAGGAGTTCATTGACTCAAATTATCTCAGGGAGCTCTTTAAGCTCTTACATTAATTAAGAATTGAATTGAGCTACTGGTGAAGGAGATTCCCCTAAACAAATTTGGGGCTTTTCTTGTGTAACAAAAATTTCAGAGGTAGGTGGTAGCGGGCATTGGCTCAGCAGTGAAGACAGACCATGTTGATATCTCCATGACATCTTAACCTCTCCCTCACAGGTGCCTGTGATTACAGGAGGGTTGCTCTACCTCCAGTGTGTCATGGCTATAATCCAGTCAAGAAGAAGGGCAGAGTACAAAGGGTAAAAGGCACTTGTTAACTGTCAGCTCCATTTTAAAGGTCTTTCCTGAAAGCCCCATCCAAAAACTTTTGCTTATACCTGGGTTCAATGACAACCTCTAGCTGCAAAGGAGAATTAGAAATGTAGTTTTTGTTTGTTTGATTTGTAGTAGTTGATTTGTTTTTCCTGAGCACATTATAGCTCCCCCTCAAACACACACACACAAAATGGGGGAGATGTTAGTAAGGATAGGAGAAAAAAGAATATTGGATAGGCACTAAAAATTCCCCTCTGCAACTCTCCAAGTCCAGGAACAGAGAGTTTCTGGTCTCACATCATTGGCTCAGAGACAATATCCAGACCAATGATTACCAAACACCTTTGGGAGGTTCTGAGAGAAGGCTGTGTCACGACAGGTAAGAGAATTACTGGAGACTGACCAGCTGCATGGAAAAGGACTGAAATAAAACAAGGCTAAACACTGCCCCGGGTTGATTTACCCTTACTTTGGGAGTCAGCCTAAAAGCTAATAAATATGTTTTTTTTTTTTAAGCAGCGTATTAGGAATTCCCCAGTTTGTAAACAGGGACACAGTTCTTCTCTTTTCCCTTCTTTCTCTAAATGGAAATAATTCTATAATGAAACAAATTATTTAGGAGTTAAAGCCTAGTGGAAGATCATCTGTTCTCACCATGGAAAACTCTAGTGGATTAATTCATTCCCAAAACACTCAGCCATCTTACCTGCTACACAGACACACACACACACACACACACACACACACACACACACACACACACCTATAGAGACTTCTATATATGATACCCTCATTGATATATATCTGTTATAATTGTTGATAACTGTTAACTCAGCTATGTGAAACTAGTTTTGTAGTTTTGTAGGTACACCAATCCTTTAAGATTCATTTCAGAAAATAGAGAAACAGACACTTAAAAATCTCCATCCTCAAAGACAAGCACTCAAGTTTATAAACACACCAATTTATTTACTCCAGCAGACAGAATCGTGGCATATAATGATTACGTTTTGATCCACAGAAAACTCTCGGGAGATGTGAATGTCTGGCTCTACCCCTAGCTAGCAGTGCTATTTGGGGAAGCAACTTAATCTCTCTGAACATCATTTCCTTGTCTATAGAAGAATGGAATTTGTATGACTGTTTTTGTCAAGTTATAAGATCCTATCATTTTGGAGATTCTTATGTTCAATTAGCCTTTGTTCAGTGTCTGCTATGTGCTAGGCACTAATCTATGTACTATGGACGTCTTATGGGGTAGTAAAGCACAATGGGGAAGATTTCAAGCCAACTCAAAGGAGAAGGTGAATAAAATATCTAGGAAGAAATTTAACCAAGGAGATGTGCAACATGAAAACTATAGTTAATAACAATGTATTGTTTACTTGAAAATCACAAAAGAGTAGATTTTAAGATTTCTCGTTACAAAAGTAATTATAAATAGGTGAGGTAATACATATGCTAATTAGCTAGGTTTAGTCATTCCACAAGGCACACATATTTCAAAATATCATGTTGTACACTGTAAATATATACAATTTTTATTTGTCAATTAAAAACAAGACAAAAAAGTGCTATAAAGCAAAACAAAACAAAAATTTAATCAAGGAGGTAAAAGACTTGTACACTGAAAACTACAAAACATTGCTGAAAGAAATTAAAGAAGACCTAAATGAATGGAAAGGCATCCCATGTTCCTGGGTAGGCCAACTTAACGCTGTTAAGATGCCAATACTACCAAAGCAATCTGGAAAAGCTGATACATATGGAATTATGAGGAACCCTAGATAGGCAAAACAATCTTGAAAATAAATAACAAAGTCAGAGGCTCACACTTCCTGATTTCAAAAGTTACTATAAAGCTACAGTAATCAAAACAGTGTGGTACTGGTATAAAGATAGACACACATAGACCAATGGAGTAGAATTTAGGGTCCAAGTGGAAACCTGTATTTCTATGGCCAAATGATTTTTGACTAGGGTGCCAAGTCCAGTCAATGGAAAAACAGCAGTCTTTTCAGCAAATGGTGTTGGGACAGCTGGATTTTCACATGCAAAAGAATGAAGTGTGACCCCAACCCCACATCGTATAAAAACATTAACTCAAAATGGATCAACAATCTAAATATAAGAGCTGAAACCACGAAAGTCTTAGAAGACAACATAGGGGTAAATCTTCATTACTCTGGATTTGGATATAACCCTGAAAGTATGAGCAACAAAAGAAAAAATAGATAAGTTGGACATTCTCAAAACTAAAATGCTTCTTGCATTAAAGGATGATATCAAGAAATTAAAAAGACAACTTATAGAATTAGAGAAAATATTTATAAATAAAAATATCTGAGTGGGGCGGTTCCAAGATGGCCAAATAGGAACAGCTCCAGTCTACCGCTCCCAGTGTGAGCGACGCAGAAGACGAATGATTTCTGCATTTCCAACTGAGGTACCGGGTTCATCTCACTGGGGACTGTTGGACAGTGGGTGCAGGACAGTGGGTGCAGCACACCGAGTGTGAGCTGAAGCAGGGCGAGGCATCACCTCACCCAGGAAGTGCAAGGGGTCAGGGAATTCCCTTTCCTAGCCAAGGAAAGGGGTGAGAGACGGCACCTGGAAAATCGGGTCACTCCCACCCTAATACTGCGCTTTTCTGACAGTCTTAGCAAACGTCACACCAGGAGATTATATCCTGCGCCTGGCTCGGAGGATCCTACACCCACAGAGCCTTGCTGATTGCTAGCACAGCAGTCTGAGATCAAACTGCAAGGTGGCAGCGAGGCTGGGGGAGGGGCGCCCACCATTGCTGAGGCTTGAGTAGGTAAACAAAGCAGCTGGGAAGCTCGAACTGGGTGGAACCCACCACAGCTCAAGGAGGCCTGCCTGCCTTTGTAGACTCTACCTCTGGGGGCAAGGCATAGGCAAACAAAAGGCAGTAGAAACCTCTGCAGACTTAAATGTCCCTGTCTGACAGCTTTGAAGACAGTAGTGGTTCTCCCAGCACCCAGCTTGAGATCTGAGAACGGACAGACTGCCTCCTCAAGTGGGTCCCTGACCCCTGAGTAGCCTAACTGGGAGGCACCCCCCAGTAGGGGCAGACTGACACCTCACACAGCCGGGTACCCTCTGAGACAAAACTTCCAGAGGAACGATCAGGCAGCAACATTTGCTGTTCACCAATATTCGCTGTTCTGCAGCATCCGCTGCTGATACCCAGGCAAACAGGGTCTGGAGTGGAACTCTGGCAAACTCCAACAGACCTGCAGCTGAGGGTCCTGACTGTTAAAAGGAAAACTAACAACTGTTAGAAGGAAAGGACATCCACACCAAAACCCCATCTGTCCATTACCACCATCAAAGACCAAAGGTAGATAAAACCACAAAGATGGCGAAAAAACAGAGCAGAAAAACTGAAAATTCTAAAAATCAGAGCGCCTCTCCTCCTCTGAAGGAACGCAGCTCCTCACCAGCAACAGACCAAAGCTGGACAGAGAATGACTTTGACGAGTTGAGAGAAGAAGGCTTCAGATGATCAAACTTCTCTGAGCTAAAGAAGGAAGTTCAAACCCATGGCAAAGAAGTTAAAAACCTTGAAAAAATATTAGACGAATGGCTAACTAGAATAACCAATGCAGAGAAGTCCTTAAAGGACCTGACAGAGCTGAAAACCATGGCACGAGAACTATGTGACAAATGCAGAAGCTTCAGTAGCCGATTCAATCAACTGGAAGAAAGGTTATCAGTGATGGAAGATCAAATGAATGAAATGAAGTGAGAAGAGAAGTTTAGAGAAAAAAGAATAAAAAGAAACGAACAAAGCCTCCAAGAAATATGGGACTATGTGAAAAGACCAAATCTCCGTCTGATTGGTGTACCTGAAAGTGATGGGGAGAATGGAACCAAGTTGGAAAACACTCTGCAGGATATTATCCAGGAGAACTTCCCCAATCTACCAAGGCAGGCTAACATTCAAATTCAGGAAATACAGAGAACGCCACAAAGATACTCTTTGAGAAGACCAAAACCAAGACACATAATTGTCAGATTCACCAAAGTTGAAATGAAGGAAAAAATGTTAAGGGCAGCCAGAGAGAAAGGTTGGGTTACCCACAAAGGGAAGCCCATCAGACTAACAGCTGATCTCTTGGCAGAAACTCTACAAGCCAGAAGAGAGTGGGGGCCAATATTCAACATTCTTAAAGAAAGGAATTTTCAACCCAGAATTTCGTATCCAGCCAAACTAAGCTTCATAAGTGAAGGAGATATAAAATACTTTACAGACAAGCAAATGCTGAGAGATTTGTCACCACCAGACCTGCCCTACAAGAGCTCCTGAAGGAAGCACTAAACATGGAAAGGAACAACCGCTACCAGCCATTGCAAAAACATGCCAAATTGTAAAGACCATTGAGGCTAGGAAAAAACTGCATCAACTAACGAGCAAAATAACCAGCTAACATCATAATGACAGGATCTAATTCACACATAACAATATTAACTTTAAATGCAAATGGGCTAAATGCTCCAATTAAAAGACACAGACTGGCAAATTGGATAAAGAGTCAAGAACCATCTGTGTGCTGTATTCAGGAAACTCATCTCATGTGCAGAGACACACATAGGCTCAAAATAAAGGGATGGAGGAAGATCTACCAAGCAAATGGAAAACAAAAAAAAGCAGGGGTTGCAATCCTAGTCTCTGGTAAAACAGACTTTAAACCAACAAAGATCAAAAGAGACAAAGAAGGCCATTACTAATGGTAAAGGGATTAATTCATCAAGAAGAGCTAACTATCCTAAATATATATGCACCCAATACAGGAGCAACCAGATTCATAAAGCAAGTCCTTAGAGACCTACAAAGAGACTTAGACTCCCACACAATAATAATGGGAGACTTTAACACCCCACTGTCAACATTAGACAGATCAACGAGACAGAAAGTTAACAAGGATATCCAGGAACTGAATTCAGCTCTGCACCAAGCGGACCTAATAGACATCTACAGAACTCTCCACCCCAAATCAACAGAATATACATTCTTCTCAGCACCACACCGCACTTATTCTAAAATTGACCACATAGTTGGAAGTAAAGCACTCCTCAGCAAATGTAAAAGAACAGAAATTATAACAAACTGTCTCTCAGACCACAGTGCAATCAAACTGGAACTCAGGATTAAGAAACTCACTCAAAACCACTCAAGTACATGGAAACTGAACAACCTGCTCCTGAATGACTACTAGGTACATAACGAAATGAAGGCAGAAATAAAGATGTTCTTTGAAACCAATGAGAACAAAGACACAACATACCAGAATTTCTGGGACACATTCAAAGCAGTGTGTAGAGGGAAATTTATAGCACTAAATGCCCTCAAGAGAAAGCAGGAAAGATCTAAAATTGACAACCTAACATCACAATTAAAAGAACTAGAGAAGGAAGAGCTGTCACCTTCAAAAAGCTAGCAGAAGGCAAGAAATAACTAAGATCAGAGCAGAACTGAAGGAGATAGAGACACAAAAAACCCTTCAAAAAGTCAATGAATCCAGGAGCTGGTTTTTTGAAAAGATCAACAAAATTGATAGACCACTAGCAGGACTAATAAAGAAGAAAAGAGAGAAGAATCAAATAGACACAATAAAAAATGGTAAAGGGCATATCACCACTGATCCCACAGAAACACAAACTACCATCAGAGAATACTATAAACACCTCTATGCAAATAAACTTGAAAATCTAGAAGAAATGGATAAATTCCTCGACACATACACACTCCCAAGACTAAACCAGGAAGAAGTTGAATCTTTTACTAGACCAATAACAGGCTCTGAAATTGAGGCAATAATTAATAGCTTACCAACCAAAAAAAGTCCAGGACCAGAAGGATTCACAGCCGAATTCCACCAGAGGTCCAAGGAGGAGCTGGTACCATTCCTTCTGAAACTATTCCAATCAATAGGAAAAGAGGGAATCCTCCCTCACTCATTTTATGAGGCCAGCATTATCCTGATATCAAAGCCTGGCACAGACACAACAAAAAAAGAGAATTTTAGACCAATATCCCTGATGAACAGCGATGCAAAAATCCTCAGTAAAATACTGGCAAACCAAATCCAGCAGCACATCAAAATCTTATCCACCATGATCAAGTGGGCTTCATCCCTGGCATGCAAGGCTGGTTCAACATATGCAAATCAATAAACGTAATCCAGCATATAAACAGAACCAAAGACAAAAACCACATGATTATCTCAATAGATGCAGAAAAGGCCTTTGACAAAATTCAACAGCCCTTCACGCTAAAAACTCTCAATAAATTAGGTATTGATGAGGCGTATCTCAAAATAATAAGAGCTATCTATGACAAACCCACAGCCAATATCATACTGAATGGCAAAAACTGGAAGCATTCCCTTTGAAAACTGGCACAAGACAGGGATGCCCTCTCTCACCACTCCTATTCAACATAGTATTGGAAGTTCTGGCCAGGGCAATCAGGTAGGAGAAGGAAATAAAGGGTATTCAATTAGGAAAAGAGGAAGTCAAATTGTCCCTGTTTGCAGATGACATGATTGTATATCTAGAAAACCCCATCGTCTTAGCCCAAAATCTCCTTAAGCTGATAAGCACCTTCAGCAAAGTCTCAGCATACAAAATCAATGTGCAAAACTCACAAGCATTCTTATACACCAATAACAGACAGAGAGCCAAATCATGAGTGAACTCCCATTCACAATTGCTATAAAGAGAATAAAATACCTAGGAATCCAACTTACAAGGGATGTGAAGAACCTCTTCAAGGAGAACTACAAACCACTGCTCAATGAAATAAAAGAGGATACAAACAAATGGAAGAACATTCCATGCTCACAGATAGGAAGAATCAATATCATGAAAATGGCCATACTGCCTAAGGTAATTTATAGATTCAATGCCATCCCCATCAAGCTACCAATGACTTTCTTCACAGAATTGGAAAAAACTACTTTAAAGTTCATATGGAAGGAAAAAAGAGCCCGCATTGCCAAGTCAATCCTAAGACAAAAGAACAAAGCTAGAGGCATCATGCTACCTGACTTCAAACTATACGACAAGGCTACAGTAACCAAAACAGCACGGTACTGGTACCAAAACAGAGATATAGACCAATGGAACAGAACAGAGCCCTCAGAAATAATGCTACATATCTACAACTATCTGATCTTTGGCAAACCTGACAAAAACAAGAAATGGGGAAAGGATTCCCTATTTAATAAATGGTGCTGAGAAAACTGGCTAGCCATATATAGAAAGCTGAAACTGGATCCCTTCCTTACACCTTATACAAAAATTAATTCAAGATGGATTAAAGACTTAAATGTTAGACCTAAAACCATAAAAACCCTAGAAGAAAACCTAGGCAATACCATTCAGGACATAGGCATGGGCAAGGACTGCATGTCTAAGACACCAAAAGCAATGGCATCAAAAGCCAAAATTGACAAATGGGATCTAATTAAACTAAAGAGCTTCTGCACAGCAAAAGAAACTGCCATCAGAGTGAACAGGAAACCTACAGAATGGGAGAAAATTTTTGCAATCTACTCATCTGACAAGGGGCTAATATCCAGAATCTACCAAGAACTCAAACAAATTTACAAGAAAAAAACAAACAACCCCATCAACAAGTGGGTGAAGGATATGAACAGACATTTCTCAAAAGAAGACATTTATGCAGCCAAAAGACATATGAAAAAATGCTCATCATCACTGGCCATCAGAGAAATGCAAATCAAAACCACAATGAGATACCATCTCACACCATTTAGAATGGCAATCATTAAAAAGTCAGGGAACAACAGGTGCTGGAGAGGATGTGGAGAAACAGGAACACTTTTACACTGTTGGTGGGACTGTAAACCAGTTCAACCATTGTGGAAGTCAGTGTGGTGATTCCTCAAGGATCTAGAACTAGAAATACCATTTGACCCAGCAATCCCATTACTGGGTATATACCCGAAGTATTATAAATCATGCTGCTATAAAGACACATGCACACGTATGTTTATTGCAGCACTATTCACAATAGCAAAGACTTGGAACCAACCCAAATGTCCAACAATGATAGACTGGATTAAGAAAATGTGGCACATATACACCACTGAATACTATGCAGCCATAAAAAATGATGAGTTCATGTCTTTTGTAGGGACATGGATGAAGCTGGAAACCATCATTCTCAGCAAACTATCGCAAGGACAAAAAACCAAACACTGCACGTTCTCACTCATAGGTGGGAATTGTACAATGAGAACACATAGACACAGAAAGGGGAACATCACACACCGGGGCCTGTTGTGGGGTGGGGGGAGGGGGGAGGGAAAGCATTAGGAGATATACCTAATGTAAATGACGAGTTAATGGGTGCAGCACACCAACATGGCACATGTATACATATGTAACAAACCTGCACGTTGTGCACATGTACCGTAGAACTTAAAGTATAATCATAAAAAACAAACAAACAAACAAAAAATATCTGACAATGGGTAAATATCCAGCATATATAAAGAACTTAATAAAAAAAAGATAAGCCACCCAATTTTAAAATGGGCAAAGGATTTGAATAGATATTTCTCCAAATAAAATATAAAAATAGCCAATAAGCACATAAAAATGTTCTACAACAATAATCCTCAGGGAAATGTGAATCCAAATCACAATGAGATACCTATTTGCACTTACTAGAGTGGCTATAATAAAATAAAAAGAAAATAAAAGAAGTATTGTGAGAATGTGGTGAAATTGGAACCCTCATACATTACTAATGGCAATGTAAAATGGTGCAACCACTGTTGAAACAGTGTTTTGGTTCCTTAAAAAGCTAAGCCTAGAATTACTCCCTTTCCCAGCAATTCTGTTCTTAGGTATATACCCAAAAGAATTAAAAACAGGGATTGAACAGATACTTGAATGCCAATGTTCATAGCAGCTTTATTTACAACATCCAAAAGATGAAAACAACCCAACTGTCTGTGACCAGATGAATGAAAAAATTGAATGTGATATATATACACAGTGGAATGTTATTCAGCCAAAGAAATGAAGTTATGTACATGTTACAACGTGAATGAACCTTGAAAATATTATGCTAAATGAAATAAACCAGAAACAAAAGGATAAATATTGTATGATTCCACTTACATGATATATCTAGAATGGGTGAATTCATAGAGACAGAGTAGATTAGAGGTTATCAGGGACTTGGGGGAGAGAAGGAGAGGGAGTTATTGCTTAATGGTTTCAGAATTTCTGTTTGGATGTTGAAAAATGCGGGGAACGGTGATTGTTTGCCCAACACTGTGAATGTAATTAATGCTACTAAGTTGTACACTTAAAATCTGTGAAAATAGCCATGCATGGTGGTTCATGCCTGTACTCCCAGCACTTGGGAAGCTGAGGCAGGAGGATCATTTTAGCCCAGGAGTTCAAGACCAGCCTGGGCAACATAGTAATACCTTGTCTCTAAAAAAAAAAAAATTAAAGAAAAGAAAAAATTTGTTAAAAGAACAAACTTCATGTTATACATATTTTGCCACAATAAAATTATTCAGAAAGAAAAAAAGAGTAATATTAATAAGTGGAGCGATTTGGAAGCATACAGTCAAACTTTGTAGGAAGTGATCAGCAGGGCCTTCAGACACACATCCAGGTGTACTCATATGCAGACTCACACACAAACACCACCCAGGTCCCTAAAGCAGAGATACCCAGATCAACACACCTCTTGGCATGTTCATGCCTACATACATGCAATCTGCAGTGTGTATATACAGTGATTGAGTTAAAGCACCGTCAGGATTCAACTGTCCACACAGTAGAGGTACACACACCTACATGTTCCATAATGTAATAGTATAGCCACACAGGTTAACTGAAGAGCCTGCTCACCTATAGAAAAGCCTGTTCCAGATGCAGCAGTGCCTGCATGCTCGAGGGACATCCCATAGATAAGCATCATGCACATCATGCATCATGCTTATCTGTGGGGTAACAGTGAAGAGTTCAAAAGCATGGAAATGGGGTCACTGATTGGCAGGTGGGAGAATCAGGGTAGTGAGCCAAAAGATATGTGCTGGAGGCAGAATTGTATGAAAGGGAGGGATTGGAAGATGGCTGAGGGCTAGTGAGAACATGAGTGGGTGTATAAGAAAACATCAGACAGCTTCTTTGTCAAATAGATTCAAAACAAAATAAGTTTGAGTCGCTAAGTCTTACTCTTTTCTCTTGCCCATTACTGTTTGATCTCTGGTTATCAGAGAGCAAATTGTACACTCAGGTACCTCTACACTTGTGTTAGCCCCTCCCACTGGTCCCTACACGGTTGTAGGGTCGTTTTCAGGTGAGATCAGCAAGCTGCTTTCTCTCTCTGCTTTCTGCTGGTTGCAGCAAACCTGCCCCACACATCTATTTTCAGCCATGGAAAAGCACCATGTCCTCTGGGCAGCCAGCCCCAGGCAGTGGTTGAGGATGAAAGTCCCAGAATAACCAAGGTCTTTTACCAGTGGTTTGATGATGGAACTGAGGAAGTGAGATGCTGGAAATGGTGTGTCGGGAGCAGAGGATGAGCATTTAGAGCTGGCACTCAAGGGTAGTAGCCAAGGATGAGGAGACATAAAGTCTCAGAGAGGAGAAGTAACATTGAGGACTGAGCTCAAGGCTATCCCCAGAAGACACCTTTAGTTGATCCCGGCATCCTTCATGGTGGCAAAGGTATCTTAGCAAGACAGTAGCTTATGGAAACATACAGCCTGAGCCTAACCAGGGAAATGAAGGAGGCAACGGGTCCACCACTAGTCTCTTTCCTAGACCTTTCACCCCAACACTAGCACTTTATTTCGCCTCCCCTCAGGGACTAATTCTCTCTTACCCCCTGTTAAAATTCTGAGCGAGTCAGGTGACTATATGCAGACTCATACACAAACACCACCCAGGTCCCTAAAGCAGAGATACCCAGATCAACACACCTCTTGGCATGTTCATGCCTACATACATGCAATCTGCAGTGTGTATATACAGTGACTGAGTTGAAGCACCGTCAGGATTCAACTGTCCACACAGTAGAGGTGCACACAGTCACCTGTGCACAGTAGAGGTGCACAGCAGAGGTGACACTATAGTCACCAGCACCTATAGTCCCAGCCACTTGGGAGACTGAGTTGGGAGGATTCCTTGAGCCCAGGGGTTTGAGGCCATCCTGAATAACATAGAGGGCTCATCTCTAAAATAAATAAATAAATAAATAAATAAATAAATAAATAAATAAATCCTAAGTGATTATGAGAGTTAACATCTTATCTTCCTCTGTTGGAAGAGAAAATTCTCAACTTACTGCTAATCAATAAAATCAACAAGAGTTGCATATAATTATCAGCATTTCCTCTTTTTCATCCTGTTTGAAAAACCAAAAGGCAACCTAGGCAAGTATAGGGTGTTGAAATGTAGCAAACAAAGTGACATTTTGGTATGTTGTGTTTTGTCTTAGTTTTATAATAATTTTCTGACGAGTATACTGATTTTACACAAGTTGATTTTTTAATAGAGAACCAAGATTGGCTTTGATTTTTTATTGTAGATAATGTCTTTCAAAAAGTACACATCTTTTGCCAGGCATGATGGCATGCACACTTTAGTCCCAGCTACTCAGGAGGCTGAGGTAGGAGGATCACTTGAACCCAAGAGGTTGAGGCTGCAGTGAGCCATGATCGCCCTGTTGCCCTCCAGCCTGGGTGGCAGAGCAAGATCTTGTCTCTAAATAAATAGTACACTTCTTTGAATTAATTTGTGAATGAATATAATTTTAGCAGATGTGAACTTTGTAGCCGGGCGTGGTGGCACACGCCTGTATTCCCAGCACTTTGGGAGGCTGAGGTGGGCGGATCACGAGGTCAGGAGATCGAGACCATCCTGGCTAACACAGTGAAACCCATCTCTACTAAAAATACAAAAAATTAGCCGGGCGTGGTAGCAGGCGCCTGTAGTCTCAGCTACTTGGGAGGCTGAGGCAGGAGAATAGCATGAACCCAGGAGGCAGAGCTTGCAGTGAGCCAAGATCGCGCCATTGCACTCCAGCCTGGGTGACAGTGACACTCTGTCTCAAAAAAAAAAAAGAAAGAAAGAAAGTGTGTGTAGGTGACAGAGATGTGTGATTTTGCTGAGTTAAGTCTACAGTTCATAAAATCACTATTCTTAACACTGAAAGTGATTAAAATTTTGTCCCATCTTTCTGCTATTATAAATCCATATTGCAAGTAATTTGAACTATAAAGAATGTCTATTCTTAGAGGAAAGTATCATGTTCTAGCTCTTCATTTACTTTGAGTTTAACTGTGGTGGAAAAATTATTCTGTCTTTGAAAATAATTTAATTTTTGTAAGCATGCATGCATGGATAACTCCAAAAAGAATAGTGAACTTAAAAGCTGAAACCTCTTCTTACAGTAATTTGACTTATTCTGGGAGAAATTAAGAGAAATATCATAAGTACATGCCCGTTTTTAGGTATCATACTACAGACTTAAGACAAATATTCTTGACTTGGACCATCTGAGAAAGGATTCTGAGTGACTCTGCATGTGATTTGCATGTAACTCACATGCCTACACAAAGTATCACAAGCCAGCTGCCTCTGCAGGTTTCCTACTCAGGGAAAAGAAAGCAGACCATTGTCAGAGTGAGGGAGGTGAGGAATGAACAGCAACTATGCATGGACCCGACAATCTGCTTAAGCCCGGTGCAGAGACAAGGGCCCAGTCAAGAATATGGCATGTAACCCACCCCCACACACCCCACACCCCAATCTAGATTCCTCCAGGTGTTCAGGCAAGGTCCATCTGGAAGAGATGTTTGTTACCCTTTATCCAAGCCAGTGTGGGTAAGCAGGTGGTATTTTGTTTTGTTTTTCCTTTGAGATGTCTATGAGTTAAAACTGTGTTTTTGTTTTAAATATTAAGGGTTTGGGTTTTTTGCTTTAAAATATGAAAGATTTCTTTTTTAGACAACATCACCTGTTTATATGGAAAACACAAGTGAGCAAAAAAGGAAAAAAAAGAAACTCACCCAGATTCAGAATGCCCAGAGAAAAATAATTAGGTAAAAAATCATGCACACACACACACAAACCCCACACACACACACACACACACACACACACACACACACATATATATTCCTGATATGTGTGTGTGTGTGTGTGTGTGTGTGTGTGTAAAATCATCCTTTGAAAAACCAGAATGGGAATATTCCAGACATAGAGATTGTGAACTTGTATTTTCTCTTAATGTATAAGGAATATCATTCAATTTCACTAAATAGACACCTATGGAATCATTCACGGCCACATGATCTTTATTAAAAGTAGCATTATTATTTTACTTCCAATTGTTGGACATTTATGTCATGGAAGTGTTTCACCACTATAAGCAATGCTATGATAAATCCATACATCTGTTTCTATTACCTGCTTATTTCCCCAGGATAAAATTCTGGAAGTAGAACTGGTGACTATAGTCCTTTAAAGGTTTTTGATTCATATACACAAATTTCCCTTCAGTAAGATTATGTCAGTTTATATGCCAACCAGCTAAGTGTTATTATGTTCACCTTTGTATACTCTCAACAAAGCTGGATATTAACATTTTTAAAAGCTGGTTTTAAAAGAAAATGAAATAAACAAGTGAGAGACAATATCTAAGTATAAATGAAGGAAATAAGAACAATGCAATAGAAATAATGTTCTTTTCCTCAGACATATCTAACTGCAGTCAGATTCCTTAGTTCCTCTTCTGAGACTGTCACCAAACCTCTTCTTTTTCCTCCTGTGCACACAGACGACTACAGCTCCCAGGCTCCCTTGAGGTTAAGTGTGATCATGAATTCTGGCCAACAGAATTGTGGGTGGAAATGATATATGCTGCTTCCAAACCTGGCCCCTGATCCTTTTCTTCTTGGGTCTCTCTGCCTGATATAGAGGAACCAGCAGAGGACTCTGAAGGCCTGGGGGATGGCAGAGGAAGGAGGAGCCCATGTCCCTGAATCACCTCATGCAAGGCAGCTCATTGAATAGCCACACTGAACTATTACACGTGCAATTAATAAGTTCTACTGTCTTTTTTTGGTTTTTGATGCAGTGTCTCACTCTGTTACCCAGGCTGGAGTGCAGGGGCATGAACACAGTTTACTGCAACCTCTGTCTCCCAGGCTCAAGGGATCCTCTCACCTCAGCCTCCCGAGTAGCTGGGACTGCAGGCCACAGCGCCCAGCTAATTTTTGTATTTTTTGTAGGGACGGGGTTTCACTATGTTGCCCAGGCTGGTCTCAAATTCCTGAGCTCTCCCAAAGAGCTGGTATTACAGGCATGAGTCACCACACCTGACTTAAATTCTATTGTCTTAAACCCCTGAGATTATAGACAAACTATAACATGCAGATAAACAAAATAAAAAGTACCCAGAATTCTAAAAACCAGAGACAACTAATTGTTACAGAAATTGGCCTGACAAATCCAGGCATGTTGCTATTTTCAGCCAACTCAAATTGGAATTAATGGTTAAAAAAAAAAAGGAGGGCATGGTAATAGGGAGCAGATGCAGCTGCACGATGGCAGAACTTCCATCATCCTGAGTCCTAGAGTGGGGCCCCTCCCATCCATGATGAATATGTAGCATGAGCAAGAAACAAACCTTTCTTGTGTTAAGCCACTGTGGATTCAGATTAATTGGGTAACTGCAACATAAGTCTATCCTGCTCTGACTAGCACAAGGCTCTCACATTCTCTGTATCTTATTCATCCTCCACATTAAGAGCCCCAAACCTAGTGAAGGTTCACGGCTACCATTACTCATCCACACACTGGTTAAGTGGGATTTGACTTCCTAACTGTGACAGGGAAGGAGAGATAAAGAATCAGGACTTTAGAATAGAGGCGAGAACTTCCTTCTTATGAGTGCAGGAGTGATCTTACTAATGCACAAGAAGCAGATGCAATTGTTTTGGATTTTTCCAAGTCTAAAGTAGCTTGTGAAATAAATTTATATTGCGCTTACATTATGTGAAAACTAATAATAGTGCATGGCCATAAAGGGTAGTAGCAACAAAGAGTGAGCCAGGTCTCTGGCCCACTAGGCAAGTACACTGCGTGACCTTTTCTCCTCCAGTTAATGATGAAAAGTGATGTATGCCAAGGAGTGGAGAGGTTCGTTTACAAAGGAGGAATATGTAAGGAAGCCCTGATTCTTTTCTCCTTTTAGTGTCTAATGGCTTTAAGTGAATTTTCCTTACATGAGCAAATGATACTTTTCTATCATATCTGAATTTTTATGAGCGTGCATTATTTTTATAATTAGAAAAAATAGTTCTGCTTTGGAAAAAAATCACCATTGGTAGGTGAAGAATTAATAATTGCATCTTCCATTGACATCTGTGTAATAGCACTTAGTACAAACAGTGTCTATCAGCTTCTTTAACTGTTAATTCAAGGGTTGAGTTTTCTGAGGACAGGTGCAGGGCCGGAATTCTAGAAACAAACACGGGGAGGAGGCACACCAGACTGGCTCAAAACAGCATAGTGAATGATCCCATCTGTGCATATTGATCCATCACCTCTTTCTTTCTGGTGTTATTTGCTTTAGTTTCAGGTGAAATTCTGTGTAGCTTTGTAAACTCTCAACTTGCACATAAATTCAAACTCGCCATCATGGAATTATCAAAAAACAATGAGAATCTGGGAATTTCTTGTTAAATGGCGTTTCTACGCATAGACTCCATGTCATCTACATTATTCTCCCAGGTAAAACCAGGCAAGTAATTATATAGGCAATTCCCACTTTTTACATTTTTGTGTTGCCCAATTACTAGATGCTGGTAAGTGTATCAGAAATCATCTTGTTATCACTGTAGATAAAATTCTGCTTCTCCTATTACCCATTTTAGCTCTTTTTTCTTTGGCAAGTTATTTGCTGTCATTTCTTGGCCTATGAACAGCTGAAGGTCATTTTCTAGATGAGAAATACGCCAATTTATCTCAATTTTCTCATTTAAAAAAATTTTGACTGCTAAGAATGTAAGATAGGGTTTCATTTGTGATAATTACCAAATTTCAAATAAGTGGTAAATGAAAATTGCCTGGTATTGTATAAGGAGGGGTAATTTAAATTCTTTGCAGGAAGCAATTGGTATTTCAGGTAAGTCTGTAGACATTGTTTATCTAAAACTATTTTAAAGGGCTCCATAAAGCTCTATGCCTTTAAATTTATTTTACTATTATAGTCATTTTACTAGCTAGGAACTGCAGCCATCTATCTCTGGCTGTCTCTTTCTGACACCCACAGATGTATACACCCACGCTCTCACCCATGCAAACCTACACTCTGACTCATGTTCAGAAGGATTGTCAAAAAATCCCCACTCCCTGTCTAACTAAAGTGTTCCTTTCAAACACATGCTACGTATTTGATCTATTTCCATATATCTGTGAATCAGCTGGTCTTGTCTGATCTACCTAGTAGACTAGAGCCTACATGTATGTTTTTTTCATATGGGCTTGGTAAACCTGATACATATTCAAGAGTACTGAGAGCATAAAACCCAGGGAACATTTACTATAAATGAATCATTGGTTATCCAAATGCTGGCAATTACTTCTGGTTTAAATATTATTCTAGAACTGGCAGCACATCCAGGTCTATCATCTCAATTAGCCTGGAGAGTGAGAAAAACTCCAGTTCAACATCACATGCATCTACCTGGACCACCAGTGAATACTTTCACAAAGCAGGGAAGAAATGTTGGAAGTATTTTATTAAATGACAGCAGAACATCACTTCCTTTATCTATAACTCTTTTATCCAGTGACATATAATAACTAAAACATAGCTGAGATCCAGATAGAAAGAATAAGATAGAGACCTTCAAATAAATGCATGAAAGCTATATTCTTGGTACACTGCTCACAAGAGTGACCCTTTGGTATTCACTATATGCCCATTTAATTTTATTTTGTTTGCTTCTAAGAAGTTAGTTTATGTGACTTACCAACCACTTAGCTAATTAGGAGCATTAAATTAAAACAAAAAAAAATTCTTGCCAGGCACTGAGGCTCATGCATACAGTCCCAGCTACTTGAGAAGCTGAGGTAGGAGGATTACTCAAACCCAGGAGTTTGAAGCTGCAGTGAGCTGTGCTCATATCACTGAACTACATACAGCTGGGTGACAGAGCCAGCCCCTGTCTCTAAAACAAAATTTTTCTTAAGGGAGGCTGCTAAACACAGGCCAAATTCTGTCCATGTGGAATGACAGCTGACTATCTCACAGCAAAGCAAACAGCAGAAAATTTATGAGAAACAAATAAAAAATTTAAGGAGAGTTAGTGTAGGAATAAACCATTCCATATACTCCAGGACTGTTTGAGGGTGCCATTGCTTTATGGCATAGGGAGGAATTGACTTTTATAATGATGATGGTGAATCATCAAAATAAATCTCATTGTGGCTCTGTTTAGAAAGGCAACTTATATAAGTGTAAGTTTTGCTTACATGCTTATATACTTATACTTATGTAAGTTATGTATATACTTATATAAAAATGGTTTCAAGTAAACTTTTAAAATAGTAAAAGTAATACATATTAACTTAAAATGTATTCATACAGAAGAGCATAGAGAAGTTAAAGCTTCCACTCTTTTGCCCCACCCCCTTCTGCCATACTCCACAGAGATTCTTCCATTTTCTATGGTTATTTTATTTTATTATTTTATTTACATTGTTGTGCTTAATAGGCAAAGCTTCAGAAATCTGGGAAATCCAGTTATCCAGAGAACCTATTTTCTCATGATCTTGACTGAGGAAACAGGGTTGTATCTGTAACCATGGTCCACATAGACTCATCATATTTTTACAACAGAAGTAGATAACACAAGCCCCAACTATGCAGATCCAAAATGACATTATCTCTCCTTGACACTTGCATCTCTTACAGCCACCATCCTAAGTACTTTCCACTGGTTTCTTACATACAAGATAAAATTCTGAAAGAGTACTGCTTCCTACTTCAATGCTGAGTTCAATTATGGATAACTACATGGTTCAATATCCGTTTTAAAACATGCCAACAAACTCAAGATCCCCAGTAGAAGTCACAGAAAAAGGACAGAAAGCTTGGTTTAGCAGGAGGGTTTGCCCCTTGGCCTAATTACCTCCTGAATTTCTGATGCCTTTTCAAATGTGGACCAGATAGAGAAACACTAGCCTTCCACCACCTCCATCATCACCTCCTATTTGAAGACAGCTTCTAACAGGAGCTGACTTACCATAGGCCCCAGATCAGTCTGGGTAAAGGACTCTGGGGTTTCAAATTAGAGCCTGAGAAGTCTAAGCAAGAACCTGGAATGTGCCAAAAGTATGTGTTAGAATTAAAGCAAACAGCCATTCTATATTTACTTGGAGGACAAAGAAAGTCATTTAAAAAAATAGGCAACATCCTGGTGCAGAATTTAAATGTATACTTACATTACTTGAAGATTTCCTCATCAAGAAACAAATTTCCATTTCTAATCGCCCTTTTCTTGTGTCCTCTGTACAGATTGCAATTAAGAGGAATATCTACAGAAAACTTAAAATTGTCATAAGTAGCACATGTATTTTTGATGCATTCAAAATAGAGATAGTCCAGGTGCAGTGGCTTACACCTGTAATCCCAGCATTTTGGGAGGCCGACTCAGGAGGATTGCTTGAGGCCAGGAATTGGAGGCTGCAGTGAGCTATGATCACACCACTGAACCCCAGCCTGGGCAACAGTGCAAGACCTTGTCTTCAAAAAAGGAAAGAAAAACAGGCCGGGCGTGGTGGCTCACGCCTGTAATCCTAGCACTTTGGGCGAGCGGATCACTTGAGGTCAGGAGTTTGAGACCAGCCAGGCCAACATGGCGAAACCCCATCTCTACTAAAAATACAGAAGTTAGCCGGTTATGGTGGCACATGCCTGTAATCCCAGCTACTCGGGAGGCTGAGGCAGGAGAATTGCTTGAACCCAGGAGGCAGAGGTTGCAGTGAGCCGAGATTGCGCCACTGCACTCCAGCCTGGGCAACAGAGCGAGACTCCGTCTCAGGAAAAAAAAAAAAAAAAGGAAAAATAGAGAGAGGCTGAAGTTATCAAAATAGAATGATATCTCAAAATAAGAAGTACTGTTGAGAGGTGACAGTGTGCTGGCAGTTCTCACAGCCCTTGCTCGCTCTCGGCGCCTCCTCTGCCTGGGCTCCCACTTTGGCGGCACTTGAGGAGCCCTTCAGCCCACCGCTGCACTGTGGGAGCTCCGTTCTGGGCTGGCCAAGGCCGGAGCCGGCTCCCTCAGCTTGCAGGGAGGTGTGGAGGGAGAGGCGCGAGCGGGAACCGGGGCTGCGCGCGGCGCTTGCGGGCCAGCTGGAGTTCCGGGTGGGCGTGGGCTTGGCGGGCCCCGCACTCGGAGCAGCCGGCCGGCCCGGCCGGCCCTGCCGGCCCCGGGCAATGAGGGGCTTAGCACCCGGGCCAGCGGCTGCGGAGGGTGTACTGGGTCCCCCAGCAGTGCCGGCCCACCGGCGCTGCACTCGATTTCTCACCGGGCCTTAGCTGCCTTCCCGCGGGGCAGGGCTCGGGACCTGCAGCCCGCCATGCCTGAGCCTCCGACCCCCTCCGTGGGCTCCTGTGCGGCCCGAGCCTCCTTGACGAGCGCCACCCCCTGCTCCATGGCGCCCAGTCCCATCGACCACCCAAGGGCTGAGGAGTGCGGGCGAACAACGCGGGACTGGCAGGCAGCTCCATCTATCTGCAGCCCCGGTGCGGGATCCACGAGGTGAAGCCATCTGGGCTCCTGAGTCTGGTGGGGACGTGGAGAACCTTTATGTCTAGCTCAGGGATTGTAAATACACCAATCAGCACTCTGTATCTAGCTCAAGGTTTGTAAAAACACCAATCAGCACCCTGTGTCTAGCTTAGGGTTTGTGAATGCACCAATCGACACTCTGTATCTAGCTACTCTGGTGAGGCCTTGGAGAACCTTTGTGTCCACACTCTGTATCTAGCTAATCTGGTGTGGACTTAGAGAACCTTTCTGTCTAGCTCAGGGATTGTAAAGGCACCAATCAGCGCCCTGTCAAAACAGACCACTGGGCTCTACCAATCAGCAGGAAGTGGGTGGGGCCAGATAAGAGAATAAAACCAGGCTGCCTGAGCTAGTAGTGGCAACCAGCTTGCGTCCGTTTCCATGTTGTGGGAGATTTGTTCTTTCGCTCTTTGTGGTAAATCTTGCTACTGCTCACTCTTTGAGTCCACACTGCTTTTATGAGCTGTAACACTCACCGGGAAGGTCTGCAGCTTCAATCCTGAAGCCAGCGAGGCCACCAGCCCACCGGGAGGAACGAACAACTCCAGACGCACCGCCTTAAGAGCTGTAACACTCACCGCGAAGGTCTGCAGCTTCACTCCTGAGCCAGCGAGACCACGAACCCACCAGAAGAAAGAAACTCCGAACACATCCGAACACCAGAAGGAACAAACTCCAGACGCGCCAACTGTAACACTCACCGCGAGGATCCGTGGCTTCATTCTTGAAGTCAGTGAGACCAAGAACCCACCAATTCCGGACACACTGTGAGTCAGGATCAGTCTTATTATAGCTAATTAGAGCAACCCCATTGCTAAAGAGTTTAGAGCCTGGGTCAGACTTCATGGTAGCAAAGCAATGTTTTATTGTAATAGTGTAATTAGGAATGTGTGGCAATATTTTAACCCCTCCTCCCAAGAGTTCCACAATGCTTTCTTAACATGTTTATAAATATTTGCTTTTGTGCCATTTTAGGGGAGCTTTCCGTACAAACATTTGGCTTTTAATGAGTCATCCACACTCTGATTCATACCCATAAGCTTCCTGCTTTGTTATCAGTGAATATTGGGCTCAGTAACTGCCTTACTTTTATAATTTACATGAATGAATATGGAAAAGGTGGTGGAGGTAGAAAGACATATTCAGGTAAATATAAAAACACCCTGGTTTCTTTACAAGAGATTGACAAATACGGCCCAATACCCTATCATTTAAAGTAAGTGCCAGAATTGTGATGGATTTGTGTTTGGCCTTAAAAAAAAATAAAAATAAAAATAAAAACAAAAACACTTGGATAATTCTACCTGATGTTACATTTTTCTTTTTTTTTTTCTTTTCTTTTTTTTTTTTTTTTTTTGAGATGGAGTTTTCCTCTGTCACCCAGGCTGGAGTGCAGTGACGTGACCTCAGCTCGCTGCAACCTCTGCCTCCCAGATTCAAGCAATTCTCTCTCAAATTGCTCAGAAGCTGAGCAATTCTGCCTCAGCTTCCCAAATAGCTGGGATTACAGGTGCGTGCCACCAGGCTCAGCTAATTTTTGTATTTTTAGTAGAGATGGGGTTTCACCATGTTGGCCAGGCTGGTCTTGAACTCCCGACCTCAGGTGATACGCCCGCCTCGGCCTCCCAAAGTGCTGGGATTACAGGCATGAGCCACTGCGCCCAGCCTGATGTTCCATTTTTCTAATCACCAAGTGTATTTATTAGCTAAGGGTATCCCAGAAATTAAATTACCAACATAAAATTTTACTTGTGCTATTATAATTTAGCTATTAAATCCTAAAATTATCAACTGAAAGCTACTGGAAAAATAAATACTTCTCTTTCTTTTCTCCATATTGAAAGTAAAGAGAATGAGGATCCTTAGCTAAGATTTTAATTAAATCTTTTCTGAGCCAGAATTGCAAAGCTTTTCTTTGTATAAATAAGGACTCGAGTTATAAAGCATAGAACTAGCAATGAGTCTATCTTGGTCCATTTGGATTGCTATAAAGGAGTACCTGAGGCTGGGTAATTTATAAAGAAAAGACGTTTATTCGACACATGATTCTGCAGGATGTACAAGAAGCATGGCACCAGCATCTGCTCTTGGTGAAAACTTCAGGTGGCTTTGACTCCTGGTGGAAGAAGGGAAGTCTAGCTTGTGCAGAGCTCCCATGGCCAGAGAAGGAAGGGGGGTTTGAGGAGGTGCCAGGCTCTTTGAATAGAGCGAGAACTCACTCATTACCAAGAGAAGGCACCAAGCCATTCATGAGGGATACACCCCTGTGACCCAAACCTTGCCCCCCTTCCAACATTGGGGCTTAAATTTCAATGTGATGTTTAGGGGTACAAACATCCAAACCACAGCAGAGAAATACAGAGTTCTGTATTTCTATTCCCAAAGGGCAAAATTTGGGAGGTGAATGGGTCTATATGTGTGTTGGGGGGAAGAAGTTAATATGAAGAAAAGAAACTAAAGTGCTTTACATAATAATGAGAATTACAGATTAAAAAATCTGTAATCTTTCCCTAAAAAGGGAAAGAAGTACCATGCAAATTATGAGGTAAGTAGACTATATGACTTATTTATTTTTATTAGGTTAGAGCAAGAATTGCAAACTCAAGGTCCTGACTCCTTGAATTGCACTCTATGGACCCAGTCATACTTCATTTGCATATTATATATTAAATGCTTTGGCATGATCTTTGCTCCCCCTTACATCCTCAAAACACTCTTTTTCCATTTTTCTTAAAATATATGTTCCTCTTTGTCTATATTTTATTTTTCCAACTTTGAAAAGGACTTACACATAAAAATGGTATCACTTTCTTCTTAACTGTAAGAAAAATGGTCTCAGCCATACATTGATGAATGGCAGCTGTCATTCAGCCTCAGTGTGAAGGAGACAACAATGAGTGGTGAGGACTGTAATAAAATGGAAAGCACATGCCCATCCAAAAGTGAGCATTCACTTCTAGGAACTAGTAAAAATGGTAATAGCCAGATCTTTCTATTTTTTCACAAGAAGCCTGAAAGTATTTAAATATTTTATGACTAATTCAAATGCTTTAAAAATAAGCAATTTGATTCTAGGAGGCCAAACTAGTTGCTATCTATGATTTAAACCATAGTGTCTTTCAGAATTAATGTATGTCCTTGGCGGGTGTGTGTGTGTGTGTGTGTGTGTGATCCCAAAACACCAATAATTACCAGTGAAAAATTTAGGAGATTAAATATGTGTACTTTAATCCACATTGGGGGAAGAGAGAGATATAAAAGGTGCTGAGAACCTTGAAGTGGTGCCCCTCCTGATCTGCCTTCTACCTCTTCAACATACGTGCTGTGCACCATGAAAGACTTGAAGTGCAATGGCAATCTGTGATCCTTTGTGGAAACCTTTCCCTAATTTGCCCCAGAGTGAATGTTTCACACTTGGATTCACATTTGCTGAGAGAGGCGGAAAAATCTTAGGGACAATTAGAACAATAATAACAACATTCATATTATTATTCAATGACAGCAACATTCATATTCATTCTTTCATTCAGCAAATATTTATTGCACACTTGCTATGTGCTAGAACTATAAAATGGCAATGATGTGTTAGGTAATTTGTAATCATGGGGAAAAAATCAGTTAGGGAAAGACAAAACTGCCTTCCCTTATAGAGATTATATTCATTGAGGAGACAAATAATAAATAAAATGAATAGTGTAACATAGGTTAGATAGTGACAAGTGCTATGGAGAAAAAGAAAGTAGGAAAGGGTCATTTCTCTGGTTTCCTGATGTGTAATTGGAATAGATATCCTTGGTAGCTGGTAGAATCTCTGCAGTGATTCCTTGTACTGTGGGGTAAAAGCTATGTTAGCAGGGGAGACCAAGAGGAATAGCTGAAACAAAATTCACTTTCTCAGTAAGATAGTAAATAAGAAAGTGATATTGCATCCTGGGAAACATGGCCGAGATTAGTGCTTCTCTTTAAGACCTAAAGGATGCAGAGTGATGGCCCTCACTCATCCTCATTTAATTCACCTGTCAGGCCCTTGCAAAAATTGGTCTGATCCTGGGGGATAATAAACTCAACCAAATAGTTGCCCCAATTGCTTTTGTTATGCGAGATATATCTTTGCTAGAACAAACTGATTAACCTGGCCTCAGGTACCTTGCATTGATTGGCAAATGTATTCATTTCTATTCCTGTAAAGAAAGAGAAACAAAAGCACGGGAATGACACAGACTTTTACAGCACTGAGCAGGGCTAATTCTCATGCCCTCTGTCATAATATAACCTAAAGGGACTTGGACTGTCTGGATACTCCGCACATCAACACCATAACCCACTATACTGATGATATCATGTGTGATGGTTTTCAAATATGCACACAAATTTCTGATTCTTCTTTCTTCAAGAGGTGGAGCTTAATTCCCCTTCAATTGAGGGTGAGTCGGGCATAGTGACTTGCTTCTAATTAATAAAATATTGCAGAAGTGATGATGTGGTTTTTCTAAGACACTGCAACTTCCTTTCCTTGCTCTCTCTTGAATAACATGCTCTGAAGGAAATCAGGTACTATGTGATGAGGACATTCAAGCAATCCTAGGGAGAGATTCATGTAGAAAAGAACTAAGGCCTCCTGCCAAAAGCCATTTGAGTCAGCCCTCTTGGAAGTAAACCCTCTACCCCTAGTAAAGCCTTCGGATGACTGCAGCCCTGGGCAGCATCTTGACTGCAAACTCATGAGAGACCCTGAGCCACAATCACCCAGCTAAGCCACTCTTAAATTCCTGTCCTATACTGTGAGATAATAAATGTTTACTGGTTTCAGCTGAAAGGTGACAGAGTGGGAGTCATGTCACCATCTCTGGCTGTACACGGAAGAATTACAGTGAGTGACCTTTAACACAACCCCTTAGTGCTCCTTCGGTACCCAGTAAATGAGGGTTATCATACAACTATGATTATAGAGCAATAGATCTGGCTTATTCATGAGACACTTCTGAGCAGTCATAAATTAAAGCATGCATGCAAAAGCCCAAGATATGCCGTTAACAACACTGGAACCAGACCTCGGTTTTCTCACTTTATTATCTGTTCTCCTCTTCTTTGGTTTCTTTTTATTTTGTTTTTTTCCATCATTGAATGATGGTGAAGTTAATAATGGAAAAGAGGGAGGGAAGAAGAGAAGAAAGGAAGTTGAATATATGAAGGACCAAAGAGAATATTACCTTCCTCCTTCTCGGGTGTGCTTAGACACAAAACCTAACATCCAAATAAACCAAGGTGTCATTTGGATCTCTAATGGAGATTGCCAAGAGTTCTGTATGAGACAGATTCCTATTAAAGTCTCAGAACACGTTCTGTGCAAGATCATCTCTGGAGAGCATATATGTTGGGAAACCCTTTTCCCTCTGCCTTCCCTAAATTTGGTCTGGAACACTGTTTTGGGGTCCACACATATCCTTCAACCCAACACAATCTCAACACAAGAAGAGATCAGGGTAAATGGGGATCAGGAAGGAATATGTATCCTTCTTCCAGTCATGAATGAACTTAGATATCAGGGGGACAAATTTCTGAGTGTTATTTCTCCATGGCTTCCCCTGATGTGGCCTAAGTGGGTGAGGAGGCATTTTTCCCAGCCCTTATCACCCAAGTCTTTCTATTCTGGCCCCTCAGATAGAGACTTGGTAATACATCACTTTTGTTTTGGCTGCCCTGCCTGACCCACCTCTCCTCTTTCTAACAGAAAATAGCTGCTGCCCCACTCCTGTGCCAAAATCTGCTCCAAGGGATCCTATCCTAGTCAGAAGGCTGTACTCTGAATGCTGATATTAGCTACAACACCAAGGCTTCCCACTATACAAACTGGATCCTCAAAGTCATCCACACCAAATGAACTCTCTATTCTTTCTCCCAGTAGCCTGAGAACTGGGTTTACCAGCCTTGGCCCTTCCTTTCCTTCTAGCCTCAAAACAGGATGGGAACAGAGTCTTTGGCTGTGAGAATGGGCTCAATAACAAAATAAAGATGACAGAAGAGTCAGTGACTTCAATGACAGAGCGATAGAAATTACCAATATAAACGGAGAGAAAAGAGATTTTTTAAAAATGAACAAATCCCCAAGGACCTGTGAGACAATAACTGTGTTAGGTTTTCTAAACTTACAAGTGTTTTTATTTATATATGGTAAGCAACTATGCATTATTTGTGTCAGAATTATTTTTTGTATATATTTAAGGTATACAACATGATGTCTCAACATACTTATATGTAGTGAAATGGTTACTACAGTCACCACACTTATTGTCTCACAGGTTATTGTCTTCAGAAGGAGAGTAAAAAGAATGCTGGGTAGAAGAAATACCTGAAGAAATAATGGCCCAACCTCAAATTTGGTGAAAGACATAAACTTACAGATTCAAGAAACTGAGTGTTCCCCAAACAGAATAAACTTTAAAGAATCCACACTCAAACACATCATAATCAAACTTCTGAAAACTAACAACAAAGAAAAACTTAAAATCAGCAAGAGAGAAACCACACATTATCAACTGATGAAAAGTGACTCAAGTGACAGCAGATTTATAATCAGAAACTTGAAGGACAGAAGGAAGAGGCAAAACATTTTGAAAGCCCTAAAAGGAAAGAACTGTCAACCCAGAATTCGACATCCAGTAAAAATATCCGTCAAGAATGAATATGAAGGAAAGCTAAGAATGAATATATCTTCTATTTCTTTGCTAAATTTTTCTACTTTTTCATTTGATGTAAGAGTGTTTATAAGTGCTTATGGAGCATTTTTATGATAGTTGGTTTACAATCCTTGTCTGAGAGTAGCTATGTGAGATGACGTATATAGTAAATGGTGACTGTAGTAACCATTTCACTACATATAAGTATGTCAAAACATGTTGTACACCTTAAATATACACAAAAAATAGCTCTGACACAAAAAATGCATAGTTGTTATTACCATGTATAAATAAAAATACTTGTAAGTTTAGAAAATAAAATCATTGTCTGATAATTATCTAAATAATAAAGTCCATCTGTGTCATCTTGGTGTTGGCATCTATTGATCATTTTTCATTTGACTTGAAGTTTTCCTGATATGGTGAGTCATTTTTGACTGTATCCTGGACTTCTGGGTATTATAAGACTCTAGCTCCTATTTGGAACTCGTATTTTATAAAGTAGTTAACTCTGTCTGTTCAGAATGCACATCCTAGCTGACTTTTGTGGGCTGTGATTCAAATGTTAATTTAGTTTATAAAACTTCTTCTACAGTGCCATTCTGTAGGGGTTTATAGTAGACAAAATAATTCCCCTCAGCCTAGAGTTCTATACATCTTAATCCCTAGAACCTAAGAATCTGTTACCTTACTGGTAAAAGGGACTTTACACATGTGATTAAGATAAGGATCTTCATATGGGAAGGGTATTCAGGTAGGCCCAATGCGATCACAAGTGTCATTATAAGAGAAAAGTAAGACAGTCAATAGAAGAGATGAGATGTGTTTACAGAAGTAGCAGTTGGAATGATGTACTTTGAAGATGGAGGAAGGGGCCATGGGCCAAGGAGTACAGGCAGACTCTGGAAGCTGGAACAGGCAAGAAAATGGATCATCCCCTCAAGACTCCAGAAAAAATGCACCTCTGTGTGCACCTTGATTTTAATCCCATAAGACCCCTTTTGAACTTTGGATCTCCAGAAGTGTAAAATAGTAAATTTTTGTTCTTTTAAGCCACTAATTTTTTGGTAATTTGTTACAATAGCAACAGGAAATTAATAGAGGAGTGAAAGCCAGAGGCCCACGAACCAACTCTACTACAATAGTACTAGTGGAATGAGGGAGGGGCATGGCTTTTTTTCATAGTGTTTGTCTCAAGTACAGGCAAATTACCTTCCAAATTCCCTCACATTGTTGGCAGAATTCATTTCCTTTCAGTTATCAGACTGAAATCCCCATTATCTTGCTAGCTGTCAGATGGGGACCACTCTGCTCTTAGAGGCCACTTTCAGGCCCTTGCCAAATGGACCCTTCTATCTTAGCTCAAGAAAACCTTCTTCATGTCTAATCTCTCTCATTTTGAATCTCCCGACTTCCTCTTCTGCAAGTAGCCAGAGAAAACAGCTTTTAAAGGGCTCATGTGATTAGACCAGGACCACCTGGATAATCTTCCTATCTTAATGTCAACTGTACCATATAGCGTAACCTAATCACAGGAATAAACTCCATCGAATACATCGTTCCAGGTCGAGGCATGTACATCAGTGATGAGAAATCTTAGGAGACACCTTAGACTTTTGCCTGCCAAATATAGTTAAAAGGTTTTTGTCTTGTTGGGCTGTACCTTTCCCAGTATTCTGGCTAGAAAGAGGGGGATTTAAGGGGGATGGGGGAAGGGCTTTTTTTTGTCTGTGCCCATTGTTGTTTCCAGGTTGCAGGCATCTCTTGCACACAGGCCTGTATATCTAGGAGGTGAGAAAACCAAGAAACTCACTGTCAGGTCTCCAGTTCTTGTGTGATATATATATATACAATATGTACATATATATATAATATATATAAAATAAAGGGACTCTTCAAGTCCCTAGTTCCCTAGTGTGAAATAATAAGAAATAAATATATAAATAATATATATATACACACACACATATATAGTATATATATACGCACACATATATATACACACACACACACATATATATATATACTCTCTGCCCCTGGTTTCTGATACTGAATTTTTTTTTTTTTTTTGAGACAGAGTCACACACTGTTGCCCAGGCTGGAGTGCAGTGGCATGATCTCAGCTCACTGCAAACTCCACCTCCCAGGTTCACGCCATTCTCCTGCCTCAGCCTCCCGAGTAGTTGGGACTACAGGTGCCCACCACCACGCCTGGCTAATTTTTTTGTATTTTTACTAGAGACGGAGTTTCAGCATGTTAGCCAGGATGGTCTCGATCTCCTGACCTCGTGATCTGCCTACCTCAGCCTCCCAAAGTGCTGGGATTACAGGCGTGAGCCACCCGCGCCTGGCCCAGTTTTCTGTTCTTGTGTTAGCTTGCTGAGAATGATGGTTTCCGGCTTCATCCATGTCCCTGCAAAGGACATGAACTCATTCTTTTTTTATGGCTGCATAGTATTCTGTGGTGTATATGTGCCACATTTTCTTTATCCAGTCTATCATTGATGGGCATTTGGGTTGGTTCCAAGTCTTTGCTATTGTAAATAGTGCTGCAATAAACATACGTGTGCATGTGTCTTTATAGAATGATTTATAGTCCTTTGGGTATATACCCAGTAACAGGATTGCTGGGTCAAATGGTATTTCTGGTTCTAGATCCTTGAGGAATCACCACACTGTCTTCCACAATGGTTGAACTAATTTACACTCCCACCAAAAGTGTAAAAGCATTCCTATTTCTCCACATACTCTTCAGCATCTGCTGTTTCCTGACTTTTTAATGATCGTCATTCTAACTGGCACGAGATAGTATCTCATTGTGGTTTTGATTTGCATTTCTCTAATGATCAGTAATGATGAGCTTTTTTTCATATGTTTGTTGGCTGCATAAATGTCTTCTTTTGAGAAGTGTCTGTTCATATCCTTTGCCCACTTTTTGGTGGGGTTTGTATTTTTTTTCTTTTTTTCTTTTTTTTGAGACAGTCTTGCTCTATTGGCAGGCTGGAGTGCAGTGGCACGATCTCAGCTCACTGCAACCTCTGCCTCCTGGCTTCAAGCCATTCTCCTGCCTCAGCCTCTCGAGTAGCTGGGACTACAGGTGCGTGCCACCACGCCCAGCTAATTTTTGTGTTTTCAGTAGAGACAGGGTTTCACCATGTTGGCCAGGATGGTCTTGATCTCTTGACCTCGTGATCCACCTGCCTTGGCCTCCCAAAATGCTGGGATTACAGGGGTGAGCCACCACGCCTGGCCTGTTTGTATTTTTTTTCTTGTAAATTTGTTTAAGTCCCTTGTAGATTCTGGATATTAGCCCTTAGTCAGATGGATAGATTGCCAAGATTTTCTCCCATTCTATAGACTGCCTGTTCACTCTGATGATAGTTTCTTTTGCTCTGCAGAACCTCTTTAGTTTAATTAGATCCCATTTGTCAATTTTGGCTTTTGTTGCCATTGCTTTTGGTGTTTTAGTCATGAAGTCTTTGCCCGTGCCTATGCCCTGAATGGTATTACCTAGGTTTTCTTCTAGGGTTTTTATGATTTTACATCTTGCGTTTAAGTCTTTAATCCATCTTGAGTTAATTTTTGTATAGGATATAAGGAAGGGGCCCAGTTTCAGTTTTCTGCATAGGGCTAGCCGGTTTTCCCAACGCCATTTATTAAGCAGGGAATCCTTTCCCCATTGCTTATTTTTGTCAGATTTGTCAAAGATCAGATGGTTGTAGATGTGTGGCATTATTTCTGAGGCCTGTGTTCTTTCCATTGGTCTATATATCTGTTTTGGTACCAGTACCAAGCTGTTTTGGTTACTGTAGCCTTATAGCATAGTTTGAAATCAGGTAGCGTGATGCCTCCAGCTTTGTTCTTTTTGCTTAGGAGTGTCTTGGCTAATGGACTCTTTTTTGGTTCCATATGAAATTTAAAGCATTTTTTTCTAATTCTGTGAAGAAAGTCAATGGTAGCTTGATGGGGATAGCATTGAATCTGTAAATTACTTTGGGCAGTATGGCCATTTTCACAATATTGATTCTTCCTGTCCATGAGCATGGAATGTTTTTCCATTTGTTTGTGTCCTCTCTTATTTCTTGAGCAGTGGTTTATAGTTCTCCTTGAAGAGGTCCTTCACATTCCTTTTAAGTTGTATTCCTAGGTATTTTATTCTCTTTGTAGCAATTGTGAATAGGAGTTCACTCATGATTTGGCTCTCTGTTTGTCTATTATTGGTGTATAGGAATGCTTGTGATTTTTGCACATTGATTTTGTATCCTGAGACTGCTGAAGTTGCTTATCAGCTTAAGGAGATTTTGGGCTGAGACGATGGGGTTTTCTAAGTATACAATCATGTCATCTGCAAACAGAGAAAATTTGACTTCCTGTCTTCCTATTTGAATACCCTTTCTTTCTCTTGCCTGATTGCCCTGGCCAGAACTTCCAATACTATGTTGAATAGGAGTGTTGAGAGATGGCATCCTTGTCTTGCGCTAGTTTTCAAAGGGAATGCTTCCAGCTTTTGCCTATTCAGTGTGATATTGGTTGTGGGTTTGTCATAAATAGCTCTTATTATTTTGAGATACGTTCCATCAATGCCTAGTTTATTGAGAGTTTTTAGCATGAAGGGGTGTTAAATTTTATCAAAGGCCTTTTCTGCATCTATTGAGATAATCATTTGGTTTTTGTCATTGGTTCTATTTATGTGATGAATTACATTTATTGATTTGAGTATATTGAACCAACCTTGCATCCCAGGGATGAAGCTGACTTGATTGTGGTGGATAAGCTTTATGATATGCTGCTGGATTCAGTTTGCCAGTATTTTATAGAGGATTTTCGCATTGATGTTCGTCAGGATATTGGCCTGAAATTTTCTTTTTTTGTTTTCTTACACTGAATTCTTAAAACCCTTATAATTTCCTAAGCAACAGGGGTGCTAGAAGCATCTTTTGTTTTATTGTTTGGTCTTTAACCCTGGTTCCTGATACAGAGCTCCTAAACCCCTTGGAATTTCCTGGTGATAGGAACATCTTTTGTTGTAATGAGGCAATTCAATGTTGCCAGAGAAGTCTCGCCATGGCTTGAAACTTCCCAGCCTCACTCTCATCCTCCAGGAGGGGAGGAACTGGAGATTAAGTTAATCCATCATGCCCTATATAATGAAGCCACCATAAGAATCCCTGAATTATGGGGTTTAGAGAGATTCTGGGTTGGTGAGCACATCCACATGAGGGGAGGGTGACACAGCCTAATTCCACAGGGACAGAAGCTTCTGCTCTTCTGTCTTTACCCTATGTACCTCTTCATCTGGCTGCTCATCTGTGTCCTTTGTAATATCCTTTATAATAAACTGGTAAACATAAATAAGTGTTTCACTGAGTTCCGTGAGCCATTTTACCAAATGATTGAACCCAAGCAGGCTGTTGCAAGAGCCTGATTTATAGCTGGTTGGTCAGAAGTACAGGTCACAACCTGGACTTGTAACTGTTGTCTGAAGTGGGGGCAGTCTTGTGGGAACTGAGCCCTTACCCTGTGGGGTCCGCACTAACTCCAGGTAGTAGTGTCCGATTAAATTATGAGATACCCAGAGGTGTCAGAGAATTGGTTGGTGTGAGAAAAGTACTATGCATTTTGGTAAGCAGAAGTGTTGGGAGTATAGAGAAAAACAGTTCGTACTCAATACAACTTCTTTTATCCACCTTTCAGGATCTTCTGGTAAGTGAGTTTTGTATTTTGTCAAGGGCAGCTGTTGATTTAAAAGGAAAATTAAAATGGGATGCATTTACTCCATCTTATTTGGAACTGGACCCTGCCTTGTACTTCAAAACAAGGTATTAGAAAGATGAATGGAAAGATTAAGGTTAAGAGGAAAGACCAGTGAACTAGAAGGTCAGGAGACCTAGGTTCTGGTTCTGATTCTATAATTAACTAGTACAGTGGTTTTCATATTTGTATGCATGAGCCCCAAAAGTATGTGGTGTTAAATATTAGAACTTCTATTTGTAATTACTTTGGCTTATCCTTTTAAAATTTCAGTTTTGGAGTATGTTTTATAATGCACACATTTTAAAATTTTAGTTTTAGTGTATGTTTTATACATATTATAAAATATATAATAGAATATATTTTATAATAACATATATAATACCTCATATATATGTTAGTGCATACATATATATTAATACATAAATATACATATATTGGTGATGCATGCTCAAAAATGTTTAGGAATTAATGACAATATCAGATATCTAAAATTGAACTGCCCCAGATTTTCTGGGACTCTAACTGCCTTAAACGTGTCATGTCTGAATTGGGACAACTCCCTTCAACATAGAACAGATTGTAAGTATATTTATCAATTAAGATCCTTTTATATGTCTTTGGTTGGAAATATAATTCTTAGCTCAAATAAAGCTTCCTATATTCTTTAGCACTTTTACATGAAGAAACGTTTGAATGAGGGTGAATCATTCCTAGAGAAGTAACATTGAGAATGAAATCAAATAAATAAAATTTAAGTTCATGGTTCTGACATCATAAAATTAGGTGGGCTGAGATTAAGGAAATAGGTGTTTTCTAGAATGCATGTAAGATCCTTCTTAGTCAATCCACTAGTCATCCAGTCTCATTAATCTTCTTGTCTTTAACCTTAACATGGAGAGGCTCATTTACATACAACACTTAAATATAATTCAGGGTCACTTCTATGTTGGTTTTTTACTGGCAATGATGCAGAGAAAATGAGGCAAAGTTTCCTCCAAGGTTCCAATGTCTTTGACTTCACATGGCTGCATGTGACAGAGACTGCTAATTGATCCCCTACCTCCAGTCCCCTAATGTTTCTTTTTTTAGTGGACCTTTCCAGTATCCTAATCTTTCTTTTTGTTAGTGGAATTTTATCTGGCATGTGACTGCCTTGTTAGAGGCATTCCTTGCAGCTTTTTGTAGCCAGTTGACCAAGTTTTCCCCAAGGGGATATAAATAGAAGAGAGTGTGTAACATCTGCATCACATTCTTAAGAGGAAGCTGCTTGCCCTGCATATCTTCCTGCTTCCTTTGGGCTGGAATGCAGTTGTGATGGTGGTCAGCAAGCTTCGATCATGCCCACGAGGAAAACAAGGAGAAGCTGGAATAAAAAGGAAGCTGTGTGATCTACAGAAGCAGAGTGCCTTCCTAACAAGCACTGTCCAGAAGCTCCAGACTGCTTCATGAAAGAGAAAGAAACACCTTGTTTAAGCCATTATTATATTTTGGAGTCTCTTTGTTGCAACAGCTTACTTATAACCTAACTAATATATCTAACACCTGTTTGTTCATCATGCATTAACTTCCTACTGTGTGTTAGATACTGTTCAGATACTGTTCTAAATTCTAGAGATTAAAAAATAATAAATTAGGCATAGACATACTTCCTATTCTGAAGAACTCCCAACCTAAGAAAGGAAAATTTGATTGGAAGGGAAATGGGAAGATAATTCACATTTATTAAACACCTATGTGTTCACACACTGTCTCAGGCTGTTTGGACTGCTATAAGAAAATATCATAGACTGGGTGGCTTATAAACAACAGAAATTTGCTTGTCATAATTCTAGAGACTCGGAAGTCCAAGATCAAGGTGCTGGCAAATTTGGCATTTCTGATGAGGGTCCACTTTCTGGTTCATAGATGGCTGTCATTTTACTGTGTCTTCACATGGCAGAAGGAACTAAGGAGTCTCTCGTGTCTCTTTATTTTTTTATTTTTTTATTTTTTGTGATGAAGTGTTCTGTTGCCCAGGCTGGAGTGCAGTGGTGCAATCTCAGCTCACTGCAACCTCCACCTCCTGGATTCAAGCAATTCTCGTGCCTCAGCCTCCCAAATACCTGGGACCACAGGTGTGCACCACCACACATGGCTAATTTTTTGTATTTTCATTAGAGAAGGGGTTATACCATGTTGGCCAGGCTGGCCTTGAACTCCTTGCCTCCCACAGTGCTAGGATTGCAGTGTGAGCCACCTTGATTTTGTGCCTCAGCCTCCCAAGTAGCTGGGACCACATGTGCGTGCCACCATACCTGGCTAATTTTTATATTTTTAGTAGAGTTGAGGTTTCACCAGGTTGCTGGTCTTGAACTCCTGACTTCAGGTGATCTGCCTGCCTTGGCCCCCCAAAGTGCTGGGATTACAGGCATGAGCCACTGCACCCAGCCCTCGTACTTCTTTTATAAGGGCACTAATCCCAATCATGAGAGCTCCACCCTCATAACCTAATTCCCTCTCAAAGTGCCCACTTCGTAATACCATCACTTTTGGTGTTAGGATTTCAACATATGAATTTTGAGGGGACAAACATTCAGACATTGCACTGGTTTATTAATCCATGCATTGGTTTATTAATGCTCACCAAAAACATTGCATGGTGAGTGGTATAATTGTCATTATACAGCCACTTGATGATTCGGGGGCACATCTGCCTTGTAAATGGTAGATGTACTATGCATTTTTATCAGTGCCTTTAATCTAGGGCTACTGATTTTGATGGAGCCAGTAAAACCATCTCTCTATGGCCACAATTGAGATTCCTCCTATAGTAGGCATATGTGGTTTGTATTCCACAATCCCATCCATTCTCTGTCTCCGCAGCAGCTCTCAATATTCATACTGAGTTTTACTCCTCACCCATTCACTCCTACTCTCAGTCCATTTGATTAAGACTACACTTCTGTCGTCACTCAAAGGCAAAATATATTCCTTAAGCCAGTCAGTCCATCATATTCCCTTAGCCACTGCAATTAACTCAGTGGTAAGTACAAGGCTAAGTCAGTAACTCTGAGATCCTGGGGAAGCTGACTTGCTTTTTCTCGTTTGTCTTGAACCCAAGAGGATGGAAGGACTGGAGCACGACCACAATGACCCTGATACTGAAAACATACAGAAGGTGGAATTATAAGATGGAGAGGAACCCAATTACTGTTGAATTGTTTAGCTTGAGTCCAGTTATGCTTGAAACCTGGGCGCTACAATTAGGCTTTTCAGTTACTTGTGCCATGAAATTTTCTTTTCACATAGTTTTGGTTGGGTTTTCTGCTACTTGTGACCGAAAGTATCCCATTCATCCCCTAGAGTCTTAGCTTGTATCAGAGGTGAGCTCCTTCTACTCATTAGTGGAGAAAGTATACATCATTCTACTCTGTTTTTCATAAGTTTATTGCTTTTAAGAACCTCCAAGATTCTTGATAAACAAAAATTTACCTTATAAAACACAAGATGCTTTGTCAGCAACAGTAATATATAGTAAATTACTGCTGCTTCAGAGAGACTTTATAACACCTATCTTACTCAGTAACTTTGGATTTCCCACAGTTCCTGGCTGGTGTATTTTCAGTAGTAGCATTGATGATTTTTCATATTCATGTACATTAAAAATACAACTTTTGATCTAATTGTATCCTCCTAAGTCTAAATATAGTGCAGAATCAGAAAGACTTTAAGCTCCAAGGCAAAACTTTAGTGAGTTAAATTTAATCTTCCTGCAACATAAAAAAAAATTAAACTGTTATTTCTTCTTTGTAGGACTATTAGAGCTAATTCAATAGCACTGTCTTATATCCTTTTTAAAGAAATCTTTGATTATTGTATTTGCTCGGAAACATTGTGATTAAAAATGGATCAAATTAAACTCTGCATCATAATCTTCACTTTTAATCTCATGAATTTGGCTGGAAAGAAGTGGCTATATTTTCATTAATTCTACTGAAACTAGATTTTTATGAAATAAATTAATACTATTTATTTCACAGGAGGTTTTTTTCCATAGGTTTTGTGTAGTACACCCATTTATACATTATGCATCTGTGCTCCTGACTTTCATTTATCCTTCACGCTGTCTCCCCGAGATGAAGGAGGTAGAACAAATGTGTCAGAGCTCTGTGAGGGGAGATGAGAGGCTGAGAGTGGAGGTGTGAATGTGGGAGTGTGTGTTTAAGACAGCATCTGTTGGTGTGTGGGAGCAAAGGTTCAAAGAGCAAAGATGTGTGTTAGAATTCAGAGGCTGCTTAAAACTGCTGCTCAAATGGCTTTTTTTAATGTCAAGTTTCAATTAAAGCTCTGATTTTTCAGTTTTTGAGAGAGAGAGAGAGAGTACTATAATAGATATCAAATTAACATGAAGCAGAACTCTAATAGAATCCATGAAATTTTAGAAAAGGGCTACATAGACCTTGATGTAAGGTTTCATCTGTCACACTTAAAACGTAACCTGTAACATTTTACATCCATATTACCACTCTTTAATATGTTTATGTTCAAATGACTTATATTTTTCACACATTGGAACTAGAAACTGTCCTTAAAACTATCACATACACATTTGCCCCAACATACCCCTATTCTTATAACAAATTTTTTTCATCTGAATTTTGAAGCTATAATTTTTTGAAAGACTAATTTTATAAATGCAACTGAATTTTTTTAAACTCTGTTTTTGTTTTATGAAAATACAAAATATTGAGGGCACCTGTGTAAGAATTAATATTCTTGGGTTCTACCTCTCGTCTTGGCACTAACCTGGCACAAAATCCTGGGCATATAATCTCAGTGATTCAAGACTCAGACTTCTAATGTAAACTAAGGTGGTTTTATCAGATAATCTCCAAGATCTTTTCAAGGTCCGTAATTCCCTAAAATAGACATGATTTATAAATCACAAATATTACCGTTGTGATTAATAGGAAGGAATATGATGTACTTTTGAAGACTTACTCAGTTATTTAATCGTAATTCTAGATAACAGATTTACATTTTTAGTCAGGAATAAAATTGCTTGAAATTACCCATGAATCTTGTCCTTCTTTTGTCTGAATTTGGGACAGCCTTAGAATACAAAGTATCATAAATAATTATGAAGCAATAAGCTTTGTACAGGAAAGGACTTTGTTTTGTCACTGCTAAATCCCCAGTTCCCAGAGCAATGCTGCACATATGGGGAGACTTAAAACTTGGTAAATGAATAAATAAGAAAGTACTGGGGTACAGGGATTTATAAAACCCAATGGGAAAACAAAGAGTGAAGGCTTTGCAGGAGGGATAATAAATGAGCTGGATCTATAGGGGTGAACTAGAGTTTGCCAAGCAGAGAAGGAGGAAAAGACATTCCGAGCGGAGCAAAGTATACTGTGGCAGATACTGCAAGTCATCTCCCAATAGCCATCCTTCTTCCTTCCCTAGGAACACAATTCCTGGCCCAGGAATGAAGACTATATTTTCTACTTCCTTTATAGCTAAGTGTAGTCACTAACTGACTAGGTTTCAGTCAATGGGGTTAAAGTAGAAGGTATCCCTTTGATGAAGTGTCCTTAATTAGAAGAGGGTGAGATCTTCATTTCCTTCTTCCTTTCCACTGGCTGAACTACAAACATGATGGTGTGTGGTGACTAGATAACATGTCCATTTAGCCAGGCTGAGCCACCTTTTCCAGAGTTCTCTTTCCTGTATGTTTCCACTGAGAGAAGGCCACAGGGAGATTCTTGTAGGAGAGGTAGAGGGCTTCAGCCATTTTGTAGCTCTCACACCTTGTCACTGATCTGCTGACTCACCTCAGTGCTGTGAAGCAGCAACTGCTCCATGTTCCCCTGGATTTTCCTTCAGCTTCTGACTCCTGGGTCATGTGTGTTGTGTTTGGCTGTGACAGTGAGCCTTGGCTTCTGCAAGATACTCATGCTACCATGGTTAGAGGCATTAATAACTGGCACAGGTTTCAGTCTGTCCTCATGGGGCTATTAGTTCATTTTTGTGCTCATGTAACATAATACTACAGACTAAGTAATTTATGATGAACAAAAAGTTATTGGCTCACAAATATGGAGGCTGGAAAGTCTAAGATCAAGGGGCTGGCATCTTGTGAATACCTTGTTGCTGCATCCTCCCATGGCAGAAGGGCAAAGCAGGGAGACAAACCCAATCCTGTGAAAATGAACCCACTCCTGTGATAATGAACCCACTCCTGCAATAACAGCATTAGTCTATTCATAAGAGTTGAGCTTTTATGACCTAAACATCTCTTAAAAGCCCCACTTCCCGATACTGTCACAATGGCAATTAAATTTCACCATGAGTTGCAGAGAGAGCAAACATTCAAATCATAGCAGGCTTCAATCTCATGCTTATAGGTTCTTGTTCTAGATCTTCATTATCCCTTTCTTGTTCTGCTTGCCTTGTGGACTTAAAGCTCCAGCATCAGATGTGAAGACAAGAGACTCATAGATAGTGTTTAACTAGCTCCTGCAATTAAGGACAATCGAAACCCTCCCTGCCCCGTGTGTGTGTGTGTGTGTGTGTGTGTGTGTGTGTGTGTGTGTGTGTAGTATTTCTTCTTCTCTGATTGGACCCTGTGCTGAAATGGAATGCTGCCATAACAAATGCCTAAAAATGTAGAAGTGATTTTGGAACCAAGCAGTGGGTGGAAGCTAGAAGGATTTTGAGAAGAAATGTTACAGAAAAACCTAGATTTCTCTGAATATACTGTTAGTAGAAATCTGGACTTTGAGGATGCTGTTGGTAAAGACTCAAAAGGAAGTGAGGAACCCTGGAGGAATGGAGATCTTTGTTAGCAGTGGCAAAAGTCTTAGCAACACTATTTTCTGCAGTTATGTGAAAAGCAGAGGATATGCTTAATGAACTTGATAATCTATCTAAGGAGATTTCCAAGCAACGTGTTGAAGGTGCAACCTAGTTCTGTCTTGCTGCATATAGTAAGATTTGAAAGAAAAGAGAGAAGTTGAGAGAAAAAATGTTAAGTTGATGGTTTTGAAAACTCTCAGCCTCTCCAGGCAGCAAAAGATGATAAAATTAAGACATGATTTTGAACCAAGTTTAAATCCAGGGCACTGCCAGGAGAGAAAATCTAAAGATGAAGCCAAGAGTATAATTGTAAACTCTTTTGTTAATATCTTCCAAGATAAAAATTGGTTCTTTGGAATACTATTCAGTCACATAATTGGCCCTTTTAAGTAATTAAGAGTAGGTCTCACAGATCCTTTTGATCAAACACTAGGGCCTCAAAGAAATTTAAGAATGTGTCCCTCAGTAGTCTCTGCAGGAGCACAGGGTAGAGAAGAGATTTTGCAGGTGTGGCTTTTGTCTAATGGCATGAACTCCAGAGATTCACAAAAGATCTACGAAGTTTTCAAGAGATTTATTTCTGCTAAGACACTGCCAGTTTGGAATGAAAGAGACAAAAATAGTACAAAATGATGAGGCCATTGGACCCCTGTATTCTACTGGCAGGGAGCATGCTGAAAGACCACTCAGTTGCAAACACATTCTACCTTTCATGATAAATGAGAGATGTCTTTAGAGAATGGTTGCTCTTGGAAGTAGATCCTTTCCTAATTGAGGCTTCAGATGAGAATGTAGCACTGGAGGATTCTTCGATTGTAGCCCTATGTGAGACTTTTAGGCAAAGACACCCAGCTAAGTCATTTCAGGACTCCTGACCTACAGAAACTGTGAGATAATAAATGGATGCTGTCTTAAGTAGTTCAGTTTTTGTTCCACTTCAATAGATAACTAATACATGGTTTGAGCAGCCCGCTTTGATCATTAGTTTAAGTAACAAATTGAGGATGGCAGAGTGACAAGACATAAACAATGTGGGGACCATGGAGTTACCACACCAGGCCTAGACTGCTTAGTTTTGAACTTTACTTACATGAAAGGGAAACATATTTCTATCCTGTTTAAACCATTGTTATTTTGTGTTCCCTTTCATTTGAAGCTGATACTAACTGATAGACAGATACATAAAAGAACAAAAACACAGATGAGAAAGAGGTTTTTCATGGAGAGCCTGAATTAACTAAGTCACTGGTTTAAAGTTTATTTCAATTATAAAACACTTCCTACTAGAAGTAAAATGGGGAAAAGCACAGCAGCCCTGATTATGTATAGTTTTAAATATTCCATTATATGAATAACCAGTTTGTTTGTCCATTCACCCATTGAAAGACATCTTGTTTGCTTCTAGCTTTTGGCAATAATGAATAAAGATGCTATAAACATTTGTGTGCAAGTTTTTGTGAGGTCATACATTTTCTTTTCTTTCTTTTTTTTTTTTTTGAAATGGAGTCTCTCTCTGTTGCCCAGGCTGGAGTGCAGTGGCACGATCTTTGCTCACTGCAAATACATTTTCAGCTCATTTGGGTAAATAACTAGGAGCACAATTGCTGGATTGTATGGTAAGTTTATGTTTAGCTTTGTAGGAAACTGCCAAACTGTCGTCCAACATGACTACCATTTTGCATTCCCACCAGCAATCTATGAGAATTCCAATTTCTCTACATTTTCACCAGCAGTAGGTAATGCCCGTCTTTTATATTTTAGCCATTCTCATAGGTGTATAGTGGTATCTCATCATGGTTTTAATTTGCATTTCTCTAATGGCTAATGATGTTGAAGGTCTTTTTACCTAATTAGTTGCCATCCATATATCCTCTTTGATAAATAATTTTAATTGCGTTGATATTTTCTTATCCTTGAGTTTTTGTGTTTCTCAACATAAAGATCCTGTGCAGGTTTTGTTAGATTTATATCTAACGATTTCATTTTTTTGGAGCTCCTTTCGATGATTTATTTTCTTAAATTATGGTTGTCAATTTTCTGGTACTAGCATATTGGAGTGTGATTGGTTTTTGTGTATTGACCTTGTATTCTGCAACCTTGACCAATTTATTAGCTTTAGAAACTTTTTCTGTAGATTCATTGGAGTTTTTTACATAAACAATCATGTTATATGTGAACAGAAACAGTTTCATTTTTTCTTGTCCACTCTATATGCCATTTATTTGTTTGTTTCCTTATTGTACTTGCTATATTTCCTAGGATGCTCAATAAAGGAATGTAGAAGAATGTTGGGAGAGAAGCATTCTCACCTATTTCTGATCTTAACAGGTAAGCATTCAGTCTTTCATCATTCAGTATGATGTTAGATAGTTAATTTTGTTTTGTAGATACCCTTTATTAGGTTGAAAAAGTTTCCCTCTATTCCTAGTTTTCTGAGACTTTTTATCATGAATGGATGTTAATTTCATTCAAATGTTTTATCTGCTTAAACAGATATGATCATATGATCATGTGGACTTCTTTGGACTGTTATAGTGGTGGATTACATTGATAGATTTTCAAATATTGAGCCAGACTTGCATTTAGGATACATTGCCCTTGGTTGTGATGTATTAATCTTTTTATATATTGTTTAATTAAATTTTCTAATATTTTGTTCAGAGATTTTGCATCTATGTTTATGAGGGATATTGATCTCATGGTTTTGCTCTCAGGGTAAGGATGGGCTAATAAAATGAATTAGAAAGCTTTCCCTCCTCGTCTATGCTCTGGAAGAAATTGTATAGAATTGTTCTTAATTTATTTAAATATATGCTTGAATCTGTCAATCATACATTTGGTTTAAGTGAAGCCACTTCAACCTGGAGATTTCTGCTTTCAAAAAACTTTTAAGCTACAAATTTAATTGCTTTAATACATATAGGACTATTCATATTGTCTATTTCATCTTGGGTGAGATTTGGTAGCTTGGGAATTTTGAGGAATTGATTCCTTTTCTCACAGTTGTCAATTTTTGTGTCTAGAGTTGTTCATAGCATTTTCTTATTATCCTTTCAATGTCTATGGGGTTTATAGTGATATCCCCTTCTTTATTCCTGATATTAGAAATTTTTGTAACTTCCATCTTTTTCTTTTTGTCAGTCTAGCTTGAAGTTTATTAAGTTTATTGACTGTTCCAAAGAACTAGCTTTTGGTTTCATTGAATTTCTCTTTTGTTTTTCTATTTTCTGCTATATTTCATTGATTTCTGCTGTTATTTTTAATATTGCCTTCTTTATCCTTGCTTTAGGTTATTTTACTCTTCTTTTTTAGTTTCTTAAAGTAGAACCTTCAGTTACTGATTTGAGACTTTACTTCATTTTAAAATAAACATTGAATACTATAAATTTCCCTCTAATCATTGCTTTAGTTGTATCCCACAAATTTTTGGTATGTTATGTTTTCATTTATGATCAGTTTGAAATATTTTCTCATTTTTCTTGAAACTGCCTTGTTGATCTTTGGGTTATTTAGAAGTGTGTTGTTTAGGGCCAGGTGCGATGGCTCATGCCTGTAATCCCAGCACTTTGGGAGGCTGAGGCAGGCGGATCACGAGGTCAGGAGATTGAGACCATCCTGGCTAACATGGTGAAAACCCATCTCTACTAAAAATACAAAAAATTAGCCAGGCGTGGTGGCGCACGCCTGTAGTCCCAGCTACTCGGGAGGTTGAGGCAGGAGAATAGCTTAAACCCAGGAGGCGGAGGTTGCAGTGAGCCGAGATCACGCCACTGCATTCCAGTCTGGGTGACAGAGCAAGATTCTGTATCAAAAAAAAAAAAAAAAAAAAAGGGGGTGTTGTTTAATTTCTAAATGTGTGGATATTTTCCTATTATTGATTTCATGCTATAATACTCAGATCACACACTTTGTATGATTTCAGTTCTTTTAAATTTGTTGAGGTTTGTTTTGTGACCTAGGTTATAGTCTATCTTGGTGGTGTTTTATTTGCCCTTGAAGAGAATGTGTGATCTTCTGTTTTGGCATGAGTTGTTTTCTATAAATGTTAATTTGATCCAGTGGGTTGATGATGTGATTCAATTCTATATTCAGAGTCAGCAAACTAAAGCTTACCAGTAAAATCTGGCTTATAGCCTGTTTTTACACTGCCCTTGAGCTAAGAAAAAGTTGTAAAAAAATGGAGAATTTGTGACAGAATATATGTGCCTGGGAAGCCTAATGTGTTCACTCTTTGACCCTTTATAGAAAAATACTTCCCAATCCTACTGTATATACTTGCTGATTTTCTGTCTATTAGTCCTATAGATTACTGAAAGTGATGGTGTTAACATCTGCAGCTATAATTGTGAATTTGGCCATTTCTCCTTTTAATTCTGTTAGTGTTTGCTTCATGTACAATCATGCATCACTTAACAACAGGAATATGTTCTGAGAACTGTGTCCTTAAGGCAATTCTGTCATCATGTGAACATCTTACAGTGTGCTTACACAAACCTAGATGGTATAGCCTACTACACACCTAGGCTATATGGTATAGCCTATTGCTCCTAGGCTACAAACATGTACAGTATGTTACTATACTGAATACTGTAGGCAATTGTAACAAAAGGTAAGTCTTTTTGTATCTAAACAAATCTAAACATAGAAAAGGTACATTAAAATATGGTATTATAGGCTGGGCGCATTGGCTTCCGCCTGTAATCCCAGCATTTTGGGAGGCCAAGGCGGGCGGATCACCTGAGGTCGGGAGTTCGAGACCAGCCTGACCAACATGGAGAAACCCTGTCTCTAGTAAAAATACAAAATTAGCCAGGCGTGGTGGCACATGCCTGTAATCCCAGCTACTTGGGAGGACGAGGCAGGAGAATCTCTTGAACCCGGGATGCGGAGGTTGTGGTGAGCCGAGATTGCGCCATTGCACTCTAGCCTGGGCAACAAGAGTGAAACTCCATCTCAAAAAAAAAAAAAAGATATTATAATCTTATGGGACCACTCCTTTATATGGGGTTGGTTGTTGATGGAGACATTGTTATGCAGTGCATGACTGTACTTTGACCCTCAGTTGTTAGGTAAACACACATTTAGGATTGTTATGACTTCTTGGTGAATTGACCCAATTATCGTTATGACATGTCCTTCTTTAGCCTACTAATTTTCTTTGCACTGAAGTCGATTTCGGTATTAATACAGCCACTCCAGCTCTATTTTGATTTGTGTTTTTGTGGCATAGTTTTTCCATCCTTTTGGCTTTAACTGACTTATATTTCAATTAAGTATATCATAGATAGCATATAGTTAGGTCATGTTTTTGTTTTGTTTTTAATCTATTTTTATGATCTCTTCTTTTAATTGACATCTGTATTAATAGTTTTTCTCCATTTGTCTATGTTAAATGGACTGGCCCATTTTATAATAATTCCATTGCTGGATATGTCACCTAAAACTCAGCGTTCGCCGTCCTCCTTCCGTGTTTTTTTTCATGTGTCATTATCTGTATGGGACCAGCCCACAAAATTGCTTTTGCATTGATTCTTATCTCCATGTTTGCAGGCATTGAAATTGATATTTAGTATTCATTTAATGCATGCACCTAATTATACATATTTTCTGCTTCAATTTCCCAATAACAGACATGACATTATTTTGATAGTACAGTATTAGGTGATATGTCTTCAAAAATACCCAGTACTAATGGTTACTTAAAAAATAACTTACTATGAAAATCAAAATCTAACAAACCAAACCCACTTTATTTATTTTAGTTTAATTTATAAAAAAGGGAATTAACAGTAGTTGCTGTAACAATTAAATGAAAACATTTGTCCAATATAGAACATTTTATATGCAAATAGTATTCAGTGAAGTCCCAAACCACTCTATCCTGACTCCCATACTGAATGTCCTTAATGAGTTCAGGGAGGGTCTGAACTGGGAGTCAAGAAACTTGGATTCCAGGCCTACAGACCAATCAGCACTGTAACTCTGGATATTTCCCTCCTTCTCTCATCCCCAGTTTTCCCACCTGTAAAATAATGATGATCAGTGATAATCAGCCCCAGCCCAGGATCCATTATCTGACTTTGCAATATAGTTTAAAGTGTAATTCCAGAATAAAAAATTATAATGCTGCCTTTTGTAATCTGCTTCATAAGCATACCCATATACAGTCATGCCCTGCATAATGACGTTTCAGTTAATGACAGATCACGTATATGACGGTGGGCCCATAAGATTATGATGAAGCTGCCCTATTCAGTGTATCATTTTTTATATTGTATTTTTGCTGTACCTTTTCTATATTTAGATATGTTTAGATATGCAAATATTTATCATTGTGTTACAGTTGCCTACAGTATTCACTACAGTAACATGATGTACAGGTTTGTAGGGTAGGAACACAAACCCATACCGTATAGCCTAGGTGTGTAATAGACTATTTCATCTAGGTTTGTGTAAGTGCACTCTGATGTTTGCACAGCAGCAAAATTGCCTAAAGATGCATTTCTGAGAATGTATTCCCATTGTTAACCAATGCATGACTGTATTAACATTTTAGTGGCAAAAAAGCCAAGTCATTTGTTTTATTGATGTTTTTCGATTCAGTGAATTGGATAATGTAAGTCCTAAGACTTTACAGTTCTCCATGAGACCTAAATAATTATTTTCCAGTTGGAAGGGGTGAAACTGAAACCTATAAACACATTTATATTTCTTTAATTGGCACTTAAGGTTTTCTCACCTCTGGACTCTCTCTCAATGATGCCTTTGAATTATAACATTGTATGGCTCTATCTGCAACTCTGACTTGAGACTGGGTCATCTTTCCTTATGGTCTCATGCTTCAGGAGCTATTTCTTGCCCCACCTGAATAGTCCCTTTATGCTTAAATACCTTTCTGCACCTCTTCAATTTACTCAAGGTGTCAGAATGCACCTGGGCAATCTGGCTCACATAATGGCTGGGTCATGTTATCATAGCTGAACTAACCCCGCAATGGACCTAAGCCAATAGTTGATTTCAAGGATGAGTAGGTCCACTGGCAATGAGGAGACCCCCTCACTCCTCTTCCTTTCACTACCCAGCACACTTAAGTACATATACTGTGGAAAATGCAAAAAATAAAATAAAATAAAATACCCTTAACTTGTCAGTCCATCATGCAAATTACCAAGTTAACATTGGCCTTCTGTGATTTGTAATACCTTTAAAGAAGCCTTTGGTCATATAGGTATATAATAAAAACTGTTGGCTTTCTGGGGTAATCACTTTGTGATTCTCCCCATGTATACACATTAAATAAATTTGTATGCCTTTTCTCTGATTAAAAAAAGTATTGGCTTTCTGAAGTGGTTTCAGATAGAGGATTAGGACTTATATAAATACAGAGGAGTTATACCATATGCACACTAAATTTAGCTACACATGAGAGAGGAAAAGAGAGAGAGAAAGAACAATTTGCACAGTGAGAACAATTCCTCTCTCCACTTTTCTCCATATGCTTAGGCACCAGAGTGACCATAATGTAAGAAATGATTTGAGCTATGCTTCAGAGTGTCTCTGTTTTCACAAGTTGTTGTAGTGTGGACAAAGCTCAAGTGTAAGCTAAACTAAGTGTGATCCTAGTACTTAAACATACATCTTTCTTGTTTAATATGGCTCCAATACACAACTTCATGAGGTCCCCAATTGGCAATGATCAATGATCCATTCCAAGCCTGGATGATAAACAGACTGTAGACTATATGTTATGGCTATTTTAGGGAATTTTAAAGATAATTCAGACTATTGTGCAAGTTTCTGCTTAATCTATTACTATTAGAAATTACCCCCAATATATATGGGCAAATGACACAGATAACATTTACAACACAATGATCCAAATGAAAATATAATTTGGTGTCTAATTTAGGCAGGAAAATGCCATTTGACATTCCTAAATATGCTTAATTCGTTTTTAAGGTTAGACTTTTTTCATGTCTGTTTTCCACTGCTCCTTGAATCATGGTTGATCTGTTCCCCAGAGAATGATTTCTTTCTTCTCCATTAATATATCTTGAGATTGTCATTCTTCCCAGTTAGTCCAAAACCTCACTTTAACGGGTAGTATATAAGACCTTTGAAGGTGTGATCCGCACCTGATTCATTTTGTGTGCCCAAAACAGAACCCGACAAGGTATCAGTTACACAACACGTGTTTGTTCATTGTTTAGTATAAGAATGGTGACAATGGCTATCAATATGAACCTGACACAATCTCATCAAAACAGCTATCTCATGAATAAGGAATCACCATATTGTTATCTTAGATATTGTGTCAGTGAGGAATTATGTTTGACTGCAAATAATAGAAACCTGAAACAAAGGCTTAAACAAATTAGGAGTTTTTCTGACACATTAAAGAGTCTGGAGGAAGGTAGTTCAGGCTGGGTGATTTAAGATGTTGCCTGAGACCCACAGCCATTCTACTTTTCACCCAGCTTTCACACCGTCCTTACAATGAGACCTTCGTTTTTACACCTTGAGATGATTCCCAAAGCTCTAGCCATCCAGTTTGCACATATTTCAGGAGAAGGAGGACCTGAAAATTGCACCTACCAGTTATACACCAAAATGTTGATAGTGATTGTCTTTAGGAGGGAGGATAATAGGAAATTTAAATTTTATTTGCTTTCTGGGCTGTTCTGTATTTTCCAGTGTTCAAATGACAAATATTACTTTTGTTTTGAGTAGGCAAATGCCTTGAATTTTTTTTTTTTTCCCATGGAGTCTCACTCTGTCACCCAGTCTGGAGTGCAGTGCTCCGATCTCAGCTCACTGCAACTTCTCCGCCTCCTGGGTTCAAGTGATTCTCCCTGCCCCAGCTTCCTGAGTAGCTGAGACTACAGGCACGCACTACCACGCCTGACTAATTTTTGTATTTTTTTTTAGTATAGATGGGGCTTCACCACGTTGTTGGCCAGAGTGGTCTCAAACTCTTAAGCTCAGGTGATCCACCCACCTCAGCCTCCCAAAGTGCTGGGATTACAGGTGCAAGCCACCATGCCCGGCCTAAATGCCTTGAATTTTATTTAAAAATTGTTAGTTCTGTTTCAATAAGGGAGCAGTCTAAGATAAAACCTAGCCATCTTTTTTTGTAGCAAACCAACATGAAGTGCCTGAGTATTTTTTCCTAAGACTGCATTTGTTTGGTTATTTGTCACCAATCTATTGGAAGGCATTTTTATTTATGAATTGTCAAACAGGGTTCTAAGTCTATAAATAAAATAGAAGAAAGAGTCACGTTATGATAGTCACTACTGGTTGCTCTCCTGACTTTCAAACTTGGTGTTCTTCCAGTGGTCTCAAAATTTGTACAATTAATGAGCTACTGGTATACTGTGAGCGGGTATCAAATGCTTTATGAATTTAATTCTGCCCACTGAGGAAAATTAAGTGTATTCATTATCTATTGCTGAATAACAAATTAGCCTAAAACTTGGCAACTTAAAACAGCAAGCTTTATCTCACAACTTCTGTGTCGGGAACCTGGGTATAGCTTTGCTAAGATTCTTTGACTAGGGTTTCCTACAAGGTTGTAATCAAGGTGTCAACTGGGCTGCAGTCATTCCGGCTTCCACTGGAGAAGGATTCAGTTCCTCCCAAGCTTTTGGCCTAAGGATTGCAGTTCTTCTCTGGCTGTTGGCTGGAAACCTCTCTCAGTGTCTTACCATGAAGGCCTCACCATAGGGTAATTCATAACATGACAACTGGCTTCAGTCAGTGAACCAGTGAGAAACCAAGAAAGGGCAAGCAAGTTAGAAGCTAGAGTCCTTTTGTTGCCTAATATTGACTGTGACCTCCCATCACTGTGTGCCATATTCCATTCATTAGAACCAAACCACTAGGATCAACCCACACACAGGAGCACGGATACCAGGAGATGAGGATCACTGGGAGTCACCTCAGAGCTGCCGACCACACTGATCAAAGGATAGTTTTTCAGCAGTCTTACTCAAAGTTGCAATACAAAGTTCTGCTAGAGAGATATAGAATTCTGTTCAGAATTTCTGTCAAGGCACATCTCTGTATAATGAGAATGAATATAGGCTTTTACAAATCAGTGAAAGGAGGTTTTGGGGGAAATTTTTTGTTTGTTTCTTGTTAGCTTTTTTGCCTCAAACTACAGCCTCAAACTTCTGGGCCCAAGTGATCCTCCTGCCTCAGCCTCCTGAGTAGCTAGAACTATAGGCACACACCACCACACCTGGCAAGTTTTTTTTCTTTTTTTTTAGAAATAGGATCTTGCTAGTTGCTCAGGCTGGTTTTGAACTCCTGGCCTCAAGTGATTCTCCTGCTCCAGCCTCCCAAAATGCTAGGATTACAGGCATAGGCCAGTGTGCCTGGCCTGTGAAAGGAGTTTTAAGCAGAACTAGACTCAAATAAACATTTGAAACCCACAGTAGGCAAAATTATATAGTTCTTGCTGGTTTTGAGGGTAGAGCTCCCCAAATTTATAAAGTAATTTATAAAGAAAAGAGGTTTCATTGGCTCACAGTTCCTCAGGCTGTACAGGAAGGGTGGCTGGTGAGGCCTCAGGAAACTTATAATCATGGCCAAAGCAAACGGGAAGCAGACATGTCTTCACATGGCCAGAGCAGGAGGAAGAGAGAGAGGGGGGATGTGCGACATACTTTTAAACAACCAGATCTTGTGATAACTCACTCACTATTTGTGTGCCACAAATGGATGTTATTGTATTGTGAGATACAGATGCCTTAGTGGAATGAGGTGTGATAGTAAGCCCCAAGATACTTGCAGATGGCAAGCAGAGCAAGATCCTTTACCCCTACTCTGCCATGCTGCAAGGATTGCAGTCAAGAAGGTGCTTTACTACCTGGCACCTCTGTCAGCAGGCCACTTAGAGCACACCAACAGGGACTCAACATGAAGAGGGAGTCTGTGTTCTGTTGGGGGAGTTTGTGCTCTGGGTGCCCAATGGGTAGAGAGAGTGGGACTGGGGAGCCTGAGCGAGGACTGCTGACTGTTGTAGCTTCTGACCCAGCATTAGCCCTTAACCTCTACTTTCACATTTATTCAATCTGTCCATCTGTTTGCAGCCAGTGGGTCCTTTTAGGAACACCTAAGCTAGCTGCAGGGTAACTATGCTGACAATGTGTATATGATACAAGCACACTGACTGGATTTGAAAATTTTCACAGAATTTAAAAATCATATCCATCACAAGAAATGTAAACATTATGTTTGTCAAAGAAGAAAAGAAGGGCTGTTCACCTTTAAATACAATTTAAATGGCAGTAAATTTTTAAAGTGTTATTTTTAAAAGATTTTACTTTTTCTACCACCACTTGTAAACCATCTCTCACCCATAGTGACTATGAAGAATTTGAGGAGCTCTTCATTGAAGAACACATAAGAATGATACATAGCCATTCCAAGCACAAATCACAACATAAAAAGTTAGGTTTATGGGAGCAAGCTGAAATTTATCGTTAAAATTTCAAAATATTTTATTTAGAAATTTCAGACAAATTTTATATCAAATGTCTTCCTCTCAGTATTATATTCATTCATCATAGTTATAAATAAAATGCAGTTGATGGTGCTGTAGTTTAAATGATGGTGTCCTCTCCAAAATTCATGTTGAAACTTAATCCTTGATGTAACAGTATTAAGAAGTGGGGCCTTCAGTATGGGATTAAGTCATGAGGGCTCCATCCTCATGAATGGGATTAGCGCTTTTTGAAAAGGGCTTGAGGTTGAAAGGAGCACCCTCCTTCCCTTTGGTCCCTTCTACCATGTGAGAACGTAGCATTGCTCTGCTCTGCAGGATGCAGCAGGAAGATGCCCTCTTGGAAGCACAGACAAGGCCCTCACCAGACACTGAACCTGCTGACACATTGATCTCCAAAATTGTGAGAAATAAATTTCTGTTCTTTATAAATTACCCAGTCTCCGGTATTTTGTTATAGCAGCACAAATAGACTAAGACATATGGTTTTACCAAGCCCCACATTCCTCCCAGCTTATCCCAATTAAAATACATGCTATGACCTAAAAACAAGTTGAGGAAGCTTTGCTTTAGAGCAAATGTCTGACTGTGTTGATTATGTATCTATTGTTTCTCAGCTTTATACTTAACCATTTATAATTTTCTCTATATTGCTTAGGACTGGAAGTCTGCAGATTCCCTTTCTTAGACTCCTTGACAGTGGCTTCCTGTTCATATCTATCAAATCTGTCAATGGCAGGCAGGCATTGGGAAAGATCAGAAAGTTGGAAAAAGGGAAAAACTTTCTATTTCTAAATTCAACCAGAGCTACTGTAGCAGCAGAGGGGCTAGTGTAACTGCAGACACTGGCAGCCCAGGCAGCAGCACAGTCTCTTTCTTGATTACAGCCTGAGCCACGGAAGGACAATTTTGACAGTTCCAGTCCCTGAAGTGCAACATCCATAACTCCCCAGTACCAAGAGTAGGCTCATGAATGCCAGCCTAGGAACATCAGGAGCTTTCTATGTGTATCACCCTTTCTTCCTTTTGCTCCTTCAGCTCTTCCAACACCTTTGTAAACAATTCCCTGTATTAAATCCTTTGTGTTTGAAATACCTACCATGGTTTCAGATTTCCTGACTCAATATAGAATAATATATTGACTTTTATGTGAGGAGGAATTATTTTTCTATTCCCAAAACCCTAACATCCCCTAGGAAAGGAGATGTGTAGATTGGGTTCAACCAGTCTAGGTCCATGGGGAGTGTATCAGTCCATTCTTGCACTGCTATAAAGAAATACCTGAGACTGGGTAATTTATAAAGAAAAGAGGTTTCATTGGCTCACAGTTCCTCAGGCTGTACAGGAAGCAATGCTGGTGAGGCCTCAGGAAACTTACAGTTATGGGGAAGGCAAACAGGAAGCAGACATGTCTTCACATGGCCAGAGCAGAAGGAAGAGAGAGAGGGGAGATGTGCTACATACTTTTAAACAACCAGATCTTGTGATAACTCACTCACTATTCAGAAAAACAGCACAAAAAGGGAAATCTGGCCCCACGATCCAATCACCTCCCACCGGGCCCCCCTTCCAACGCTGGGAATTACAATTTGACATAAGATTTGGGCAGGGACACAGACCCAAACCATATCAGGGAGCATGTGAAGGGGAGCCACTTCCAGGTGGTCCTCTCTTTCCTGAGAAGAAGCCCAGTAAATTATGAAGAGAGGGCACTGAAGATAGAGTGGATGAAGAAAAAAACACAGTAGCAGCAAATGGCTTACAGATCTACTGAGCGGGCCTTTAAATGCCACTGGCAAGTCCTGATTGATTGAATGAGAACTCCTGCTTCAAAATTTACCTTAGTGTCAGAAAAAAATATTCCTTTATTGTCGATCTATTTTAGTTGCATTTTCATCTCTCAGTTACCATCTATACTTCCCTTTGGTCTCTCCTTACTTGGTATTATTAACAGCTTCGCATCCCATTGAAAAATTATTATATCTGAACAGCATACTCAATCCATTTATCCAGACACCTAGCCTAAATTACAAAGATCAAATATTACTATTTCCCTAGAACTAGAGGAAAACTCATAAATCCTCGTATGTCCCTTTTCTTAGCTCACCAGCTATTGAATAAGAGAGGTGCTTTCTGCATCCCATATTTGACCTAAGATAAACAGAAAAAAAGATTAAAGTGCTCACTATACAAAAACAGCTTCTTTTTTAGACACTCCTTCTGTATTAACTGACTAATTGCATTCCAAGATATCTGTACCATTTCCAGGAAAGTCAACTATTGGATAAAATATCCTACAATTTATATTAAATTCTTCAAATAGTGGCAGAAAAGGCAAATAGACCTAAATTAATTACCTGTACAACTTGATGTACATTTGTTTATGTGCACCAAGTTGTTCTGTGTGAGAACACTGCAAACCAGCAGCCTTCCTTGCACCCCCATGCATTGCATCTGCTACATTATCAACTGGAGTGATTGTTAAGAGTTTGACAGGCTTTTCTCCACTTCCTCTCTGCCTCTACCTCCCCGGGAACCGTATGAAAATGGAACAGTGTGCGAGGCAAACACTTATGCCTGGAGAACCCAGGTAGGCATAGACAATACCAGCACCACTGGAGAGAAGATAGCAATTTTATGCCCTTTCTCTCTCTCACTTACTTTGACCTTCATTGAAATAAGTGAAATTTCCCCCTGAAAAGGGTGTATTTTACTTTAAACCTCAAACTGTCCATTCTTAACAGCGGGCTACTGGTTGGGTTTCAAACATGCTACTCAGAGCCAAAATGTGAACTGTAGCCCATCTTAACCTCCATTTGTGTGGGGTGTGTGAAATGGCAATTGGTGCCCAGCTTGCCTTTCGGGGTCATATGGTATCTATCTGTTTTTAATGACTTTCAATGTAGTGGTTTCCAGTAATACTTGTTTGATAAGCTGTGCTGCAGAAGTAGATATTGATATTAATCATAAATATAATTACATGAAAGTCAGTGGGGGAAGGGTTCCAGAGTAATACCCAACAATTTATTGTACGACAACAATTTTCCATCTTTCTGGGCTATCTTTCCTTAATACTTCAACTCAAAGATTTCATTAAATCCAAAGTTGTGCACATGTTCATTTGCAATACGCCTTCTTTCTGTGCCTCATCCTATGTCATATATTCAAGTTTATGCTTGACATTAATAGGCATTTGACCATATTTCCCAAAAACCTTTCTATAGTTATTTTTATATCACCCTCCTTTATATATTTCTTGTATCCTTGTTTTTCTTCTTGATTTGTTCAAGAGTCTGTTGTCACAGCAGAAGTGAGCTGACAGCTTCACATTTTTAAAGGTCATTTCCACTTAAAGTTCTCCATTATCAAGCTGGATCTGTCATTACTTAGGGGAGAAATATTTTGCCTCAACCTGCCTACAGCCCAGAACAGACTTTGAAAAGTCTTCCTAATCATGGAGCATATCAGAGGGTGTGATTTAAACACATAACCACCCAACAACAGCAACAACAACAATCAAAGTCTTTAGGGACTGTCTGAATATCCCAACTTTTTAATAAAAATAAGACTCAGATTCCTTTTGGACGATCTCTGGCTATGAATGGAGCAATTAAACCACAAGGACCTTGCTCGGTTTGTGAAATTCACCTTTCCCTGGAAAAGGATGACCTCTTTTTGCACTCTGGCCACAAAGACGTTAATATTTCCTAGTTTTGCTCATAGCATAACTGAGAAGTCTTTTGCTTTGAGACAGGAAGGTCACAAAGGGGGAAAACTGGATACAGGGTCTTCAAAGTCAGAAGCAGAGTTCTCCACAAAACAGTGCACACACCTCAGTATAAGGGGATTCACTGAGGTGTGGAATGAAAATATTAGAATTTTCTGTATCTATTTTTTATCTCATCCTTTGAAAATTACCATGTATGTATGTGTTCTATAGTGTACCTAAAATGCCAGTATAATGTACATGTATATAATATGTAAATAAATACACATAAAGTTGGAGACTCATGTTCAATTTTTTTAGGGGAACATAACTCAGAACGTTTGAAGACCACTGATCCAGAGTACACAGCTTATAAACTACAGCTGGTTCCCTATCCTATGGGAAGAAAAACTCTTGCCCAAGAATTTCCTTTAGCTCTTGTTTAGACAAATCTTTTGCTCCAGCTGAATGGAGAAAGGAGGGGAAACCTTGTTATTATTTTTAGAGACACACATTCAAAGGGCATAGGAGACACAGTAACCTATTTTTACTGTGGAAGAGTGGAGGCCAAGACTTGAATTCTTCCAGAGATGGAGTGGGAAGCTTTTATAGAAAAGATTTCTCAAAAGAAGTGTGGCATGGAAAGCACTGATAAACTCTTGATAAGAGAAGATGGGAAAGGGACATTTTGAAAAGAAAGAAATAGCATAAATAAAGGAAAAAGGAGGCAAAAATGCAGGGCTTGTATGGTGAATAGTGTGAGGTTCCATATGGCTAAAAGGTATAGTACAATGGGTAGAAGGGAAAAGACAGGCAGAGTGGCTGAGGCCAGTTTATGGAGCCCTTGAATGCCTTGCTAACTTTAACATTATTTAGAAAGCAATGGGGAAAAAAACTGAAGTTTTTGGGTTTGTTTTGGTTTTAAAGCTAGAAACTCACTTTTTCCAAGATTTACACTAGAAAGATTAAATTGGCCGCATTGTGTGTCAGTGTAACTGGGAGAAGAACAGTTGGGGCACTGATGCAATTGTCTAGATGGAAAACACAATGGCCTAAATTATGGCAGTGAGATGGCGAGAATGGAGAGCATGCATTCAGAAGACATCATGGAGACACATTTGGAAGGATTTCTCAATGGGATGGGAAGGTTTTGAGTCTAAGATTCTAAGGTTGGGGGACTGGAAGAATGGTGGCACTATTAATTAAAATTGAGTTGTAAGAAAGACAGTGTTGGGTAAGAGGTGAGGCGGGGAGTGACTTAGGTCAGGTTTTCTGAGATGATGGAGATTTGCATGCAGGCAGTTTGTTGGGGAGTTAGATGATTCTGTAGGAGGACTCAGAGGACTCAGCATATAGTTGTACTCACAGCTATAATTTATTATAGCAAAAGGGTTTTGAGAGAAACAGCAAAGAAATCAAGAGGAAATCAAGCACAAGCTTCCAAGAGTTCTTTCCCACTGGGGTCACCCAGGACATGTGTGACAACATGTATGAAATGCTGTCTATCGGGGAAGCTCAGCCGAGACTCTATGCCCAGGGTTTTTATTCAGGGCTGCCCCTGTAAGTATCCTTGGCCTAGCATGTAACAAAATTCCAGACTCATATAAGAAAAGCAGGTGTTTGCCATAAACCACTTTGTTTTAACAAACAGTTTAGGCACAGTGAGCTGCTTTTATCAATTCTGGGAATGGTATGAACGCTACTGAAATCCACGTTCCTAGATGCCAGCCAAGGGCCAAACTTGTAAGCTTCTGTTTCAAAGAATGGCAGTCCTGGGCAGACGTGCTAACTCTTAGCATGGGCATGCTCCTAGGAACAGTACCTACGTGGAAGAAAGGGAAATAGGACAGGGCCAAGAGAAATTTGCCAAGCACAAAGGAATCTGCCCCACTGCCAAGTAAAGGTAACATCCTATCCTATTTGCAAGTAATTGTGCATACAATGATATTTTGTTTGACACCTTGGTTTTCACATCTCTTTTAAAAATATTAGGTCTTATGATCGCATGGAAACTCCAACGGTATGTGTTAAAATTCTTTTTTAAAAATTTATATTAGATTTATTGTTTTAGAGACATAATCTCACTCTGTCACCCAGGCTGAAGTGGTACAGTCATAGCTCACTGCAGCCTCAAGCTCCTGTGCTCAAGCCATCCTCCTGCCTCAGCCTCCCACATAACTGGGACTACAGACATGCACCATGACACTCAGCTACGTTTTTGAAATTTTTTCTAGAGATGGAGTCTCGCTATGTTGCCCAGGCTGGTCTCAAATTCCTGCCTTAGCCTCCTGCCTTGGCCTCCCAAAGTGCTGGGATTAGAGGCACCACTTCACCTGGCCTAGAATTCTTATAATTGAGAAAATTTAGACTTAGAGGTTACAGGATGAACACAGGGACCCTCTGCCAGTAAGCAGCAGATCCAGGGCTGAGTTCCGGCATCTAATCTCCAGCGTTCTTCCCACTCCCCTACAAACGTATCTCTGAGTCACTGTCAAATCCCTCTCCTAGAAGACAGAATCAGGGCCCTGGGTGTGCTTCAGGGAAACTGGAAATTCTATTTTTTTTTTACTTTAAGGAATTAGTTTTTTTAAAAAAATTCTGTGTTGTTCTATTTGTGACTGAAGTGCCAGAATCACTAGCAAATGAGAGACTAACAGACATAAACTTAATGAACAAGGAGATTATGAAGGTCTGCAAAGAGCAATTCCTGCTTTGGGAATTCAAGTATTCTGCTGTTTGAGAGAGATTCTGTTGATTTTGGAAATACCGTGAATCATTTCCTGAAAGAGCAAAATAATGGAGGCTTTTTATTCCAAGTTTCCAAGAAATGTTGTCTAAAGGCAGAAGACTCTTGGGAATAGCAGGCTATGTGTGTAGAGGCCGTTGTTGTGTCCTGGTCAGGATTGGACCCTTCCTCTTAAACACCGGACAACTATTGGAGAAGCATCTATGCCCCGGCAGGTGCTGCCTCCTGAGTGGTTGTGCAGTTAAGGGAGAAGGCTTATTTCTCTTTGTGCGTTTTAGTAGGTTACATTAGTCGGGAATGCTTACTTTGATGATCAATGAGCGATATCAGAGCCTGGAGACCCAATTTTTAAAACTGCAGTAAGGGTCTTTTCATCAGGGAATTTCCAGTGAAGTCAGCACTTCTGCTGTCTTTCTCATCGAGAAGCCCACAAGAAACTCAAAAGTTCAAGATTCGTGTTTGTATCTGTGAGATTAGTAGAGTAGATGCTTGTCAGCACCGGTAAAGCCAGAAAGCAGTCAGTATTTCCACTCTAAACCTCTCATGTTCCCCCTCAGTCTGTTAGCCCTTTGTAATTCAACCATAAGAATTCACCACAAGTTGAAACTGGCAGCCGATTTTTTTTTTTAAGGCTGGGAACATTTTTCTCAAATGATAGAGTTGACAGCAGTGGACCATCCCCAGGCAGCAGGAGGGAAAGAGTGTGGCGGTGAGACGTAGGACACAATGCAGGATTCTCCAAGACTGAAACTAGGTTGGCATTGTGTCTCTTAGAACTGTCTTTCTGAGTTTTACCCAGAAGATATAAAAAATTATGGAGATTCTGTAGAACCCAGAACAATTTTTTTCCCCAGAACTCCTGGAGCTGCCTAGAAGCAGGTAACAATTGACAAAGACAGTCCTGAAGTGAGTTGTCAAAGACAGTCTCCAGTCTGTCATGTTGCCTTTGCAGATGATCAAAATTTGCCTTTTCAGTTTGAGTCATATTATCTATTTGGTATTTCTATGCTAGCTTCTTGCTGGGGGAGAAGACAAAAGGTTCAGCTGTACTGATTACATTTGGCGGTAGCCCATTTTAAGCAAGTGTCTTAGACAATGTGGGATCCTCATTTCTTTTTGAACAAAAGAACAATGGGCTGAATCATAGGATTAATATGGCAAAAGGTCATGACCTCTACAGTGGAAGTTGTTCAAAGGTAGAACCTAAGTGTTCAGATGTGCTCTAACATGACTATGTTCAGATGTGCCTTTTTATATTGCTGCTCATCTGTGTCTCACTCTGAGTGGCAAGAAACCTCAAACTGCTTTTTCTATTCTCTCCCTCAATAGTAACCATCAACACAGAAGACTTCTATGACCAAATGAGTGGGGGTTTTTACCCCCATACACCAAGTAAGCAATCAATCCCACAGCAGACACCATCCTCCAATTCAATTCTGACACTCTCTACCTGGAAATAACGTCGTATCTCACAGGTGGAGAGCTCAGTACCCAAGACTGTCTCCCACTCAGAAACAGGTCACAAGTCTGAGCCTCCGAAACTTCTGATGACCAACTTCAAGTTGGGGTTCCCACAACTCCCTCTTTGGGTTTGATTAATTTGCTAGAGCTGCTCACAGAAATCAGGGAAACACTGACGTTTACTGATTATTATAAAGGATATTACAAATAATAAAAATGAAGAGATGCATAGGGTGAGGCATAGGGGAAGGGGCGCAGAGCTCCCATGTTCTCCCTGGGCGGCCACCCTCAGGGAACCTCCATGTGTTCAGCTTTCAGGAAGCCCCCTGAACTTTGTCCCCATGGGCTTTCATGGAGACTTCATTTGGAGAGGCATGATTGACAACCTTGTGGAAATGTAATTGGACAAAAGGGGTATGATCCAATACTAATAGGCTGGGAAGGGAAACTTAGCAATGCCTGTCTGTTCAGATTCTTCTTGGCCTCTCTGTGCAGCATTTCTTCCTCCAGGGTATGGCGTAGACCCCATCTGAAATGGGGATCTTGTGACCCACATTCAGACAAAATAGGTCACATAATTTCTTTATGGCCAGCTCCAGGACAGGAAGGAGGGAAAAGACTCCTTCCTTGGGCTGAGAAAAAAGCAGGTGAAAGGAGTGCAGGAAAGGCCGGGAGCAGAGGCTCACACCTGTAATCCCAGCACTTTGGGAGACTGAGGCAGGTGGATCACGAGGTCAGGAGTTCGAGACCAGCCTGACCAACATGGTGAAACCCCGTCTCTACTAAAAATACAATGTCAGAGACAGAGGTTCTATTTTCTGAAGCCTGAATCTGAGGCCAGAAGTACCCAGCATTGTAACGAGGGCTATGGGAGTTAGAAGCCAGGAACTATGGGCGAAAACCAATATATATGGATAATAATACACACACACACACACACACACATAATAATATCACACTCAAGCACCAGGAAGATGTCTAAAGAGAGGATGCATGGGACTAGTGCAAGTGTGTCAAGATTTCTACAAACACTGAAAATGTCTTTGGTGGCTGATAAGGCAGGCTCTCAGAGGCTTCTGACTAAGCTGCTTACCTATATCCTCGAAGCTAACTGGACCTTTGTTTCTTACAAGTGATACATCTCTGAGCTTGACAGTTGCATGCAAACCAGTGAACTGGTCCACAGGGTATTAGAATCACAAATAAATACTCTGTCCACACATCACAAAACTGAAAAGCTTAATTGGCACTATCATAAAAATCACAGGCTTTGATTGTAACACCCTGGCAGTGTATTTGTGAAAAGCTGAGTACAATAGCAACTTTTAATTAGGCAACCTGTTTTTGTATGACACCAAAGCATTTTACAAATCCATTCATTTCAAGAAAAGCCAGGTAATTAATAGAATTATAGATTCTTAGTGTTGAAAGGAAACTATATAGCCTCAAAATGTTGGGACATTCCTCTAATTCCAATGACCCTTAGCACTTGTTCATTTCAGGCAGCATTGCCAGCCATCACTCCATGGATCCTCTCATCTGGAAGTGCTCCACTTCAGAAATCTTAGATTCCAAGATCCACTCTCAGAAAACAACCTCCAGACATTTCTGCCGTCCACACAGTTGCTTCTTCTCCCTCTGGCGCACGGCCACCTGTGCTATCTGCAGCCTCACCGGCATTCCCTGGCCTCGCCCTCTGCACTTCATCCTGACAGGCATGGAGTCTCCTCCTGTCACCCCAGAGCTATGTGGTGTCTTGATTAGGTGACTTTGCCCATGTTGTCATTCAACTTAATATTTATTGATCTATCTCTGTGAGAATCACTTGGCTGGCCCTTTCGTCTGGAGTGTCAGCCTCCTCTCACCTGCCCCCAGGAGGCTTCCTCCTTCTTCTTTTAACTGCTTGCACATCTTTAAGACTCAGCCTTGGAGACACGTCTTTTAAAAAGCCTTGAATGGGCCTGGGAAGTGGCTCACACCTGTAATCCCAGCACCTTCAGAGGCCAAAGTGGGAGGATCACTTGAGGCCAGGAGTTCAAGACTAGCCTGGACAACATGGTGAAAGCCCGTCTCTACTAAAAACACAAAAATTAACCGGGTATGATGGCACACACCTGTAATCCCAGCTACTCAGGAGCCTGAGGCATGAGAATCACTTGAACCTGGGGAGGCTGCAGTGAGCCAAGATTGAACACCACTGCTCTCCAGCCTGGGCAACAGAGCAAGACTCTGTCTCAAGAAAAAAAAAAAAAAAGATACCTTCTCTGACCACTCCCTCTATTCTTCCCTTTCCCATAACACTAAGTCATATGCGCCCAAAACAATTTGTGCACATCTCCATCAGTGAGTGGTTTTCCATGATGGTCATCCTCCCCGACTAGGCTGGTGTATTCTAGTGTGCTCACCTTTGGGGGTCTCTACTACTGATTATTTGCAAGACCTAAGGCAACTTATTTCACTTTGTAAGCTTCTGTTTCCTCAACTACAAAACCAGGTTATTAATAGAAATTGTATGTAAGGAACCTAGCACAATGCTTGATATACAGTAAGTGCAAAGTATGTTAAATGTTTAATAAATTAATGTCATAGGAACACCATTAGAAAACTCCTTAAAAGAAAAATATTTATTTTTTAAGCACTTGTAGGGACAAGGAGCTTGTCCCCTTGTTTGATAATTCTATTTATAGTGTAACTGAAGCCATCGTAGTTTGACTCACACTAGTTTTATTGACAAAAATGAGTGCCCTCTGCCCCTACTCCCAGTGTCCCCTGTTCTGCTAAAGAATCTTGAGACTCTCTCAAGGTGCTCTGTCATGTGTATTCAGAAACTGGTCCCTCTGGGGCAAAGCTGTTCTCAGCTGGTGCCTGTGGCTGCCACCACTGCTGTGGCCTGAGGACAGAAGTCATAACCCTCCTCTGCTTTGCCTCAGGGGTTGGTTGTGGACCTTTCCCCTTAATTCCTCTCAGGACATCAGAAGTCAAAATATTTGAGACACTGATCAGATCACAATAAAGGTTCAGGGACAATGGAAAGGAAACAGAAAACAGAGAATAAGTCAGTGCCAGGCACAGGTCCTTCCCCCTCCAGGAGGAAGTGCCCTGGGGACTCAACAGTCACCTTTCCTGGGAAATCCAGTCAGACTGACTCTAGTCCCAGCATTCTGATTTCCCGCCCCATGACTGACCTCTTCTGAGGACAGCTGGCAGTGAGCAGTTCCAGTCCCTTCAGGGGAAACCCCACCTGCATAATCTCAGGGTGATTCATCGCCAGTGCAATTCCCCAAAGCCCCATCATTCAGTCTTGCCTGTTGCCACTCTGTTGATCATGAAAATCGTGGCTACCACATCTAGTTTACTAAACAATCCTTGTTCGTAGGAAGTACAGGCGTGAAATAATTTATTTTTCTACAGTCACTTGCCTTCAGTTCTGCCATGTTCACGATCTCTCTGCTGAGTTCCCTGACAATATCTTGGTTAGATCTCTAGGGTTCCAGTCACTTTCAAAGATTAACAGCCCGATTCGGTATAGTCTGTGAACGCTGAAGGTCTGAGACAGGGCTCGGTTAATTTAGAAAGTTTATTTTGCCAAGGTTGAGGATGCACCCATGACACAGCCTCAGGAAGTCCTGAAGACATGTGCCCAATGTGGTCGGGGCACAGCTTGGTTTTATACATTTTAGGGAGACATGAGACATCAATCAACATATGTAAGAAGTACATTGGTTCCATCTGGAAAGGCAGGACGACTTGAAGTAAAGGCAGGAAGACTCGAAGCGGGGAGGGAGCTTCCAGGTCACAGATAGCTGATACACAAACGGTTACATTCTTCTGGATTTCTGATTAGCCTTTCCAAAGGAGGCAAGTCAGATATGAATCTATCTCAGTGAGCAGAGGGGAGACTGCGAATAGAATGCGAGACACGTTTGCCCTAAGCAGTTTCCAGCTTGAGTTTTCCTTAGTGATTTTGGAAGCCCAAGATATTTTCCTTTCGCAAGTCCAATTTAAAGCTTCCGTCTGGGTCCAATGCAATGACCAATGTCCACTCCGCCAGCCCTGGCCAGCCCCCACCAGAGGGACTCAGGGTGTGGAGTAGCACACCTGCTCCGGCAGCATCCTCCTCTATTCTGTGCAGTCCTCCCATCTGTGTGGACTAGTGAGGAGGAACAGGAGAGACAGACAAGTGTTTCTCACCTGCCTGGCCAGGGCTGGCAGCTGGTGGCAGACATCCAAATACTGGCTTCCTCACTGATGCTTATGTGAATTTTCCAGAAGCCCCACAGATGCCTCCCACTTCACAGTCTCTACCATCTGCTCCTACCCTTGGTGATTCACCCCACTGGTTTTTATTGTTGTTGTTGTTACCAGGGTCCACTTTCCTGGCAGCCAGTTCTCTTGGGTGGGATATGGGTGAGACAGGCTCAAGGCTGGCTGCTTTCTATGCGTTCCTTTGATCTGTGAAATCACACTTCCATCACCAAATGCTAAATGGTAGGCATGGGAGCTGCAGCACTCTACCCTTTCTCTCTGCCTCCTTCCAATTCTCTTTTCTACTTGTCACATTGGACAGAGGTGGGCCAGGCCGTCTACGTATAAGCAGACATCAAATTGGTGAGTGAGGAGGGAGCAGGAAAAGCACCTCCTCACTCTGCAGCCCCCCCAAGGAAGCAGATGACTCACCAACAGTCTCTCCTCTTGCCCCGATCTGTTTATATGGACTGGAAGCAGGTGGTAGAGATGAAGATTAGGGAAGCAGAGGAAGTTCAGCCACTTCTTAACCAGCCCTGAAAGGGATTCCTGATCCCCATTCATTTACTTTTCTTAATTGTTTGCTCCTTGACACTTCTTTGCCTCAGCTTTGGATTCCAGTTGTCAATTCCAGAGCAACAAGAAAAATGCCGGCCGGGCGCGGTGGCTCACGCCTGTAATCCCAGCACTTTGGGAGGCCGAGGCGGGAGGATCACGAGGTCAGGAGATCGAGACCATCCCGGCTAAAACGGCGAAACCCCGTCTCTACTAAAAATACAAAAAATTAGCCGGGCGTAGTGGCGGGCGCCTGTAGTCCCAGCTACTTGGGAGGCTGAGGCAGGAGAATGGCGTGAACCCGGGAGGCGGAGCTTGCAGTGAGCCGAGATCCCGCCACTGCACTCCAGCCTGGGCGACAGAGCGAGACTCCATCTCAAAAAAAAAAAAAAAAAAAGAAAAATGCCTACCAGTGTTGTGTTGTCACTATGAAACCCTAGACATTGTAGTAGGGCCTTTATACACAGAATCTCTATGTAAGCCTCAAAACCTTATTTTTTGCCCTAATTTTGTTGGTTAGGAAATAGCAACTCGGATAGTTCAAGTACATTTCTCAATCGCACAGTTAATAGTGGTAGGCCCAGGACTTAGACCCAGTGTATTGGACTGTAAAGACCTTCCACCCCTCTCAACTGTCTCTCATAGAAATTTCCTCTTGTGGTTGAGCTGAATTCTGCACCCTTGGAACTTTAAACATCCCAGTCCTAATTCTGTCTCTAGAGTAACACTAAAGAAGTCTAATGTGTTCTACCTGCCAAGAGTTTTGGATATTGTTTGCTCTAGAATCTGGCATGTGGCTGGCATTATTAGGAGATTAGGTCATTCTGGCTTTCCATTCAAATATTGGAAGACAGTTACTGTCCCTATGGTTTCTTTTCCCCAGTTAAGCACCCCTATCTCCTTCATCTGATTTTCTCATGCTTCCAGACCCTAAGCAATATTTTACAAACACCTTTAAAGACAGAGAGAGCCCTTGCCTTTCCATAGCTCTTGCTATTTCCTCATGTTTCCTTTTCCCTTCTCCCTGTCCTACCTTCAGCTCCTATTTTCTTCCTACTCTCTCTATTCAGCTCAGACTTGGTGGCGAAGACCTTGAATGAAATCCTCCTTTCAGGCCTCCAAGCTTTCAGATGGAGCCCAAGATGGAGGTCAGTGGACTACTATTTGGAGGTGAGCATGGAGGGCTTCTCAAATGTTTTCACCATGATTCATTTCTGATCCTTCTTTTCCAGAATGAGTTTGCTGAGCCTACTCATTAACTGGGAATACCACCATACTGGCTCTTCCTTCTCTAGGCCAGTGGCCCACAATCTTTTTTTTAAATAAGATGCCTGGGCTCGCCCCCAAAAGATAATAATTTAATTTGTCTAGGATAGCCCCCCAGGCAGATATAGGTTTGTGAAGCTCCCCAAGTGAATCTAAGATGCAGCCAGCATATCTGAGATACAGCTTTAAATGAAATTCAGCTTGTCTCATCCCACCACACACTCCTGATGAGGGTCTATTCTGAAAGCTTGTGTAGTCTCACCTAATTTCCACAGTGGACCTCAAGCATATTCTACTTCAGCCCCCTCTTGAAATGCCTCCTAGTCTCTGGGTGGAGAGAAATTCTAGTTCTCCATTAATTTTCAGGGCAGTAGTGAGTGGCTTACTCTGAGACCATGGAATAATCAAGTTCTTCCTGACTCCAGCCACCAGCTTTGTTCACTCTCTCAGACTCTCTTTGGCCATCCTTTTAGGCAACCTTCCCCCTGGCCTCTGCCTTTCTGGAAGGGTCTCCCTGAATGTCCTCATTAGTTATAAAACAAACACGTTGGCTGGGTGTGGTAGCCTGTAATCCCTGTAATCCCAGCACTTTGGGAGGCCGAGTTGGGTGGATCACCTGAGGTCAGGAGTTCAAGACCAGCCTGGCCAATATGGTGAAAACCGTCTCTACTAAAAATACAGAAATTAGCTGGGCATGGTGGCAGGTGCCTGTAATCCCAGCTTCTTGGGAGGATGAGGCACAAGAATTGCTTGAAGCCAGGAGGCGGAGGTTGTAGTGAGCCGAGATCACATCAGCCTAGGCAACAGAGTGAGATTCCGTATGTATATATATAAAAATTCTAAAACCCAAGAAGGCCAATTCTCAGTGTCCGCACCTACATACTTCCTTCCCACAATCATGCTAGACAGTACTAATCAATCAGGCACTGGATTGTTCTGAGCCAAGTCATGGCTTTGGCATCCTACTCAACCCAGTGCTCCAGGCAGGCACTATTAGCCAATTAGAAGAGGCCTTGAAAATGAAACGTTAAACACTCAGGGAAAATGGCTGTAATAATATCCAAGAGGGGAATATGAAAAGTGTCCTCCTTAGTAACTCAGATCCTATTTTTACACCATTCTTATAAAGGGGCCCTCAAAACAGAGAGATATAGGGACAACATGATCTGTGATAACTCATGTTTGAATGTGATGTGACTGGTGACTGTTTCTTGTCTTCTATTTTGGACTCACCCAGTTCATTCACTAAACACACAATAACTGCCCTACATTTTACTTGATTAAAAATTTTAGCTTCTTGAGAAAAGTGTGGTTCATTGAATGGCTAGAGAAATGAGCAGGTCTCATCTAAACTGGATTATAAATTCCTTGAGGGTGTATCTTTCCAAGCACACTTTTTGTCATTTTCTGTAATTTTGAAATGAGTAGTACTAAATTTAAAGCCAAGAAATGTACATGAAATGCCTATTCTGCCATAGTGCAATAATTGTACTCTCTGGACAGCTCACATTACCAAAAAATTTATTATAAACGTAATTGTTTCCATGGGTGATGCGGTTAGGATCTGGAGGGTCTCTAACACAATTCTATCACCTTCATTGTTATTATAGACAAAACGCAAAATTGGTATAAGGAAGAGATAAACAAAAGCAATCAGAGTTAAATGAGCAGCCAGCCACACAGCAAAGCAGTGATGTATTCCCAGACTGTGCTAGCCACAGCTTTTTCATTTTTCTTATTTTGGTGTAGTTCTTGATTGGAATTGTTATGATCAAAGATATCTGTGTTATGCAAAACATGCTCCCTAATTAGCCAATTGTCTTTCAAGCAATTCATGTTAAGAAAACTTGTTTTGAGGAAGAATTGTCTGTACTTAATGCCAATAAATGAAAGTGTGGTTCACCTCATTCTAATCTTTTAAGAGGATGCAGCCCATCCTCCCAAGCCCTTCAGAGCCTCTGATTTTGACTGTTCATCCTATTTTGGTTCCCTATCTTGAGCCTCAGTCTCCCCTCAAGCCCCTGGTTAGGCATCCTGATTTCAGACTTAGCACCTCAGAAGCATCTCCAGGAAACAGTCTCAGGTACTCCACCTAGCCTCAAGCATCCTAACCAGGGATGAGAAGAGATCTGTCCCTGAGCACTCGCCACAGCCCCTGAAATCTGCCAGTCTTTGCCCGATTCTCACCTTTTAGGGGAGGGATACTGTGTAGGTGTGACCTGTAAAGAACGCTCACCAGCATTCTCAATTCTTTTCAGACTAATCTGCAAATTACTCATTGATCTGAATGATTAGAACAAGACAGATTCTTGTCCCTCTAGGAGGTTTGATCCAATCTAGTTTAGAAGAAAAGATTTGCACTAGACTAGAATTTCTTCCCATCTGGTGATTCCATAACCTATTCTTATCAGTGCTTGCAACTAGAGAACCAAGTTATTTTGGGTGAGGATTTGTGGTTTACAGCTCAATTCCTTCAGTGTGAACAGCAAGGCTATTTATAGTTATCTCATTTTATTGCTTTAATTTATGTATCTGAAAGAGTCTGCTCTAATTGTGGGTGATTATCAGAAGGGAAATGTGCTCTCATGCACCTCAGGGGATTGTTTGTGGGCCTATGGTTTTAAATAGCCCATTTATTCCCTAGTGGGTAGAAAATCAATTTTATGGATCTTCAAACATATATAATAACCATCATAAATAGAAAAGTTAAATATTAAAGTGATATTAGCATATTGTACATTTGCTTTACTGATTTTTCCTTTTGGTCTGTAAACAGCTACCTATGTTTCTACTATGTATTTCCAAGGGTATTTCTAGTGTAATACAAAACAGAGAGATTTTGCCCCCTCTGTGGATTGCTGGGAGTAGTTGAGATCAGCTAATGGCACTGATGTGGAGACCCAAGGCCTCAAGCAACAAAGAAGAAGACTCCCCAAGGCATAAGAAAAGTAGGGTTGAATTTCTACTTGCTGCAGGTGGCCTTATGGAAATTTGGTATGTCCAAGCAAAGCTCAGCAGCCCTGTCAAGAAGCATTTGATATGTACACCTTTCCAATCTGGTCTTCTCACTGATACTAGAGTTGTATTTCTCAACCAAAATTTAGGTGAGAATATTATTCTGCTCAAAAACTGGAATGCATTTTTGTTCTTAAATTCCTAGCAAGATTCTTTACCCATACTGTTTCCCCAACAGTGCCATATTCTCCAACACTCTAGGCCTTTCTTATGTAATTTCATCTGACCCTAATGTCATTGTCCCCAATCAAAACCCTACTCACACTGAAGGATATTAAATGGCATCACATTCAAGAAACCTTTTCTGATCAAAGTCACCCGTCCCCAATCAAAATCAACTCTCCTCCATCCTCATTTGCAACCTCTTAGTTATTTCATTTTGTACTTCATGACTAGTTGCTGACATACTTACCTTGCTCGTTAGCTTGCATACTTCTGAAATTCAGATTATCTCATTTCTTTGTGTGTGTACCATAAGGTTCACAGGTATCTTCTGCATATAAGTTGTGAAGGAAAAGTTAGTAATTGCTATCTGAGCACAATACTGAGAGGTGGGATGAACTAGAATATCCGTCTCATTGTTCTAACCCTATAAAAGGGAAACTTGGAATTTAAAGCTGATGGAAGCCTGAGCCACCCCTCTCGGACAGCTGGTGTGGTAACCTATTAAAGAAACAAGTTCAACTGGGTGCGGTGGCTCATGCCTATAATCCCAGCACATTGGGAGGCCAAGGCGGGAGGATTGCTTGAACCCAGGAGTTCAAGACCAGCCTGGGCAACCATAGAGAGAGCCTGTTTCTTAAAAAAATAATAATAATAAAATTAAGTAGCTGGTTTTGGTAGCTCACACCTGTAGTCCCAGCTAGTTAGGAGGCAAAGCCAGGGGGATTGCTTGAGCCCAGGAGTTTGAGGCCGCAGTGAGCTATCATCATGCCACTGCATTCCAGCCTCAGCAGCAGAGCAAGACCCTATCTCTAAAAAGAAATAAAAATAAAAAATAAAGAAACAAGTGCTTTTTGACACAACAAACAGTGAGTTCCATTTTTCTCAAAAGGGTAAGAGAAAAGCCAAGTTAACCAAAGAAATAACCTTTTTTAGATGTGAGTTTAGACGGTGTTCTCTTAGGCAAAAAGGTGAGAACTTGTTAGGTAACCAGTGAGGAAATCAACTGTAGCTGTCATGGTGGGGAGACTGAACAGCCACTTTCATCCTCATTCAGGGGCCTGGAGCCCATCCCTCCCTTCCAGAGCTGACTGAATAAATAGCAGTGCCCCAGAGAACAATTTGTCAAAGCCTGAGGACCTCAAGCTTTCAAGACTCAAAAAAGGTTTCTCTGGACAGAGCTTCCTCTTCCTTACGTGGAAGGAATTTCCCCAGTTACAGGATGGGGCCTTTAATGGCAGTGCAGAGAGATGGAGGGAAGAAAGCATGGAAGGATGGATCTCCAGAAGGCATTTTCCTTTTAAAGCCCAGGTCAGGAAGGACCTCTCCTCAGGTGGAACAAAGGAATGTGGATAGAGCCACAGCCAGCACTTCTCACACTGCCTTGAGGACAGATCCTGAGATCTGACCCTCCCTTGGGAAAAAGCAACAAAAACACAAGAGTTCCCACAGTCACTGAGGCTCCATTTCGTTTGGCCAAGTGGAGACTGACAGGCCAAAAGGTTGGGCAGAGACAGAACTGGAGGGAACTTTGCCCCCAAGTGGGTTACCAGAAGGGTCCTACCTGGTAATGGCAGTAATGAGGAGACTCATGGCCCACAGAAGCAGGGAACATGATGAGCCATAGAGATGGCCACGCTGGAGTCCTTGATTGTGCCATGTCAGCAAAGAACAGCCTGAACAATTTAACAGGAGGGGCCTCGTCATTCTCTGGTGAGGAGGACTAGGGATTCCGATTTAGGGTACCACAGTTAGACTATTTGCTGAAATAAATCATTTGTGTAATGAGAGAAAGCAAAAAATATCTATGGGAGGCCATACTGAAGAGAGCACTGCAGACTGTCTGATCCCCCTTTCCAGCCTGCTAGTGCCAGAGCATTGTTCCTCTGCTGTGTTAAGTTTGTCAGGGGATGTCACAGTCTGCACTGTATGAAGCTGGATTCCAAAGGTACCTTTTTAGAAGCCAAGCAGGTGCCCAAAATCACTCTCAATCTGAAGGGGCCAGGAAATAAGAAATCTAGGGATGAGGCGGCTGGGCATAGTGGCTCACACTTGTAATCCCAGCACTTTGGGAGGCGCAGGTGGGTGAATCACCTGAGGTCAGGAGTTCAAGACCAGCCTGGCCAAGATGGTGAAACCCTGTCTCTACTAAAAATACAAAACTTAGCTGGGCACGGTGGCGGGCACCTGTAATCCAAGCTACTCAGGAGGCTGAGGCAGGAGAATCTCTTGAACCCGGGAGGCGGAGGTTGCGGTGAGCCGAGATCACGCCACTGCACTCTAGCCTGGGCGACAGAGCAAGACTCCGTCTCAAAAAAAGAAAAGAAAAGAAAAGAAATTTAGGGATGAGGCAGAATAGGACAGAAGGTTTGAAGTGCCGGATGGGGGATGCTCTGAGCCAAAGCATATACTTTGTTTTTCCGGTGAGCCAGGGGCTCTGGAATCTGGATAGAGAGAAAACTCAGTGGAACTGACTTAGCCTGAAAAAAATGCTGGCCTAGGGAATTTGAATTGTGTTCTATTAGCAGTAGAGAGTTGTTGACATTGCTTGTTGTATTGTGTTTTGTTTTTCTTTGGCAGAGAAAAGTAGTGTTGAGAGAAAATTTTCTAGAAACAATATACAGAATGGAGTGGAAAATAGAAAAAAAGAGAGGTTGAAAATGCATGAGATGAAAGGGACTGAACTAAGGAATGATGATGGGACTAGAAAGAAATAGGAGTGTGTGTGTGTGTGTGTGTGTGTGTGTGTGTGAAAATACAAATGAAGAATTAGCAGGCCTTCATATCTGACTAAGCATGAAGAGAAAGATAAGTTTCAAAGATGACTCAGGGTTCAAGTCTGAGTGAAGACAAAAATCTTGGCACCATTTAGGAGTAAGAGTAGTTGGTGTTTCTATCGTCTCCTCCCTCAAGTTTACCCTAAACATATGTTGGTGGGAACAGCTCATTTTATGAAAGTTGATAAGCTTACAATTTTTGAATCAGACCATTGAAGCAGGAAAAAGGAAAGAATGAAACTTTTTCTTAATTACAAAATTCTTCCAACTAGATAGGGAAGATAATGTAAGTGGAGCCCAACCAAGCTATATATCATCCATTCAAGCCAATATTACTTAAATACTCTTTCATATGTTTAGAGGGAAAAATGAATTTTTATTAACAAAAGTTGTATACTTTTTTATGTTCAAAAGAGTTGATTTATTATTTGAACTGTAGCATAAGATTTTCACATTTCAGTTTTTCCGTCACTCATGTCAATAATATCAATCAAATTTTGTTTCACTGAATCTGTGGCATTTACTTCATTTAGAAAAGAACATTTCCAATTTCAATCAGCTTTCAGTTACACAGTCATAAAAGTAATTATTTGTCCCAACAGATATCCAACACTGCTTTATTTGATTTTTCTATATCATAATCAGGAAATAAAACCTATTTTGTATAGGAAACTTGTTATTTAGACAGAGCCTTGCTCTGTCACCCAAGCTGGAGTACAGTGGCACAATCACGGCTCACTGCAGCATTTAACTCCTGGGCTCAAGTGATCCTCCCAAATAACTGAGACTACAGGCACCTGCCACCACAACCAGCTGATTTTTATTTTTATTTTGTAGAGACAGGATTTTGTCATGTTGCCAAGGCTGGTCTTGAACTGTTGGACTCAATCAGTTTTTCCACCTCAGCCTCCCAAAGCACTGAGATTGCAGGTATGGGCCACCATGCCTGGCCTGTAAAGGAAACTTTTGGAGAAACAGGAAAAAACGCATTCATTTAGTGCTTTACTCCTGTAGCCCAATGTCAAAACTAAAAAAAAAAAAACGGCAAAAATTATCTAATTTTTCTATAGATTTTTTCCTTCTCTTTTTTTTTTTTTTTAGTAGGAAACTTCTTGGGAGTTCTATTACAGGTTTAAATTTTAGACTGAAACAAATTACTTGTTTTGTGTATGTGGCACAGTGTCATAATAGTAGCTGACTGAGACCTCAGAAGACTATCAGCTGATCTCACATGATATGGTTTGGCTCTGTGCCCCAACCCAAACCTCATGTTGTAGCTCCCATAATTCCCAGGTGTTGTGGGAGGGACTCAGTGGGAGATAATTGAATCATGGGGATGGGTCTTTCCCATGCTGTTCTCTGATAGTGAATAAGTCTCATGAGATTGATGGCTTTAAAAATGGGAGTTTCCCTGCACAAGCTCTCTCTCTTTGCCTGCCACCATCCATGTAAGATGTGACTTGCTTCTCCTTGCCTTCTGCCATGATTGTGAGGACTCCCCAGCCACGTGGAACTGTAAGCCCATAAAACTGATTTCTTTTGTAAATTGCTCAGTCTTGGGAATGTCTTTATTAGCAGCGTGAAAATGGACTAATATATCATGATTGAGACCCAACTGATAGTTGCAGTGTGCAACATGCATGTGTATGTTGAAAGATACTCTTCAGAGATTTTTGTTTGGTATTTCTTCTCAAGAACACAAAGGAGCAGGACAGCTAACATTTTTCCCATTATGCAAGGAATTCATTAACTAGCACAATATTCTCAATTTGTTATGGTGTGTCCATATGAATTCTTAAAGACTGGGGTCCCACCAGAGTAAAGAAACTACTTACCTTTTAAACCAGCTCTGAGTTTAAAATAATTTCTTTTGTGGGAAATCCTCAACAATTAAACAGTTAGTTGGTATGTTTCAGAGAACTTTGTTAGGAAATCACATGAAAATGTGGCCAACGCACTACCTATGAGGCCACTGGTCACCAGCTGAGCTGAAGGTGGAGCTTTTTCTTCTGTTCTGTTGCTTTACATGGATAAAACCAGTGTCTTCTCTCTGTCCGTAAGAAACTACATTTGTAACTCAGTGAATCTTTTAGTCCCTGATATTAGGAAATCCATAAAGTACAGAGATCTAGAAAGTTCCTTCAGAAAACAGTGTTCTGGTGAATTAGTTTGCTGAGACTGCTGAAACCAAGTACCACAGATTGGGTGACTTAAACAGAAACTTATTTTCTCACAGTTCTAGAGACCAGAAGTCTGAGATCAAGGCATCAGCAGTGTTGGTTATTTCTGAGAGCTGTGAGGGAAAGGTCTGTTCCAGGTCTCTTTCCTTGGCTTGTAGATGGTCTTCTTGTGTCTTCACATCGCCTTCTCTCTGTATGTATCTATGTCCAAATTGTCTTGTCTTCTAAGGATATCAGTCATATTGGATTGGGGCCCATCCTAATGACCTCATTTTGAATTGATCACCTCCTTAAAGACCCTATCTCCAAATATAGTCACATTCTGAGATCCTTGGAGTTAGGATTTCAATATATGAATTTGGAGAGGGACACAATTGAGCCCATAATATCTGGATACAAAGTTTTGTGGATCTTAAAGATCTACTCACTTTTAGTCCCTGTTTGAGTTACTGCAGGACCTTGTCCTATAGGGCAAAATGAGTCCTAAATGTGTCCCCACACCACAACAGCACTGCCCATCATGCACCGTAACCTTTCTTCTACTTTTACTTCAGCTTCGCTTCGTCCCATCAGCTCCTCACAAGGCTGCTGGGAGAAGAAGGCTTGCTGTAGCCACCAGCCTCCAAGAACTCCAGAGTCCTTGTCCAGGGTGCAGGGCCCATGCCCATGGTTGCTGGTCCTGGGGGTGTCACAGCCGTGCTCCCAACCACACCTGTCACCTGAGCTCCTGAATCAACTTGGCCTGTCCTCAAGCCTCACAAAGTTCTCTGAATAACTCATCCAGCCCCAGGCTCCAAACCCCCACTGCACAGAGGACCCCAAACCTGCCTAGACTTGGAGAAAAGACTCCATTCTGCCCTGTCTAACCTCTCTAACCTCTCCTCCCTCTACTACAGCCTGTCCATCCTACAAAACATCCTCTTTCCTCTCAAGTTCAAGACAGAGACTTTAATCCTGAGCAGTAGAGACAAGCAATTTCCAGTATGTGAATCTATGTCAGGGTGGGGGTGGGAGACAGTGTGGGTGGGTGGGGGCATGCTGTGTGGTGAGGAGGTATGTGGCATGTTTGCAGGTATAAAAGGTAATTTTAGAACAGAATTTGATTTTTCAACACGAACTCCGAACGATCAGCCTGTAGCCATGAAGGGGAGGGAGGCTCCCCCTTAAGTTCCTTTTTGTCTGGGCCTGAGAATTAAATTCACACAAGACAGATCAACTGGAGAAAAGCATACAAATGAATGTAACAGATGTGTTACATGGCACAGGAGCCTTGTAATGAAATGAAGACCCAAGAAGAAATTAGAGTCAATTACTTATATACTGAATTGGCCAAAGATTGGACCAAGCAAGTTTTGAAGAAGCAACTAGAGTTCTGGGAAGACTTAAAAAAATAAGAGTTATTTTAACAAGGTCTGTACAGAATTCTCTTGGTCTCAACTTCTCACCCTTGGTAATAAGAATGTTGCCTTTTCTTCTCATATAGGGAGGGTGTCTTTCACGTGGGAATTTCATCTCCTACTTTTTAAAAACAGAAACAAAGTCAGAATGATCTACTTGCACCTGCTGATTTTCAAGTGCCTTTAATTCAAAATAGTCAACATGTGAGAGTGGCATATTTTTAACTCCTTCATCATCTACAGATATGGTGAAATGAAGAGAATCACAGAATCTGAAATAGTTATAAGAAATCCTAGAGATACTTTTACCAGTATCTTTATAGTTTAAGTAAAGAAACTGGGACACAGAAATATTGTGTCCAAGTTTACATCATAGTTTATAAAAGATTGAATACTCTAAGTCTAAAAGCTAAGACGTGCAATGGTCTGATACTACAGATTAAAACTGTGGAAAGAGTTCCATATGAAATTGTATTGGGGCTGGGCACAGTGGCTCATGCCTGTAATCCCAGCACTTTGGGAGGCCAAGGTGGGTGGATCACTGGAGGCCAGTAGTTTGAGACCAGCCTGGGCAACATGGCAAAACCCACTCTCTCTACAAAAAATATAAAAAATTAGCTGGGCGTGATGGTGCACGTCTGTAGCCCCAGCTACTCAGGAAGCTGAGGTGGGAGGATCACTTGAGCCTGGGAGGTTGAGGCTGCAGTGAGCCATGATTGTGCCATTGTACTCCAGCCTGGGTGACAGAGTGAGACCCTGTCTCAAGAAAAGAAAAGAAACTGTGCACTGGAGTATCTGTCCAGTTCATAGTGTCTTCCTTAAAGTTCCCTCTTCCCATGCCCAAAGTGGATCAATCTCCATTCCACTTTCCACAGTTGGCTGAACTGGACTGGACACCTGACCCAGGATAAGTCAATCAGAGTCCCTTCTCAGGGAATTTGGAATTAGGCTTGGAGATAGACAGTGGCAATTGATGTAGCTAGACCCAGTGACAAGGTCAGATTCGCCGCTGTCCAGTGGTACCCAAGCACGAGGCAGTGGTACTCTTTCGCCACAGCACTAGCCCTGCTCTGGGATGAGGCCCGCCCTCTGTTGGGGAAGGCTTAGGAATGTCCTGCTCTGTTCAAAAGGCTGCTTGTCCACTATGGCCTGAACAGATGGAGATCGCTAAGTCTTGAGTCCAGGAAGCCCTTTTTTTGCTGGCCAAGGGTATGTGCTGGCTGCTGCCTGTGGAAGAACTTGTATAGGTCACAAAGCAACAAAACCCAGATAACTGTGGCACCTTGGCAAAAAGCACCAGGGGCAGTGTGGGCTCACTCCACAGTGCTCCTGGATCTGTAGGTCTGGCTAGGCTCCCCCATGTGGCTCCCAGCCCTGGGGAGTGAGGTACTCACAGTCTCTGGGTGCCAACTCTGCCTCCATCCATACGGCTTCCCTAAGATCCTGTTCCTTTATCCCCAGGGCTCCACTGACCTGACCTCTCCTACCCCCTGGGGAGAGGGTGGTCATAGTCAGGGTCCTCCTGCAGCTTCTTTCTAATGTATTATTGTTAGGACAGAAATTGTATACCTTGTTTCCTTCAAGATCTTCCCTCTCAATTCACAATCCTTTCTTTCTTTCAACAAAACCCACCTCATTCTTCAAATCAAAAGCTTTGGCTTTCAGAGCTATTATTTCTGATAGGTTCTTAGAAAAGAGTCTGTTTTGGCCGTGTGCAGTGGCTCACGCCTGTAAACCCAGCACGTTAGGAGGCCGAGGTGGGTGGATCACTTGAGGTCAGGAGTTTGAGACCAGCCTGGTGAAACCCCGTCTCTACTAAAAATACAAAAATTAGCAAGGCCTGCTGGCCCATGCCGGTAGTCTCAGCTACTCAGGAGGCTGAGGCAGTAGAATCACTTGAACCTGGGAGGCAGAGGTCGCAGTGAGCTGAGATCGCACCACTGCACTCCAGCCTGGGTGACAGAGCGAGACTTCATTTCAGAAAAAAAAAAAAAAAAGCCTATTTTGTAACAGCCCCCCACCACCACCAACAAAAAAGCATTGGCCGTTTCTTTATTTTTGCATACTAGCACTAGCTAACCACTCTAATTCTCTCTTTAAGTCAATGTGGATGGCTCTGGGTGAGCACAAGGAAATGCAAAACAGAAACACACACACACACATTAATATTTTAAGAAATTACTTTGCTATGTGGGTAAACTCACTATTGTTGGCAGTCATATTCCACCTTGTAAATTAGGGAGAGGGTATAAGCCAGTTTGCAGAGATGATCATGAAGCTGACTCACAAAGAGAAACAGAGGAGATGGTGAAGCCAGGAATAGTGGCTCACGCCTATAATCCTAGCACTTTGGAAGGCTGAGGTGGGCGGATTGCTTGAGCTCAGGAGTTCGAGACCTGCCTCGGCAACATGGTGAGTCCCCTGTCTCTACAAAAATAAACAAAAATCTTCTGGGCATGGTGGCATGTACCTGTAGTCCCAGCTACTTGGGAGGCTAAGGTGGGAGGAACCCTTGAGCTGGGGAGGTCGAGGCTGCAGTGAGCTGAGATCATGCCACGACCCTGCAGCCTGAGTGACAGAGTGAGACCCTGTAACAAAACAAAACAAAAACAAACAAACAAGCAAAACCAGAGGAAACAGTGGAAAGAGGACTGTCTGGGTTCCTGACACTTTTTAAATTCCAAGTTTTAGTCTAAATAGAGCTGTCCTTTTTCTCCATATCCTTAAATATCATTCTATTCTTAAAATAAATTTATAATTTTTCTTAAGCTAACTCGAGTTTATACTTTTAGCAACCGGAACAGTGCTAATTAATACAGTTTCATGGTTGCAAAGCTAAGCTACATTTTCCCAACTAACTTTAAAAATCGTTATAGAGATTAACACTAGTAGTTAAATGGTCCTATAACTTTTGTTATAAAAGTTGGTATTATTTATTGCCCCTCTAGTTAACATTTCCCTAATGAAGTTTTCAGAATGTGGTTGCAATTAGTCTCAAATGTTGGTATCCATCTGGAAAGAGATATGACCAACATAGACTCTCTCTGCCCCTCTTGTTAAATGGTAGTTGCTATGCCATGGGCGTCTTCCCCAGGTAAAGACTTCCTCTCTGTGTGTTCGGACCACGGGAGCAAGCATCAGAGGTCCGTGCTTAGCCGGCTGCCGTGACGCTCCTGATGCCATTGACTCTCTCGCTTTGATTAGAGGTCTGCCACATGCTAGGGAGGAAAGTAATTTCCTTCTCTATTATTTTCACTCTGCCCCGATGCTTTCTTTTTAGGGAACCAATACAAGCCTGCTTCTTGGGAATTTTGCTCCCGTGGCTCCTACTAATCGCTAGCAGGCAGTGATGCAGCCAAATTTCTCCCAGCTCACTGAAACGTATTCCTGCCTTAAACTGGAGCAGTCAAATTCTCCCTGCAGATAATTTGGAATTGGGCTTTAGAGACTCCGGTCAGTCTTGATTGGGGTCTGGATAGAAAGTTATTGTCGGGCTGGCCTGGGCAGCCATGAGCATCTTGCAGCAGACATTGCTGGTCTGAGAGAGACAAAGCAAGTGTGCAAAGGGAAGGGAGGATGAGGAAACACTCTGCCTCTCAGAGAGGTATGCAGAGGACCACCTTTTCTTCTGAATTCCCCAGCTTCTTGGACTCCAGTTCCTCCTGAGGCTGGGCTGTACTTCCTGCCCTGGGGTTCCTTAAGATGTCCTTATATTCTTCTCGAAAACTTCCCTGTGCTTAAGCTCATTTGAATGGGCTCTATGCCAGTCAATCACAGAGTCTTGCCAATAGCTCACTATAGGGGTCAGTCATTACATAATTGATAGAGTATGTGACTGTCACTCATTCACGTGATTCCCAAAACAGGTTTCATTAAAGAGAGAAAAAGAACACAATTTAAGTTAATTTCTTCCCTTTCCATTTATCTCTTCAGAGTAGAAAATGGCATCTGGATGTATTGACTTTCCTTTTTAATATGAACAGAGACTTTAGAATTCATTTTACAAAATTGTATTATATGGCCAGGCACAGTGGCTCACGCCTGTAATCTCAGCAATTTGGGAGGCCAAGGCAGGTGGATCATTTGAGGTTAGAAGTTCAAGACCAGCTTGGCCAACAGGGTGAAACCCCGTCTCTACTAAAAATACAAAAATTAGCCAGGTGGTAGTGGCGTGCACCTGTAATTCCAGCTACTAGGGAGGCTGAGGCAGGAGAATCGCTTGAGCTTAGGAGGCTGAGGTTGCCATGAGCTGAGATCACGCTGCTGCACTCCAGCCTGGGCGACAGAGTGAGAAAAAAAAAAGGTAGCATTATGTATTAGTTGTAAGCATAAATGTGAGAACCAAAAAATTATCAGCACTTAATATATGGGATGACAGATTCAGCAGTCCTGATTTTAAATAATATTGAGGCCATCAGATCCTTTCCCTCATAAATGTCAGCTATTTGTGGAGTGACCCTGTGCTTAGTAGTGTTTCAGAAAGCTCCTGACAACTGGAGAAGTTGGGTTGAACTTTAATGAAGAAAAAGCTAACTGAAAATGGAATGTCATCTTTGTCCAAAGTAGATACAGTTTGGCTGTAGCTTTCCTAGACGATTAAAGCTAGAAGAGATCAAATAGGGCCTCTTAACCTCGATTTTATTATGTTTTGGGTGAGGCTGTGGACCCACTGAAATTTATGCAAAAGTTGAGGTTAAGTGCATGCACTGTTATAAGGAAAGGAGTAATGTGTTTCATCAGCTAACCAACAGGGCACATGACACAGGAGTTAACAACCAGTTAAAGCCCAATCCCTTTTTAACAGAAAACTGAGGCACGGCAAAAATGTGATTTGATAAGTCACACATAAATACAATGGTCAAGGCAAAGACTGAAATCCACACATCCGGAACATTATCCAGGGTTCTTCTGCCGCACGACAGTGCCTCCTGAGTGCTCAAATAAAAGCCTCTTTAACGTGGGATTGTAATGAGCAGGCAAAGCATGCTCTTCAACGGCGAGACAAAGGTTGCTGACTCCAAGAATTTGTTTTCCTCAGTAAATATTAGCAATAACTTAAATGTTTATAAGATTCATCTCATGGATTCTTGGGGATATGCATGGAATCAGGTGAGAAAGTACCCCCTAAAAATCTGCACCCCCTAAAAAGGCGGTGACAATTTTATAGCATCTTTATGTCTTGTGTATGCCATGATTTCACCACAATCTCAGGATTTGGAGGGCATCTTTTATGATAACCTCTTACAAATGAGAAAACTGAAGCTCAAAAAGCTTGAATGACTTGCTTACAGGTCTCATCATCTGAAGATAAAACTAGTTGTAAAATGAAGGTTTTTTGACTCCCCGTCCTTTGATCTGTAGCACATGGCTTTGAACTTCCAAAGTGCTCTTCTCTGGATAAGAAAAATGCAGCTATAGATATGGGGATATAAAATGATTTGATGGCAGTCAAATAAATAGTGGATGAGCCAGGACTCAAACTCCTGTTTCCTAAATTATCTCTAACCACTAATAGTAAAAATTTTGTGTTTATATTGTTGTTGTTTGTTAAGTAATAAAAATCTCACCTAGCAGAGAAGAAGGGTGCCGCAGGGAAATGAGACCTGAACTAGGGAAACAGAGACCTGGGGTCTCTGGCTGTGTCACTTGTTCACTGTGTGAGAGCTTTGACAAGTCACTTAACAGCTGGGCCTGGATTTGCTTTGGGAAATGGGACAGGTGACCTCAACATGCTACACTCTTTCAATAGAACAGGCTTTTTTGATTCTTCTGTGTGTGTATCATAGCCCATGTGATAATGTGGCAGAATTCGCATTCTGGTGCCCTATCTGCAGTCAAACAAACAAAATGGACATGCTGTGAGATGTTTTTGAGAGAATGAAGTGAATTTTGAAAGCCATTTTTATTAAGCTAAAAGTAGCAAACTACGAAGGATGGGAACAATTAGTCTAATTTCTTTAACTCAGGAGTCTTTATGAGTTAATTACCTTGCAACTTAGTTCAAGAGTAGTGTATTGTAGGCTACTAAAATTTTAAAATATGATAGCTCTTTACTTCCAATTCCAATTTGAGTTTTAGTGGATATTTTCTTCCCCAAATATGTGGTTGAGCACATATTGTTTTCTAGGATTTCTCGTGTATAAATTCACTCTCTTTGATGGGAGAAGCTAGAAGCAGATGTAGTTTACTTTCAAGGAATTAATGTCATCAAAATTCATCATTTCTGTGAGATCAGGAAGAATATGTTTAGGTTGAACTACTGCTATTAAAGTGTTCTGATCATAAGTCAAAGCTGCTCTTAACAGGAGAAAAATAAATATATTTTAGAGGCTTAAACATATTTCAAGTCCTTTTTTAAAAAATCATTAGTGAATTGTTACTGTTGCCTTCTAAAACTTCTCTTCATGCCTGCTTTTCACTACATATTTTTGAAGCCATAACAACTACAGATAAGCAGTGATAAGATAAGCAAAGTGTTTTAAACCAAAGAAACATGGGCTAGTATATACAGCCAGATGTCAATGAGGGTACCCTGGTATCCTGGGTCAAGAGTCATTAATATATTGCAGTTAAAAAGTCATTTTACTGAAATTTATGGAAAAACAAAGAAAATAAAAAATGTTTTCTTTTACATTAATTTGCTGTGCTGTAAATTTTAGGTGTTGCCTGATTAGTTGTTCTATGGGATTCTTCTTTGACCTTTTTAGGTACAGACAGTGCAAAGGTGGTGTGCCTAGTGAGCTTGGATGTATCAAACAGCTGTAAGAAAATCTCTCCAACCTTCTCTGAATAAAGGAGGAATGTGGTGTTTATTGAGGAACAGGCAACCCTTACATTTGAATAAAAGATGCCATATAGTGAGTCCATTACTCATTTTCATATTCTTCCTGTTTACTTCTGTCAGTATGCTGTGTTTTACTTTAGTAAATTAAACTATTGCATCAATTATTTTTCCCAATTACCCTGTTTGGTAGCACTCTCTTAACGTTCTTAAAGTTAACTGTAGCCTCTTTAATAATCTGCTTCCACAGCCTGTTCTCACCCTGCTTGACTCTTACCTAGTTTGACATTCCCAATACCCTCTATTCTGTGGCTTCCTGCCTGTTCTTCTAGGATGTTTCTTTCTCTCCGTTGTCCTCCCATTTCTCTGACTGCTCTTTCTTGGTATCCTTGGTGGCTTTTGTTGTTGTTCCACCTACCCCATATAGTTAATATTTCCCAGAGATCTAGCCTTACCCATCTCCTCTTTTATTTTCCTGTTGTCTCATTCACTCCCGTGGCTTCAGCGGCCAATTAGGAGACTCCAATGACTATCAAATCTAAGATCCCGGTCTTGACCTGAATTCCAGGCTTTCCTGATCTCCAGACTTTTGTCTCCAAGTAAATCCTAAGTAGCTCCACTGAAATAAACGGAAGGCCTCTCAAACTCCACAGGTCCCAAATAGAATTCATTGTCTCCCTCATTGTGGAAGGCAGTCTCCCGGGTGGCCCCTAGTGGTACTGATTTCCCGGTATGCATTCATGTCCTGGAGTGGGAGCAGAGAATGAGTCTGGGTAGTGGGCAGTTTATAATGCTTTATTACATTCTTTGTATTTGTTCAGGATAATGGTTGTCTGTTTTAGATTACAACTCTTTCAGGCTCAAAAATCATATTTTAATTTGTTCTTATGGTCACCTTGTCCTTAGATGTGCCTAAAAATGTTAATGAGGATAATTTTTTGTTGTGTTTAGGAAACTTGAGTTTTTAAAAACATTTTCCCCATCTTTAAAAAAGACAGTTGGGAGCCATTGTGCCTAATGGCCAGGCACAATGGCTCCCAACTGTAATCCCAGCACTTTGGGAGGTCAAGGTGGGAGGATTGCTTGAGCCCAGGAGTTCAAGGCCAGTCTGGGCAACATAGTGAGATTCCATCTCTAAAGAAAATTCAAAAAATTATCCAGACATGGTGTCATGAGCACCTGCAGTCCCAGCTGTTGAGGTTGGGGTCACAATGAGCCATGGTTACACCACTGCACTCTTCAGCCTGGGTGACAAGTGAGACCCTGTCGCAAAAACAAAACAAAACAAAACAAAACAAAACCAAAAAACCCTCAATTTAAGACACAGGTAAAATATAATACTTACATTTAATTTTGAATTTCTCTCAAGTCATCAGTAGCTATGCTGCTGTGCTGCTGCTTCCTCAGTCCCTGCACAACTGTCTTATTAGGGCCCTCACACTAGCCCACATCAAGGAGCTGGAGAAAACCTATATTTTTAAAATGCACAATCTGATTTTTCCTTCTCATTACAGACAGAAACCAGAGCAAAAATAATACTTATCACCTGCAAACTGATTTCTTCTCTAGGTATCAATGAGTTCCTAAATTTCTTGGTGCAGTTTCTCCTTTATAAGATGAGGATAATAGTGCCAAATTTGTTGGTTTGTGAAACGGATTAATTAGGTCACAACTAATGATAAAGATAGCCTTGCAACCTTTAAATAAAGGTGTTATTTCTAGAATTTTCCACTTAGCGCAAGAAGGGAGAATAGTCTAGAGTTCACTATTGTAAAATTGACTTGTCTCCTTTGTAATTAATAAATAATTTGTGAGTGAAATTTGGAGATGCAAATTAAGTTAAACCATGGTTTGAAACCTAGCTAATTTGTGTCCCTAAAGGGCAGTTCCTAACACTATGCCTGGGCATTTTTAAGCAGGTGGCTTAACAAATGCTTGCTAAATGAATGAATAATTGAATAATTGCATATCCTTCACTCTTGTTCCCCTTGGTCTTTATTGTCACTGCTCAAGTTTGACCACCTGAAGGGTGAACAACCGCAACAGCTTCCTAGTCACTGCCTCCACATAACATAGCCAGAATCAAGCCCTTTGGGGGCGTCTTGGAACAGCTTATAAACCTTAAAATATTAGCTGAGCATGGTAGCGCACACCTGCAGTCCCAGCTATTCAGGAGGCTGAGGTGAGAGGATTGCTTGGGCCCAGGAGGCAGAGGTTACAGCAAGCCAAGATTGCACCACTGCACTCGAGCCTGGGCAAGAGAACAATACCCTGTCTCAAAAAACAAAAACAAACAAAACAACTTCTAATTGCTTCCCAGATTGAATGAGAACTTTGTATGAGTTTCAAAGGATTTCATTTAGTAGGCACTCTTTTCTAGATGTTTTATATCTAATTAAACTTTTATTTGAATTTTCTGCTTTAGTCCATTACATTTTCCAGTGGTATTGGAATGTAGCTTTTCTGCTTCCCAACCTGGGCCTTTCAGACATGCTAATTCCAAAGCCCTGCAATGCCCTTTCACTTCTCCGCTTCAGTAGCTGCCTTCAGAAAGGCTTGATGTTTACTTTCTTTGGGAAGCCTCTGCTGCAGGCTAGACACCACTAACAACCAGCTGATCAGTACTCACATATGGCCTAGTTCTTTCCACATGTGTGTATTCAAGCTTTATCTATAAAGTGTTTACCATGTAAAATGTCTACACATAGTACAGGCCACTCAGTTCAAAGGATATTTGACAGGATCGGGTGCTCATGAACAAGTGACTGGCTTAAGTTCCTACTACTAGTTGTGGAATAACTATTATCTCTTGAGACGTCTGTTTTCTCATCTGCAAAATGGGGGTGATAAGTACCTCCTGGAGTTGCAGAGGATTACATGTAAAGTAGTTGGCCCAGTGCTAGGAAATGGAGGATTTTTTATATGGCACTACCTACCAGATTAAGAATATAAGCCTGAGTTTTAAATCTTTTGCTTTGCAAGGCAGAACTAGATCCTGTCTTTTAAATAAGAAATCATAGAAAAAGTGACTTCCCTTATAAGCCAGCTGTCACATACCTGTGACATGAAATGGAAAAGTCTTGAGAAATGGAATCCTCTCCTCTCACTTTTAAATATTAAAATATATTAAAATTGTTCTCTCTTTGAATAAATTACATAACCTCTAATTAATTTCCCCTTTAATGTTAATTTTTTAAGTGGAAATTGCCTTTTATTATCCTAAGAATTGGAATCAAGTACCTGGCTGTATCTGCGATGTCCCTATCTCACTATACAAATTTTTCTGTTGCCTTCTCACCAATAAAAATCAGAAAGATGTGCTCCAATTTGAAAGTTAGCCAATATATGCAAAAGAAACTCATAAAAGTCAATGTATGAGCATTTTCTGATGATGGAGACATTGGTTGAATTCAAAAAGAAAATGAATGACCTAGTTCATTTTAACTGCTGATGAAAAACATGCTTACATTATGTTGTCAGGGATCTGGGGATGGAAAATACATACTTTTTGGGGGAAAATAATGAAAACAATGAGACTTTGAAGAGCCTACAGTGTAAGAACATGCTACCAAAAAAAATCACTTTGTCTTTTGGGAAGGATAATAGCAGGGTATGGTGGGTGCTAGACCACAGACGTTTGGTTTAACAGTTCACAGTCGAAGACGATAGGTAGTCTCAGAAAATTATAAAATGTCTCTGCTGAAACAGTTACCAGTAAGATGCCACCTACGTATGCACTACTTAACTAGCTTCCTACATACTGCAGCCTAAGTGACCTGCCAACATAGGGTGTCTGTGACAGTTACGAGAGAATGGCCATGCTTGCTTGGGATTATGTGTGGGTGTTGAACATGGCACTTGGAACAAATTTATGAGGTGCAAACTTCTAATGCAAAGATGACTCATAAGGTTTCAGAATGTGTACATATGAAGCACATTCTAATTTATACCATCACTAGTGCTCACCCACAGCAAAACTAGGCTAGGTTGATTACCAAATTGTTTGGACTAACAGGAAATTCACAAAATTTGTCACTCTTAGTAAGTGAGAAAAATTATTGGGTTCATGATTTTAACATGTGTGGCACTACCATCTTGAACCAATGTGATGTACTTAATCTACATTTTGCAACATTATGTTTTGATGTCAACATTGAACTATCACTACTTCTCAGAGACTGAAGAAGCTGATTCTTTTAATAAGTTAGAATGGAAAACTTAAATAGAATTGTATAATAAAGCAAACATTTCAATAGAAACTTCTAAAACTTAAAACTGTATTTAGGTAGGTTTCTCGATTTACATAAATGTAGCATAATGCTCTGTGCAGAGGAAATTTTTTAAACATTTTACTGAAAGTTATTCTTAAGATATTTAATAACTAAATTGACTAAAGTGCACTAAATATAAAGTCAACAAAAATTAGGAGAGGTAATTTCCCACTTCAGTGTCTTGATTGTGGTAATCAGTATACAATGTACTGGTATAAAAAACCATCACACTGTATACTTCAATATCTTTTTGTCAAATATTTTAAAATTAAAAGAATAAAATGGAAAAATAATGGTAACTAAGGATTTCATATGGATGTTGAAATAAGAACTAAGATTACTATTTTATGTGAGTCTGATGTTCCTTGAGGGTTTTACCCCAATTGCTAAAAAAAAAAAAAACTCATTAAAAATTCCTTTAAGATGAAGTGGTAGAAGCCAGACCTTTAACATTATTGGAGCAATACTTTGAAAGTAAATCACTTAGCAGTCAGAATAACAATTTGGAAATTGTGACCAAATAGTCAAACACAGCTGGGAGACCTAGAATTTAACAGGACATCGTTTTAACACTTAAGAATTGTGTGACCTAACAGATGGGAAGACTATAAAAGAGTAAGGCTTAATTAACCAACTTTGTAAACAGAACCAGTTCACAGTTCCCTTAAAAGTGATTACGATTTGCTAAACTTAGAAAGTAAAGATTTGTAAGCTGAACTTAACCTTAAGCACAATACATTTTTGCATTCTAATAAGTTGATTATGAACTTAAAAAATAAATTTCTGATTAGGCTTTTCTGCACAAAAAAAACACCTTTGAGGTGATCACAAAAAAAAAAATGTCATAGGTCAGCAGAAACAGATGCCAAAGATTTTTTTTTTTGAGACGGAGTTTTGCACTGTCGCCCAGGCTGGAGTGCAGTGGCATGATCTCGGCTCACTCCAAGCTCCGCCTCCCGACTTCACGCCATTCTCCTGCCTCACCCTCCCGTGTAGTTGGGACTACGGGCGCCCGCCACCATGCCTGGCTAATTTTTTTCTATTTTTTTTTTTTTAGTAGAGATGGGGTTTCACCGTGTTAGCCAGGATGGTCTCGACCTCCTGACCTCGTGATCTGCCCGCCTCAGCCTCCCAAAGATGTTTTAAAGGTTTAACTGTTGCATACTCAGAAAGTAAGAAAAATCCTAGCTCCAGCATTTTGCTTTTGATCACTTCTACATGAAATAAAAAATTGTCTTACAGGATCACTATGGACATAGTTAACAGTAAGATTTTTGATATTAAATTGTATTTACAATAAAAATGTCAGGCACTGGATCATTCTCTTATTAACTTTGGAGGCCTACTTACAAATTTCATTTATGAGGACACCCACAGATAAGAAGCTTGCATTCCCTGAAACACCACCCATGCACAGCTGGACCATATGGTGGCTTTTAGTAAAAGAGCAACTACTGTATTTGGTCATTCAAGCTGTTACAAACATACAAGGTTTGTTCAATTCTAACTTCAGCTACTTACTAATTGAATTGATTTCCTAAAAGAGGCAGACCTTCTGGCTTCATCAGGTTGGTTAATACCTTGGTTTTCTTTTGAAGACTTGATGTAGTACATTAAGTCACAAGCAAAATGGGCATTGTGTTAATAATACTTAACTATTTTGAGACCCAAGTGGACAGACCATAAGTTAGGAAATTCCCTGCATACTTATTTAGCTTTTAAGTCTTAAATAGTGTCAACTATAGTTGTAAAGGTACACTAGGTGCTAGTAGTCTCATAATTACCAAATCCTAAAGCTTTTACCCAAGTGGTTTCACTAATTAAGGACAGATGAAAAGCACCTTTCCCCGCTGCCTTTTGACAGATTTAGTGGATCGTCAAAGGAATGATTACCCAGGCAAGCAGATCTAACTGCCATGCAGTTTCAAAATAAAATTGCAGTAATTTAACAACAACAACAACAAAAACAACAACAAAAAAGCAGCCTCAAAGTGAAATGTACTGCCACTATGGCTTTTTATCAAACTCCACCTCTGAATGTTGATTTCAGTCCTGACCGATCTCTTCTGAATCTCACTCACTGAATGTGCTTTCTCTCACCTGTGAAGTGCCTGCTACCACAATGTCTGCCTAATACAGAATGCACTTAAATGTCAGCTCCTCATCCCAATATGTAAGGCACTGAAATTTTTATGTGAGTGGTATTAGTTCCTACGCAGCTAGGTTTTGGGCAAGGATCATATATTTCGTTTGTGACCTTTACCTCTTCCCTGGCACCTAGCACAGTGCTTGGCACACTGATGATCTTCATTAATCTATAGAACTCATCAATACTTGCTGAAAGGTTCTTCCTGGTTCTTTACTACAGGTTAGCTCAATTTCATATAATTAACCCATAACACTGAACCCAAATCACATTAATATTATACATATATGTATTATAGATGTTAAATCCTAATGTTCCTTTTATTAATATTTAGAAATGGTGAAGTTTTAAAAACGTCTTCATAAACTTCTACATAAATGAGAATATAAATTGACCTCTCTCTGCCAGACAAGAGTCTACTGAGAACCTGTTTACCAAATCATTTTTTAGAAATGACGGTAGCTGACAATATTTAGTCCCAACCTAAGACGTAAGTTCTTGTCCCTTAATACTGAAACCCAGCTTAAATAAGCAGATAAGCGAGGTAGAGTGGGTTAATATTAGTCACTGGAAAACTTCTATGTAGAAAATGCTATAAACATAAATGTGTGAGGCACAGAAAATCTTTATTGCCACAGGAAGCAAGTGCATTCGTCCCACCTCACCAACAGCTTGAAGAGTCACAAAAACGTGGACATCGCACAATAAAGTGTAAGAGACTCGGGGAGAAATGGTCCCTTGGACTATATTGGCTGTAATACTGAGGTAACCAATTGACCTTGTTCAGTGAAAATACCTCTAACAAAATGAAAAAATCAACTAATTATAACTTCCAATTCACATATACAATTCAAATAAAAATATATATTATTTGCTTTAATGTATAGCAAGTTTAATACATTAGTGTTTACAAAATAAAAACTGTATTCTACTGAAATTTTTCTTGTGCTTCCACCTTATCACTAAGCTTGAAAGACTAGAAACATAAGATAGTTAAGGAAACTTATTATGAATTTAAAGATGCAATCTGTGGGTCCACAACGAATGGATAAATATTGGAAGTTGGAAGATTACTGCATCTTTTAAAATTGTGGCTTATGAAAATCTACAAACTTGACTGTAAGACACAATTAAAAAAAAACAAAATGTTTCAAAATAGATTAGAATACAGGAAACGTTTCATGAAACTACTGAGATATACTAACCAGTGCTATGGCTAATATTAAAAACTGAACAGTCTATTGAAATCGTACTCATACTATTTCTACACACAGTGAACAATACAACCACAATAATCAACCTCAAGCTAGCAACAAAGTTGCAAGGTCCATAAGAAGCTTCTTCAGTGAGCAAAACACTATGGTACAATTAAAACATTTAGGAAGGGGAAAAAAGCCTTTTAACAGTATAAAAGTTGTTTACTGGCGTTTCCTACTGTAAAGTACTTCTACAAATTAAAATGAAGAAGCAATTTATATACGTGACAGTGATCTGAGACTACAGTGCAGACATTTCATCTAACATTTGGCTGACAAATTTTAGTGTAACAGATTATGACTTAATATTTTTTACAATTATGATCTAGAGCAGAACTAAAAACAAAAAAACACATACTCTCTTACACTCAGAGTCAATACACTCTTCTCAGTAATATCTGGGTTTAGATGCATCTGTAGGAAGTAGGTAAAGCTGTCAGTTATCTTCTCTTAAACCAACAGAAAAAACGTATATTGGCAGATGTATGTTGTTTTACCATTATGAATTCCAATGTGAAATTCTCATAAGTATGCAAGTAAATTATTAACATGTAAGCACACTCCCATATATATGCACATGGTCCATTAATTAAATTGGGGGAACTAAAAACATACTGTCAAGTTAAAATAAATTTTAAGAAAAAACTGCATTCATAAATCTCAAAGGTGTAGAAAAATGAAATTGTAAAATAAATAATGAATATAGCTGTCAATTAAACTTCCATAGAAATATGCCTACAGATGTGGATGCAGTGATTGTCCACATTTGTGATGGCTGGGTGGGAAGACATTCCCTAGTGAAAGCATCTAGTCTCTCTGACTTCTCTACATAGAGAAGACTTTCTGGATATAAAATAGTACTTAATCTGTTACAGCCTTTGTTAACAGTCGCCATCTTTATAACATGTAGGGTTAACTTACTGTGTCTTAATCTATTTAACACATTCTGAAATATCAATGTTTAAGTCAAAGCTTTTATACATGGGTCCACTTATTTCAAGTTCTCTGTCCAAGCAATAGCTTCCTATCTTTGAAACATCTTAAGTAGCTATTAATACAATCTAGGTCAACTAGTTTAAGATATATTTTCTACTCTATTGCTCATCTTTTTAACTTTCCTCCACTCAAGTATTTATTGTGTAAACGTGCATTGATAACCAGATGTTATATGACTGAATGCTAAAAATTTCCTGTTAAACAAAATCAGTTTTATCAAATATTAAATCCACAATATTTTCCTTGGCTTAAACTGAGTATTCGCTTTCTATTTTTCCATAATCATTGCAATCTTGCCAATAACTGCATCACTTAAGCTTTCTTTTTCACAACTGCAGGCAGATTCTAAACTCTGACATATATTTACGTTAAACACACAAAGTAGACAACAAAATTTCAAGTAAAATAAACTGTATCCACATCTATTAGACCAAACAGGTCTCAACATCTAGATTTTACTTCTATAAATTACACAAATACATTGTACATTCTTAAATAATGAATGCTTACAATATTGATTTGTAAGCCTTTCCATATAAAATGACTTAACACAGGAATGTGAATGAATCAATATTACTGTTATAGATTGCAACACTCTTGATTTTCTCTTTTGTGGCTGTTGTTTTATCTTCCTGGTTTCCACAGACTACCGTACCAGTCCTTTTGCTTTGGCTATGAAATCTGTTTGAGCTGAATGAGGCAACACTGGTTATTAAGGCTTATTTCTATGATGGAGTATTATCCTTAAATCTGATGCCATTTCCAGAGAACGGTGAGAGAAATCACAGCTATCTTGAATCTTCAGGCTCTGTTTTGATGACTTTCTTTTCTAAGGTAAAAGCTGAATGAGGGTAGTCTTTTAAAATCCCAAGGCTCTCTACATAAAAATGGAAACAAAGTGAGTTGATATTTTAATCAATGGACTACAAAAATCAAACAAAGTTTTAAAACAAACCCCCAAACTCCATATCAAATAGTATCAACTATTCATGATTCTGTAATTCCATGCAAAATTTTTGTTCATAGAGCTGTTAAGAGCTTGGATTCTGGATTTAAATTTCAACTCTGCCAATTACTAGATGTATACATATAGTATACATATATGTATAGATGTATACATCTCTGGGCAAGTTATACACCTCTCTAAGCCTTAATGTCTTCATTTATAAAATAGGAATAGTATCTACATAAAGTGGCACGAAAGTTAAATAATGAAATGCACATAAAACATTTAGCATATAGAATATATTAATTTTTATTTAATGCTTGATCCAACATGATAAATATATAAAAGGAAGCTGATTATTCATAAATAACTGTTACTGGTTAAAATATTTACCATCAATGAAGGAATCAGACTGAAAAATATCTTCATAACCTTGGAACTATTTTTTAAAGTTCTTCCGACAATGACATATTAAGGTAGGGGAAATAGGGATAAAATAATGAACACTATTTTCATGAGAAATCATTCCATGGAGTTCTATGTGTACAGTTATTTCAACCATACACAAACACTACAGAATAACAATCAAATGTAACCTTTATGTAAAGTACAAATACTGGGAGATATGTACACACACATATACATGCAAACATCCACATCACATACACTCACACCTTGGATTCTAGAAAGTAATCAATACTAATAGCTTATCTGAAATTAAATAGCTCAATTTATGAATCCTCTCTATCTAAACAGAAGGGGATTTTAAGTTCCGCGTAAGAGTAGTAAAAAAAAGTAGCTACTATTTATTGAATTCCTGCTGGCTGGAATAGATAGTGTACGATGCAGGTACACTATCTTGTTTAATCCTCCTAACTACCCTACGAGGTAGAAATTACTTCTCTTTTACCAATGAAGCAACTGAAGGACGAGTACTTAAGTAACTCAGTCAGGGTCACTCAGTCAAGTATCGGTGCTAAGATCTGGACCCAGGCTTGCACTGTATGAAACCTGTATTATTCCTATTCAGTTAAAAATAAAGAATAAGGTGGCCGGGCACAGTGGCTCACACCTGTAATCCCAGCACTTTGTGGGGCCGAGGCGGGCGGATCACAAGGTCAGGAGATTGAGACCACGGTAAAACCCCGTCTCTACTAAAAATACAAAAAATTAGCCAGGTGCAGTGGCGGGCACTTGTAGTCCTAGCTACTCGGGAGGCTGAGGCAGGAGAATGGCGTAAACCCGGGAGGAGGAGCTGGAGTGAGCCGAGACTGAGCCACTGCACTCCAGCCTGGGCGAGAAAGCGAGACTCCATCTCAAAAAAAGAAAAGAAAGGAAGAAAAGAAAAGAAAGAAAGGAAAGAAAAGAAAGGAAAGAAAGGAAGGAAAGAAAGGAAAGGAAGAAAGAAAGAAAAAGAGAAAGAAAGACGCTTTTTCAGGCATTTCTTCATTCGGTTCTACCTAAAAACCTAGATCAATTATATCTCTATGTAATATATCTCCATGAAATATGTAAATATGCCCCATGATGAGACACATGATCAATGTAATTGGAGTATTCCTGTTACATAGAGTCTTCTAAGGAATATAAATTGGTAAAAAGTCGTTTTTTGTTCGTTTTTGAAAAAACTTTAAAGATCACTTTTTTTGTGTTATGGAAAACATGAGACCAGGATGTCATCTTTTTAGGATAATTTCAATTTCCCAACCTCCCTTTGACATTATTAAAATGGCTACAATCAAGTATGCAATAGCATGCTTTAAAGTCACAGTACCAGAACATTATTTAGAACTCGTCTTTTTAGCATCTGCTACCAAGAGTATGATCTAAAATTGAAAGACATAAATGCTCTTGATAACACTTTTTTTCTAGTAAATACATAATTCATTCTATCTAGATAACAGATGTAAAGTCAGGTTTAATCCTAATGCTTGTAAAACTACATTTCCCGCTGACTTACAATGCAAATTTGGAGCTATTTATTTGGCTTTAGCTACCTCATCTATAAAATCAGTGACGTTGATTAAGTGACTCCTAAAGTTACTTTAACTCAAAGACTTGAATGATAACAGATTCTTTCAAATTGTGCTGGTCTCTAATGCTTTAACTAGGTCTAACTCACTTTACTTGGATAAAAATATGTAAATATCTAACTATGATAAGGAGCTGCTCATCCTTTTATGGAATTCAGTTTACTTCTGAAATATGAGTATCACCTCCAAAATACATCTGCATGAAAAGTCTAGATTTTGATACACAAGGTTTTCTCACTGTCAAAGCAAACATGTAGTCCATCAATTTCATATTATGTTATTGCCAAAAAAGGTAGTAACACAACTCAAACCAGCTATTTATTATTAAACTTTCATATAAACATCACCATTCATATAATGGCTAATCAAAGTAATCTCAACTTTCATGAGTTTTCCCTGTCATTGTTCGGAATATGAAGTTTGCAAAAAGACTAGTGAGAGCAGCCAGTGTTATGGCAATCTACCACTTCCAAGGGGAGAAAAACTGACAATTGAGCATCCCTTATCCAAAATGCCTGGGACCAGGAAGTGCTATGGATTTTGAGCTTTTTCAGATTTTGGACTATTTGCATTACACCAAAGGTTCAGCATCCCAAATCTGAAATGTTCTAATGCGGGTTTCCTTTGAGTGTCATTCTGACACTCAAAACATTTTGGATCCTGAAGCATTTCGAATTTTCCAGTTAGGGATACTCAACCTGTAGGAACACTGTCAGTAATGACTTTTTTTTTTTTTTTTTTTTTTTTGATGGGGGAGGAAATAGAACAGAATTTAAAGATGCTTTTATTCAAGTGTTACCCTCTCATCATATAGCACGTTCTCACCTGATGAGTGGGACTTTGCCTCACTGGGGTAAAGTCTGCTCAGCTCCCCATCCACCACAAAATGATGGGGTTGTCTGTTCTGTAAATTAGGCATTCGGAGATTCAAAGGTCTTTCTCCTAATGAAAAGAAAAAAGAAATATGCATAATATTAAAAACATACCATGGTTTTTCTTAAAAATAAATTTTGCCTGAACACTCCTTAGGAAAAAAGTGAGGAGAGTCAACGAGCACTGAAGAATTTAAATAAGACTTGGAAAAAACATTTTAAATAATAATTTAAGAGGAAAATGGCAAGTCATTTCATGCCAGTCCCAAGGTTTACAATTCTGCCAGGATATTTTTAAGAGCTAAACAAAAGACTGAGAATTCCTGTGAGCATTCCAGTTTTGGCATATAATACATCTCCTCTATAAGGCATTTTCTTACTAGAACAACCATTTTACCAAGGCATGTCATTAATCATATAATAACAAGTACTAGAAAGACACAGAAGGCTTCAAGCCAATTAAAGATTAAAAAAAAAAAACTACAGCAAAATCCGTGAAAAAACAGATTTAGCACAAATATGGGAAAAAATTATACACCCAATCATGTTGTCATGTACTGAAATCCATCACATTAGCAAATTGTCACCCCACACTGAATTATCCTGGTGTCACAAATTAGAGTCACCAAATCTTTAATAATTGCCTTTGCTTCTTAACTGTTAAGGATAATTGGAGAAGTTAAACAAGACCTCAACTCAGAGGTTCCTGTAATATTTTTAAAAGGAAGAACTTTCTTCTCTTCCAGTACTCTGATGTGTTGACACATGTAATATTTCAGTCCATGGCTGGAGAATCCTTGTTAAGATGGTATCCTTACCTAGGAATCCTTTTATTTTTTTACAATAATAACCACTCTCTAGAAAAGTATAACAATAATATATAAAAAGGAGGCACTATAAAATTATTTTTTTTCTTCAAACACTTATTACTATTTGAAACTAGAGGATATATAACCTGTACATCTCCCTCCACTACATGTAAGCTCCAGGTAAACAGGGATTTGTTCCCTGCTGCATCTTCAGTGCCTAGGAGAGTGCCTGGCACATAGGAATTGCTAAAAAAATAAAATGCCTGTTGGTTGGGTGAATAACAATGACTTGGGATTTTCTTTATGTGAGGATGTGAAAAGAATGAAGTACTTTTTAGAATGGTAAAAACACTCACGAATCACATGGCTTTCTAAACCTGAGCTGTACTCTGTCATAACACTTTAGATGCAGTCACCATATTCTTTTAAGAACCAAATGCTGTAAATTTCACAAACTTGTTTTTGAAGTCTAAAAAAATATGAAGTTTTGGTCATTTAAAAAGGATAAACATCTCTCCCGGAATCTGCTTCTTCGGGGAAAATAATCTGTACTGTTGACATCTCACATTCCCACCAACCCCTACAAAATAATACATGTCAATCTCAGGTGCCAACTGCTTAAAGATTAAAAAATTTACAAATTAAAATTTGCAGGATAAATTATCTTTTTAGAAAAATGAAGAATTCAAAAAATAATTTTGATAAGAGAACCTGTAAAATAATCTCTACAAAATATCATAATTTAAAAATCAGCCACTGTCTTCTGTTTCTCTTTGAAGTGCACATAGTGGCCCTAAAGGCATAGGATATTCTAAAGATGTACCTTGTCCATCTGAGTTATCGGAAGTCAAGCCGTTAGGACTGTGCTCTTCTGAGCTCTGCCTGTAAAGCCCTGCAGACAACCTCCTCTCGGCATGCTGCAGTCTCTCATAGCCAGCTTGGTTGCAAAGGAACTCCATCTGCTTTGCCATCACCTTTTCAGGCTGCTAGTAAGTAAAGCAAAAATCAAATCAGTAACTGAAACATTCTAGATTTTTTAATGGTTTAAAGATGCCAATTTCAGACTCCAGCAAATATATTTAGTATTCATTAAAATTAGTTCACACTTCATGTGGTATACAAATTCCATAAATATGCATAGATGTCTATATCATCATGTTAAAACATAAAAGGCTGGATATTGTACAAAAGATAAAAGCTTTCTTCTCAATTCTTTCAAGAGAATTCCATGTCAGCTCAAAAGCAACATAACCTTAGCTTTGTTTTCCAAGGTACTAAGTCCTTTAAAGGATTTTTTAAAACAGAAATCTAAAAGCAACAGCAACATCTGCTATAAACTACTTCTAACACTTGGGGCGAAATCTTGGCATTTTTATTTTAGGATCTGGCAGTACACAGACTCTGATATGATGACAATATGTTTGGGGGAGAAAAGGTGTAAAACGGCTGTCTAGAAGAACAAGACAAATACACTTCCCACTAAAATTAAACAATGTAAATTATGCAGAAAAACATCAGTGCCAATAAGCATCTTTACCTTCATCATGAAATGAAACTGCAGTATTTCCCAACCAATCATAAAAAGGCATATTTTAAATATACAATTAGTCAACTGACATATAAATTTATCTCTGTATGTGTTTTATAAGTTCCTTTTCAATGCACTGCTCTAAATTACTTATATGTGATATTCAGAGCAGTGTATTTGTGGTATTTTGCCAAGGAGATAATAGTCAAAATGCACAGATATGAATCACTACCATGCTATATAAGAGAGTAGGACAAGAAAGCTGCTATATAAAATTGGTTACAAAATGCCCTGATTCACAATGTAAAAATCAGTAGGTAAAATATATTAATTCACAGAATAAACATGATAAACACACTATTTTTCTGAGTGCATATAAACCAAATCAAAAGTAACTACAACTTCATTTCATTTGAACTTGTTACTAAATTGACAAAATTTAAATAAGCATATCTGAGGTAAAAAATGTATTTTTCATCCTAACATGAAAAAAACAAAACTTAGCAGTACTAAATTTGATCAAAAGCAACTTATTACAAAGAAGCTGTTCAATAGGAATAAAAGTTTACAGTGCTTTCTAAAAGATGATGTTTGCAGAAAGCATTTTAAAATTTTAATTTCAGTATACAGACAAAATTAAATAACTTAATGGCAAAAGCACCTGAAGCCACATATTCATTTAATAGTTTTTCAATAAATATGAATTTAAAAGATTTAACAATAATTACAATGTTGACTATTAATATTTTATTGAGAACTAGTATTATTTTATCTCAGAGTTGCATTACACACAGCCATGGTCAACATGGCTGGTTTTCCTGATTATCAAACTGTTTAAGTTTTCTTGAGCAGAGAATCTGTCTCACTTCCTACAAAACTACAAGAATAAATAAGTAGCACCATATCAGATTCCGTTCATAAACTGAATCAAACCAAGTTGTTATTGCTCTCATGTTGATACAGCTGTGGCTCAGATGACGTTTTAAAAAACAAACGGAAATAAAAAGTCAGGCCTCAGATACTTAAAACTGAAGCTAGTTGAAGTAGTCATTTATTTTTTAACCTTCAGATACTATCATGGAGTAATAACTGGGAGTTTATGTTACCTGTGAACTAAGAGCTGCAAGTTCTTCACTCTTAGCTCTAGCCTGCTGGAAGAGTGTTTGCACAGAATCCTGGAAATCTGGAAACCCATCCTGTGGGTCAAATAAGAAGTCCTTTATATTTAGAGTTTGTAAATAATAAAATATTATCAAAAACTTGAAAATAAAGCAAACTCTTAATCTCACTACCTGAATAATCATGATTAAGATTTTAATGGTTATAAAATATTTCATTTCAGCCTTTTATGAAACATACATTATTTTCTACAGCTGTAACCTCAGTAGAAACATAAATAAGATGAAAAATGTCATCATTCCTATTGTTTTACACTGGAAAGAAGGCTTTATGATCATTGATAATAACGGTTATATAACATTTCACCTAGGCTGGGTGCAGTGGCTCACGCCTGTAATCCCAGCACTTTGGGAGGCCAAGGTGGGCAGATCACCTGAGGTCAGGAGTTCGAGACCAGCCTGTCCAATATGGTAAAGCCCCATCTCTACTAAAAAAAAAAAAAAAAAAAAAAAAAAAATTAGCTGGGAGTGGTAGCACACGCCAGAAATCACAGCTACTAGGGAGGCTGGGCAGCTACTTGGGAGGCTGAAGCATGAGAATCGCTTGAACCCAGGAGGCGGAGGTTGCAGTGAGCCGAGACTGCACCACTGCACTCCAGCCTGGGTGACAAAGGGTGATAAAGTGAGATTCTGTCTCAAAAAAACAAAAACAAAAACAAAACACATAAAAAACATTTAACCTAGTGGGGGGTTTGATTAGCCACTATCCTCGCATTGGACATTTTTTATTCTTTTCCTAATTTTTGGTTTTATGAAAAACACTGCAAAAATATTTTCATGGAGATAGCATTTTCGATAGCTTAGATTATCTACTACAAAAGATTCCCAGAAGCAGAATTACTGCAGAGATGATATTTTTGTGCCTTATGTACTTTCGCTAAACCTATAGAGGGCCTTTACTAGTTTATCATACCACAAGCAATACATGACAATTTCCTTGTCAGCACTAAGAATTCTTGTTTTCTTAATTTATGCCAATTTATCTATACTTTTGATACTCAAAAATCATTTAATTTTTATATGCCTGTTTTATATGCTATAGTTGTACATACTTTTATTTTGTGATTTCAACTGTTGCTATAAAGTTTAGAGAAATTCTGCTTCAGAAATTTGGTTCAGTACTTAAATCTACCCTCTAATTTTTCTAAAAGTTTGATTTGTTTTTTAAATTTAACCCTCTGACCTATCTGAAATTAATTTTGTTACATGAAATGTGGCTAACGATCCAAACTAAATGTTCTTTAAAGTGCTAACCGATAATCCCAACCTGAATTGCTCAAGGATTCCTTCATGTTGGCTTGCGATTTCACCTTTATCATAACCTATGACAGGAAATGGAGCTTTGGAATTCGAAAGGCCTGTCACCACTCACTAGCTATGTGACCACCGGATGAGTAACTTAACCTTTCTGAACTTCAGTTTCCTCACAGGAAAATTGAGGATAGGAGAACCTATCTATTAGGATTGTTGTGAGGACCAAATGAGATAAAGCAAGTGAGATAATGCCTTCAGCATGTAATAATTACTAAATAAGTAAGTATATCAATACATACTAAATTCCCATAATAAATAGGGCCTATCTGGGGGCACTGGATAAAACTTCAACTTAAATTACTTCCATTTTATACTTGGTATTCCACCTACTTTTTTCAAGGTTTTCTTTTTTTGACTGTTTATTGCTCATGATCATTATAACTACAAAATATCATGACAGCATGGTTTTAGTAACTTTAGTGAAACCTCCTAAAGGACTCCTCACAGAAATTAGCATTTACAATTAAACTCCAAAACATTATTTCTCCCCTTCTTTGATAAGCTATATATTTGCAGCAGAGGGCAAATCCTTAAAAACCAAAGTTCTTACAATACACAGCAGAAAAAGATGGAATAATGTAATAATAACAAAATATTTTACCTTATTTGGGATATAAGATAGTGGTTCAAAAATTTTCCCCCATCAGGGTCTTTTCAATAAATTATTTCTCCACTGCAGATTTCTTTCAAATATTTTATCTATCAAAATACATTCCCCAAGTAATAACTAATTTGCTATTTTTAAAATTCAAAGACATGATATAGAGCCAAGAGCTAATAAACTTAACGTCTTAAGATGGTCCTATGTAGCTTTATCATGGGCCAGTATGTAATTAGCACTTTTGAAGTGTTGAAAATAGCCACTCTTCTAGGTTTCCATGTTGGCTCACAGATGTGTATGGAACATAATCATAAAATAAGCTAAAATGAACTTCATATAAGTGTATACAGTCCAAGCTAAATCCAAAGTTCCCTTTTTCTTAGCCATTCCAGTTTTCTTATAAATAAGTTTTCTATTTAGACTGAAAAATCCAACTTTCTCTTTAGCAAACCCCCACCCCACTGGAACTGCTTAAGTTCTCAAGTTCAGTGAGGTAAGCTAGTAGAAGAGTTAGAACAACTTCAATATAAGCGGTTATCATTTTCCAGGGGTCTACAATATACCAGTCCCTATGTTCTATATTTTATGTTCATTATTTCATTTAATCTTCATCACAGACAAGACTGGGTTTCCTTTTTTTTACAGCTACAACGCTAGCTTCAAAGCCTATGCTCAGTCCATAAATTCAGAGTTACTACCTTTATGAAACTCACAAAAACACAGGCATTTCTATAAACAGAAATTATAGCTCTGTTTTTCATAAGCTGGACGGGCTTTAACTATATGACTTGCAGAGTTCAAAACCCAACTCTACTACTTATTTGCTGTGATACTGGGTAGATTATTTCATCTCTCTGTGTCTATTTTCTCATCTATAAAATGGGGATAACAATAGTACTTAACTTGCAGAATCATTTTAAGGAAGCAGAAAATTCATGAAAAATACTTAACACAGTGCCTGGCCCATAGGAATTACTTGATAAATGTTTGTTACTGATATCTGTTAAGTTCATCCAAAAAGCCACCAGATTTAATCAGAGTAAAGCATCATACTGGGGAAAAAAGAGAAATTTTATGGACAATTACAAAGTACAGACATCTTAGAGAAGGAAGAACTCAACATTTAATACTAAAATCAACCAGAGAATATTAAGCACATTCGTGGGGAACTATCTCAGTGAAAAGAACACTGGAAATCTAGAAACATGTGTTTATACATTCAACAAAAATGTCGCATCCACCCAGCTGATTCATACACTGTACTCAATATGGGAATACAACGTCAAACAAGATGGCCATGCCTCAGGCGCTCCTGACAACACAGTCCAGGGAGGGAAATGGACGGAGACCCAGAGCACAGCAGAGGGCGCTGTGGCAGAGCAGGCATCCCAGAGGCCAGGGTGTCTAGGCTGAGAGTTCCAAAAGAAAGCAGCTGGTACAGATGCCTGGAGGCAAAAAGAACAGGGCACACTCTGGGAAGCCGGAAAATATTCAATATACACTGAAAAAGAGGGAGTGGTGAGGGAAGGTGGAAACACAGGGCCAGATTCTGTAAGCCCTTGTAAGCTATGTTAAGAATTTTAGATCTTATCTTAAATACAAAGAGAAGCCATTGAAAGTCTCAGGGAAGAGACTGATCGGATTTGCATTTCAGAAAGCCCATCACATGTGAATGTGATGGGGAGAATGTACGCGGAGGAGGGGAGTTCAGGGTGGTGACAGGGACACTGGTTAGAGGGCTGCTGGTGAAGGCCCAGCCCTGGACAGTGGCAGGTGCCGCAGAAATAAGGCAACTGAGAGTTTGGTTATGACATTCTCTAGAATAAGGAACTCAAGATCACGAGGTCTGGGAGGGGCCAGAACACTGATGAATTCGGTTGAGCTCATTTGCTAGTGAGACCTCCGTGTGTAGATAAGCCAGGTAAGCAGGGGCAGTGAGTTTGGAGCTTGGGGTAAAATCAAGGCTGGAGACCCAGATTAGAGGGTTATCAGTTCATCAGCAGAATCTGAGTGGAGTGCACCAATCAGAATCCCCATGAGCCCCAATGCCTCAATACTGTTTCTGGAAGAACTTGCAGGAGAAAGGTATGATCTAGGCATTTCACATTAGGAACCAGCTGTGTGATCTCAGGCAAAAAAGTAAACCTCATTATTTCCAGTGATCCAAATTTTTAAATTAGGATTACACCACCTGTGTATCTGCCCACTGGAAGTTTGTGGGGATTAAATAAAGTAACGCAAATAAGTGAACCTTGGAAAAGTACACATTGCCATACAAATACCTGGTGGCACTAAAGTCAGGATTATTCAACCATGAGAATACTGAAAAAGCTGGATGGGGGAACCTCAAACTCTACATGTGAAAGTTGCTAGAAAATGGACACTATTCCACCATTAATAAAGATAAATAAAAGCCTAAAATAAGTAATAAATAACAATTATCCAAAGTAATCAGTGATCTCTCTGCAACTGAGCACATTAGTCATTATTTACTCCTACAGTCTTGACAGTTCACTGTGGATGGAAAAACTACAAAATCGAGTAGCTATCACTGCATGTCACATAAAGTAGATTTAAGGTCCCCAAAATATATGACTTAGAAATAAAAGTAAGAACATTCCCAAGAAACTGGTCTCTTTCACATTATGTGTGGTGCACAATTTCGTTATGTCTCGTAAGCTTGTTTCCCAGGCACCAGCTAGCTGCACCATACTATGAGCAATCTATCTCCATGTCATATTTTTGGCTGATGCCATTAATCACAGTGTTTCCTTGCTGACGAGACTCTGGGTCTGATCACTGAGAAAATAAAAGCTATGGGACGGAGGCTGGTGCATGACCTAATTACTCTCATCCCATTGGTCTCCATCCCCATGCCTCCTCATCCTTTCTGCCGAACACTAGCAAGCTGCTTTAAAGCCACTGCTTAGCTGTCTCTAGATGACTTGTTACAGCAGATGTTCTCAACCCCACATGTGCATTTTCCTTTTTTCTAATCACACTTTCTGTATGAATAGCATATTGTAATGCTTCTGTTTTTTCTGATCCAGAGGGGAAGAGTCTACGTCAAATTAGACCAGCTTTCTTTTCAACAAGCTTAGTAGCAGCGTAGGTGGATATTCTGAACCTCTTTCCTCCCCCTTCCTTGCTCTCCCACCCCCACCTTGCTGGAACTGCTAGCAGATGTTTCCTTTAGGTCTTTCTTCTTCAAGCCCCAGTTCTCTGACTTCCTGGGCTCTATTAACAAACCTCATTTCTTTCATCCACTTATCTCTGAATGCTTTGCACCTCTGACTCCCACAGGGTCAAGAATGCTGTCATTTCCCATCTCTGCCCAGTCTCCAGCAATTTCAGCGAATGAAGAAAACTCAAATGAGAAATAGCACTCAGTCCAGTTAGTCAGCTGCCATCACCAGGTCTGAGACTGTAGCTTTATATATCCTTCCTCCCTTCTAAGATGTTACTTATAACATTGGAGTTAATAACAAATTTGTTCATGGAACTGAATGTGTTCTTAATGAAAAAGAAAGGTTACCAATTGAATTCACTTTTAACTAACATTTAAAAAAATTTAGGAGAAGACAAGAGAGCCAGGGACTTTGGCTCTTGATTTTTCATCCCCTTGAATGAGCTGTCAAGCCACCTTAAATATGTTCTTTCATAGGTAGGACATAAGGAAATCAAACTAATTTTTCTGATTTACTCTGTGTATCTTCCCAACACAAGGTTTTTACTCATAAACAATCAGCATATCAAATGAAAATTTCTTATATTTAAATATTTTGTAATTTACATTGTTAAATTTTCTACTCAAAACTTGTAACTGTTTACTACATAACATTTCTTGGATTAGAAAATAATAACTGCCACCATCCACCCTTTTCAAAGACTACCAGTCCTGCACACATTTCGCCCTTCACACGGTACTAGGAGGAAAGGTATAACCCCAATAGTGTTTTTTTCACAGGTAAGATGCTTTGTGAATAATCATTAGCACCTAGGAAGGTGGTACTGCTTTGACATTCAGGAATCAGACATAGATAGGAAGCCCCGGCTCTGCTACTGGATAGCAGTTTGGCAACACAGGTGAAGATACTGAGCCTGTCTGGGTCTCTCCTTGGCTGTAAAATGGAAATCATAAAGCCTCCACATAGGTTAGACAAGAATGTTTGTGATAATGAATTCCAAATGTCTAGTAGGGACTGACACAAAATAAAAGCAATACAAAGTAGCGATTTTTACAATTGCCCCAGAATGAGAAGATTTAATTAGATCTAATTCAAAAGATAAGTAAGAATAAACAAAATCTATTTTCATTTCAGCTGAAAGTGGACTCACAGAGGGCTGTGTTCCAGTGGACATGTTATTCATTCCGTCTAAGCAGAAGGATTCCAACCTCACTTACTAACTAGCTGAAGAAACGTTTCCCTAGAGATTTCATTCCAAATGGTAGGTTCCTTAAGGCACACCTAAGCTAGCAGGCGATCTTTTTCTCCATGTCCATCTCATATATTCTAGGAATTAAAGTTCAAAATCTGTTTTTTAATGTTTAACATACCCTGTAAGGAGGAACACTATTTAAGGACAACAGATTATCTTGATTACTTCTATGCAATGTGTATACTGCTATTTTTTTTTTAAATCAAATAAGTAACTATCCTTTAAGGGGGAACAACCTACTACATAAATAAGAGCTTTCCAGGTAGAAAAATCAGACAAGTCAATGAATTATAACTTCATTCCACCCAAGCCTTCATGTATAGATCAGGAAAACACAGTATTTAGGAACGAAAGATCTTACTGAGCTTGAACACAGCACTACTTGTATTAGTGTACCCTAATGCATTAATAATGACAAGCAAAAAAATGTTTCTCTTTCCTTTACATGTCAAATTATTTTGATGTTATTTTATTTTATCTGCTCAACATTACATTTCTTTTTGTTCCCTGTAAAAATTATGTTTTTAAGATGGAAAAAGCCAGCAATGTGGCACATATGCTTATTGTTATAAAGGATTTTAGAACACTTAAAGATTTGAAAAAAGAGAAAAACTTGTCTCATTAGTTTGGGCCTTGTAATTAGAAATCTGTTACACTATAAAATGGGCTAAGCTTAAGTTTATTTGTACGTTACTTAAAAACTTTTTTTCCTTTGTTTGAGACAAGGTTGTGCTCTGTTGCCCGGGCTGGAGTGCAGTGGGGCAGTGATTCTCCCACCTCAGCCTCCTGATTAGCTGGGACTACAGGCACATGCCATCATGCCTGGCTAATTTTTGTAAGGATGGGGTTTTGCCATGTTGCCCAGGCTGGTCTCAAACTCCTGGACTCAAGCAATCCATCTGCCTCAGCCTCACAAAGTGCTGGGATTACAGTCATAAGCCACCATGCTCAGTCTTGTATATTACTTTCTTTAAATAGAAAATAACAAGCTGAGAATCACAAGAGAAAGACTCAAATGAAATAAGAGAAAAAGTATGTTAAAAGAATTCTAAATTCTTTCTAGTTTTATTTATGAGGTCCTTTGTGTCAATCACATTCCCTAGACAAACTTATTGTTCTCTGAACATGCTTAGTATTTTCTTACCTCTGTCTTTGCCCATGCTAGTCTATCTTTATAATGCCACCCCAATCCCCTCCCCACATCGCTACCTTTTGAAATTCTACCCTTCTTTTAAAAACCCAGCTCAAATTACACCTTCCCAATAGTCTCCCCTGATCTCTTCTCATACCAGAAATTCTCCCTCTCCCCAGAAGCCATATAGAAGGTAGACATAAAGCACCAGTACTTGGTGAAAAGTTTTAAGGGAGTGGTAACTTTATACAGCCAGTACTATCTACCTCATAACAGCTTCCGGAAATAGTTCTGGTATCTCAAATTTGACTTATAGTACAGCACAGACAAGGATTCATACCAATACTATATATTTTGCAAAGGATTACACCATCTACATGTGTAGGTATACATACACACAAGACACACACACGTTCAAGAGATACTGATGACCTGCAATACACAAGTGCTTTTTAAGAAAGAGGAACAGAACAAAATTAAAAACAAACCAACAACAAAAAAGTGAGCCACTGTCCTAAATTCAAAGGTGTAGTTACTACTTATTTCTGGGAAACAAAATCAAAAGTCTAGTGTCTATAAAAGCATTTAAAGAAGCCTGGGGCCGATTGTCGCTTGTCTTATTTAGGAAGGGTTAGAAGAGTTATTCACAGGGAAAAGTAACACTGATTATCTTAATTTTGAATCCAGAGCTGTTCAAGTGGCTTTGTGACCTCCAGTAAACCAATAAACTAACCGTATAGAACTATAACTCAAGTATCTCTAGTGGAGTATATTTAAAGGAACAGAAAGGTCATATCTAATGTTACAGCCCAACACTTTGTGCTTCTAATAAGAAACTGAAAGCACTGTAATGAAATACAAGGCCTCTGAGAGGGTCAGAAAGACTTACCAATAAAACTCATCAAGAAACAACTGCAGCTCAAACAGTCCATGAGATTCATGATCACAAATTTCAATATTTAGTGACCTCTAAAGCTAGACAAGTGTGGCTTAAATGTGAGCAGCCTGAATCATGATCACACTTAGGGCCAATGGTGAGAAATAGATAGAGACATATTTCTAGCCTAGCAACTAATTTTTTGGCCCCTGGGTAGTTTCTGTGCTTTCTTTCCTCTCAATCCTCCAATGGCACATGCCTTCTTAGCAGTTTCTATGTTCACCTGCCTTTCCCTTTCAGTGGCAGTGAGTCATTAACAGCCAAATCCACAAGGACCCTCTGTTACCTGTTATCTGGGGGAGCAAGAGATAAAACATCTCACTAGTTATATCATCTTTCAATGTAGCCTTTTAGATAATTTCAACATTTTCTGAGTTAACCATCTTAAACATTATTCCAGAGCTAACAGTGAGGTAGGTTACAAATATAAGTACTTTTTTGGGGGTAGAGACAGGGTCTCCCCATGTTGCCCAGGCTGGTCTCGACCTCCTGAGCTCAAGCAATCCTTCTGTCTTGGCCTCCCGAAGTGTTGGGATTATAGGTGTGAGCCACCATACCCAGCCCACATTTCTTTTTTTAATGTGGCTTTTTGTTTTTGACAAAATACTTCTCTTCCTTGAGAACCACTGCTTTCAGATAAAGTGTTTATAAGTCAAAGATGCTTATCTGCAGCCATTCATTATTTCATTCTATAGATTTTATTAAGTGCCTATTAGGTGCAAGGCTGTTACAAACTCTAAGTATACAGCAGCAGATTCACAGATAAGAGACCTATTCTCATCTAATGGGGCAGACTGATAATAAATTTAAAACAAGTAACTAACAGTTTCAAATACTGGCGAATGCTATGAAAACAAACCAGGAGAATAAGCCTGAGTGTGATTTTGGGGAGAGGGTGCCCCTTTAGAAAGGGAGGCAGGGAAGTCAGGGGAAACTCGGCTGTGACTTGAAGCCATCTAAAGAAACAGAAGTCTAGGTAGGGGGAAAACAGTGAGTGTTGAGGCATAAATGAGTTTGGCATGTTCAGGAACAGAAAGTCAGTCAGTGCGGCTGGAACACAGTAAGAATGGAGAGTGTGGCAGCAGACAAGGTAGGAGATGCAAGCTGCAGTCAGATCATGTGGGGTCTTAGATCCTTTAAAAAAAAAGTTTAGATTTTATTCCAGGTACAGTAGAAAGCCACTGAAAGGAGTTAAGCAAGAAAGGGATTTATGTTTTTATAAGATAACTCTGGCTTTGATATGAATAAAGGATTACTGCCATATAGATACTCTGTAGATATAACTGATGACAGAAATTTAGGGTGGTCAAGCATAGATTATTTGCTTTAACTTGAAATTAAATAATAGGATGGCTAAGAGAACACTGACCTCCATCCCCTGCCTAAAACAAAAAGAAAGGAAGGAGCCACCTGACCAGATTTCCACTCTGCTGCAAACTAGACTTTTTAAAAAGTATTTGTAAGAAACAATAGTTCTGAAACCATTCTATAGTTCGGAGAGTCCTAAGTATGTTTTTCTTAACTCCCACCTTACCACTTGCAAATCTAAAATCAAAAGAGCAGCCTCAACCGTGACACTCTAAAAGAGGCTTTAGTTACAGTAAAGTCTCTGTAATTTATAGCTACTAAATTATCATTTCCCTTAGATAGTTAATATAAAGAAACGAAAAGTTAGCTCCTCTGTATTTGATGACTAATGATGTAAATACAACTATGAAAGGAATGGTTTAACCCGTGAAGTTTTAAATCTGTAAGAAACACCGATTGCAAATCAACCTTTGATAAATTGACTGGACTAGTCACCACAGTTTTCTTTTAAGAATTTCCTGGGACTAGGCATGGTGGTTCACACCTGTAATCCCAGAATTTTGGGAGGCCAAGGAGGGAGGATCACTTGAGCCCAGGAGTTTGAGTGCAAGACCAGCCTGGGCAACATAGCGAGACCACATCTCTACATGAAAAAAAAGTTTAAAAAAATTTTCCTTGGTCTGCTAATTCAAATTACTGTAAATATTGTATTTCAAGGTAACAAAATTCTATATTTTTAAAAGATTTATTGAAAGCCATTTTTCACTAGTTTATGGGACCATCTTTTTTGTCTGAACTAGTTAAGATTTTGCTTGATCTTAAAACAAAAGCAAACATTATCAGCATAAGAAAATGTAACATATGACCATACCTCCACTTTAATTCTCTTTGGGGATAATTCATCTCTTTCTCCACATTTTGACCTAAGGGAAAGGGGAGAGAAAAAAAAAAAAAAACTTGAGAAAGTAACTGATTTTATTCCAAAGGCATCTCAGCCTATAACCTTCCACCAAAACATATACCCTGAAACTCCAACACCAGAAATGACATATTCATAATGATCATTAAAATAATGAAGAAAAGATCTTTCATCATTTCCAAGTTAACACTAGGGGAAGGTATAGATACAATTATACATTTTAAAAGGCCACTACCTAAGAACTCACCACCTCTGGCTTTGGTATGAAAGCCACTCAATAATTTTTTTTTTTAAAGATGGGGTCTCACTATGTTCAACCCAGACTAGCCACAAACTCCTAGGCTCAAGTGATCCTCCCACCTCAGCCTTCCAAATTGCTGGGATTACAGGCGTGAGCCACTGTGCCCAGCCTAGCACTTAATAAATATTTAATGATCATCACATAATGAAAAAAAAATCAAGGAGGATATCCCTTTATGGTTCAGTAGGAATAATTTAGGATAAAATGACTAAAATGACCACTTAAGATGTATGTTTATGGCTACATGAGATTAAAATGCATTTTGTCTATCTACAGAAACTACAGATGTATTTACCCTGACCCAGCAATTTCTCTGCTGGGAAAACCTATCCCAGTGGTACCTACATATATATATATAAAATGATGCTCCATCAATGGTAAGACACAGAATTATTTCATGTACCACTATGAAATTAATTAAACTATGACAAGCCATCAACTACAAGTTATACTTCAATATAAAAGATTTGTTAAAATGTGAAAAAGTACATCTCAGAATCAACAAAACATATTATGTATGATGTTATTTATTGTGGTTTTACAATAAAAGACTAGACACAACCCCAGTAGCCATCAATAGGGGCTAAATGAATCACAGCACATCCACACAATTCAATACCATGCAGCCGTAAAAAAATAATGAGGGCACCTTAGGAGTCCAAGGTGGCTTCTAAATTATGTAAAAGTGTTAACATATTTTAAGGTACATTTAACTTTAAAGGAAAGGTGAGCCTAGGCACAGTGGCTCACGCCTGTAATCCCAGCACTTTGGGAGGCCAAGGTGGGTGGATTACAAGGTCAAGAGATCGAGACCATCCTGGCCAACATGGTGAAACCTCGTCTCTACTAAAAATACAAAAATTAGCTGGGCATGGTGGTGCACGCCTGTAGTCCCAGCTACTTGGGAGGCTGAGGCAAGAGAATCGCTTGAACCCAGGAGGTGGAGGTTGCAGTGAACCAAGATCGAGCTATTGCACTCCAGCCTGGTGACAGAGCAAGACTCCGTCTCAAAAAAAAAAAAAAAAAAAAAAAAAGGAAAGGTGAAGGTAAATACTAGAGGAAATGGCTAAAAATCGGTGAAGGCAGTTGCCTCTGGAACATGGAACTGAGAAGCGGGAAGGCAGAGCACAGGAACCGTTGAGTTTCATTGTTAGCCTTACATGTTATACAACTTCTTGAACTGTGGACATGTATCACTTTGATTAAAGAAAATTATTTAAATAAAGTACTCAGAAAGAAAATAGTGTATAATACAATGAAGAAAATTAAAAATCAGCGAATCAGCTCTTGATTATCCAACTCCAAAAAAAAAACCTTATAAATAATCCCATAGAATGTTGCTGTATATTCTTACCCTGTTCACTTAGTCTACATGATTTTACTTGTCAGTTATAAATACGTAGGTACTGACGTAGGGCAGAAAATGAAACTGCTGTGAATTAGGAAAAATAATGGTAATGATGGCAAATGCCTATAGTGCTGGTTTTCAAACTTAGGATGCACAAGAATGCTCTGGGATGCTTGTGAAAGTTCAGATTCCAGAGTTCCATCCCCAAAGAATGTGATTGATTAGGGCTGGAAAGGGTGCTCAGAATGTGAATTTTCAACAAAAACTTAGAGTTACTCTAATGCAGTGGTCATCTGCATCCAGAGAAACAGTGGCAGGCACAACACAATGCGGGCTGGAAATCGGGGTCTGTGTGGAATCAAGTGAACAAAATCAAATGGTCCTATCCTGTAGACAATGCTTATGGCTCAAGTAAGGATAGGGTGAAGAAAAATATGCTGTGTTTACATTAAATTTTGAAACCACCATTGCTTTTTAACATCACGTTTTATTTCAAACTTGTGTTCCATAACCCATGTGCTAGTAATAGAAGTATCTTTCAATTTTCCCTTAGATACTAGTCAATAGAGTCGTTTTACATATTCAGCTAATCTCATCAGATTCAAACACCTTGCAAAAAGGACCATTCTATTTCCTCAGAGTTCAACAAGTTCACGTAGTTAGCGGGTGTACAAATACGTCTATAAATGCTGTCTGACTAAATCCCCTCGTCACACTCAAAACCAAAGTGTGTGTATGAGAGAAGAATGTTTAAAACCACTACCAGAACAATGCTATAGTAACTAGAGAATGATGCCTTTCAAAAGAGAACAGTGAGAATTAAACAACAAAAATCACCTTGGCAATGTTTTCAAAATCACTGCATTGTTTAGTTTCATAGAACAATAATCATACTTCCACTTTTTCAGAAATGCTTATATTCTATCAATAGATGATGTTTCGAACTCTACTTCTCTCAAGCAATGCAAAAATAATGACGATTAGTTAAATACTTACTTGGTGGTTCTGTAAGTATATTTATAGGTGACTTCTCGAGAAATCTGTCGAGCCAAGGCAAAAAGCTCATCTCTTCTTGTCAGCAGGGCATTATCCTTCACACAGAGTTGAGCAGCCGCTTCATTAACAGTGAGCTGGATATCCAAAACAGAGTTTCAAAATTAAGAACATTTTAATTTCATCAAAATGCAAAAGGTTTCACTTAAAATATAAGAATGTTACACCATTATATAATGGAATCATTATTCATAAAAATCAGAATGGTATTTATTCCTAATTATTCCTAATGCCGAATTTCAGAAGAAAACCAACTCATCTGCCATCTCACAGAGCCCAAATTAATCATAATAGTCATCTTGATTTTATTTATTTATATCCTTTTTTTGGTTAGATAGGAGAGTTTATAGACGACAAGGAAAATAAAAAGTAAAAAATATTCTGCAACTCGCTTATAAAAAAACCCAAAATATTAGAATACAGGATTTGCTGACACCATTTCTCTAACCAAAAATGAATGTAGATGGTCTGACAGATTTTTTATGAACTGACATGAAAATTCTTAAAAAGGAATCAAGACCATATGATTTTAAACATTTATCAAATCACTTAGTAAAAAACAGAGTTATCATATACTAGGGCTATATTGGAAAATCAAGGTGTTGGACTAATCTCTAAGATCCATCTAATTCTACCACCCTTTCATAATTCAGTAATTATTAAATATTGCCAATATAGAGTTGCTAGTTGACCAAACACTTTGTACTAAAATTTTGTTACCCTAAACACAAAATCTGTAATTGTTTAACAAACTAGAAATTTTTTCACATAATTTTGTCAATAGATATAGGAAACTGTCAAGAGGTATATCAGACTTTTTTAATATGCAAAAGATGTACTTAGCCAAGGCATGATGATTAGCAAAAAGAAAATGGGACGTGATGGCAGACAGACCTGAGGAGAGTCCTGCTTCATCATTTACCAGCTGTGACTCTGGACATGCAAAACTTTTGAGAGGCTTGGTACTTGGTATTCTGAGAGGCAAAATGGGATAATATCACTATCCCAAAAGGCTCTAACAAGATGTAGATGAGGAGACACACCTGGCATAAGGTTGTGGTTAGTGTTAATTCTTGTTTTCTTTTCATAAGAAATCAGGTACGGCAGTACCCCCTTACCCACAGTTTTGCTGTCTGAGGTTTCAGTTACCTGTGGTCAACTGGGACCCAAAAATATTAAATGAAAAATTATACAAATAAACAATTCATAAGTTTTAAACTGTGTGCCATCTCACTCTGTCTCATCCAAGTGATGAATCATCCCTTTGTCCAGTGTATCTACACTGTCTATACTCCTGGCTGTCAGTCACTTGGTGGCCATCTCAGTCAACAGATGGACTCTTCTGATATCTCAGTGCTCATATTCCAGTTACCCTTATTTGACTCAACAATGGCCCCAAAGTGCAAGAGCAGTAATGCTGGCATATTGTTCTAATTGTCCTACTTTATTATTATTAATAGTTATTGTTGTTAATCTCTTGCTGTGCCTAATTTATAAGTTAAACTTTATCATAGGTATGCATGTATAGGGACGAACAGTATATATAAGGTTTGGTACCATTTGCAGTTTCAGGCATCCAACTGGGGGTCTTGGAATGTGTCCCTCACAGATAAGAGGGGACTACTGTAGTCACCCTTTCTCCCTACCCAGGCATCTCATCTTTATTTAGAATAATTTTTCTTACTTAAAATTTTTGAAAACAAAAATAAATAGCATGCAATCATTCCATCCAGAATGACAATATTCTAATATACATTATTCCAATATTTCAGTGTACATATAAACATTAAGTATATATGTACATACAAATTTGTAATCTACTTTTTTCAGTTACATATGCTATATTTTTCATTTCTACCGATGTATTAAGGCAGAGACGTGGCTTGTTTACATTAGCATCTGGCATGGGCTGGAAGTTCAATATATATCTGTTGACTGACGAATGAATTGAAAAATCCTTTATAATATCACTTTTACTACCCACACATACAATATTCCATTGTAGAAAACAACCATATATTATTTAAACTACCTTCACTCTGGACATCAAACTACCTCCAGTTTTCCATAGACTATTTAAAAAAAAGCTGCATAAGAGATTCTTAAATGTGTACCTTTGCACACATATCCAATTATTTCTTTGCAATAAATTCCTACAAATAGACCAGTTAGGTCACAGGGTATACTAAAATTTTAAGAAATTTATACATTCCACCTAACTACCCTCAGAAAAGTTTCTCTAAATCATAATGCTGTCAATAATTACATGATGAGTCCATTTCCTACAATCTTGACCAACACTAGTTATTATCTTTTTAAAACTTTACCAATTTTATATTTCTAAAACAGCATTTGGTTGTAATTTGCATCCCTTTGACTATGAAACTAAAGGTTTTTCTTACATCTTTGACTCATTACAATGTTTCATGTTCTTAGAACTTCAGGAATTCTTTATTAACAGCATTAACTCTTCATCATATGTAATGGGATTTTTTTTTAAGTTTGTCATTAGCCATACAGTTTCTATGCCTTGGGTGACAGGCAAAGAAAATCTCTTCCTACTCTAATAATATATAAATGTTCCATAATTTAGTCTAATCGTTTTACTTTTCCCACCTAAGTATTTAAACCATCTAGAATGTGTTATGGTACATGGTATGATATAGATATTTAACATCCTCCTCCCCAAATTTATAACTGTAATTTATATTAATTTGTTCTGAGACAATTAATTTGGCCACTGACAGCAAGTTATAATAATAAACCCAGGTCTCCTATTTTAAACCCATAGCTGAATATGAAAGCATAATTGAAGGAAGAATTTATTTTCAGCCTTCTCCACTCCTCCTAAAGAGTCATCAATAGATAAATTCCTCCCCTAAGTGCCTTTGAAAGGCACAATGTTATTGGAGTTAAAAGTGAAATGTATACTTTAAATAATGATATTCAAAATAAATCAGTTTCAGCATGGCAGTAGCTAAATGACCTTGAAGAGGATTCTCAAATAGCTTTTTATGTAGCGATTTATTTTTCATATTAATAAATCTAAATTACTAAGGAAACCTCTGATTTTCAGTAAGATGTTTTAACTGACAACATTTCAGAGGTACTAGCTTATGCACAAACACAGAAAATAACTTTTCAACATAAACTGAAAACAATATTCTAGTATTCCTTCTCTTACCTTTCCAGAAACCAAGAAAAATAAACATAATGCATTCATTGTCACTGAATTCAGGCTCCCACAAACCAAAAAAGTAGACTAAACTCCAGGCCCTCAGGGAACCTGGTAAAAAACTGAGGCTGGAGAAGTAACTCTAGCTCACCCCCAAGTTGTAATAAAAAGCTGATTCATGAAGCCTCTCCCTTAAAAACACGTGTTCTGTCAGAGTTACCTAGATTTCATGCTCCCTAGCTGCTAATAATGAACACATCAATAACTATCATGATATAATTACAAAAGAAAAATGAAAATATTCCCAAGCAGTTGGGAAAATATGAAAATATTCCCGTCACTTGCAGCAGCACTGTTAGCTTTTTCTGAATGCCAATACTCTAATTTTGTTAAAAGGATAAAGTAACAAGATATTCTCCCTTACTGGTTTACTTATTTCCTCCATTTCCTCTTTTTGTGGCCCAAAATACCAAAATTCCACCATATCTTTATGTGAAAGATTTCTTAAAGTTCGCTTCCTTTTTCTTTTTTTTTTGAGATGGAGTCTCACTCTGTCTCCCAGGCTGGAATGCAGTGGCGCAACCTCAGCGCCCCGGGTTCAAGCGATTCTCCTGTCTCAGCCTCCCAAGTTACTGGGACTACAGGCATGTGCCACCATGCCCAGCCAATTTTTTTGTATTTTTAGTACAGACGGGGTTTCATCATGTTGGCCAGGCTGGTCTCGAACTCCTGACCTCAAGCAATCCACCCACCTTGGCCTCCCAAAGTGCTGGGATTACAGGCGTGAGCCACCATGCCCGGCCTCTTAAAGTTAGCTATCTTTTATAACCGGACTTAAAAACTGGACTTACTACAGTTATCTTTATCCTTAAGAAGAGTGGTTTACTGATTCCTAAAAAAACTTTCTTTACAGGTTGTTAAAATTATAATCTCCAACAATTAAATGATTGTGACTTTAAGTACTGTTGGCACAAAAACACTGTGAACAACTGTGTGATAGGGAGGCTCAAAAGGCAATCAGGACTTTCATTTCCAGCACTGGGAGGGCTAGGTACCATTACTGGCCCCTCTCAGAAAAAAAAAACTAAAAATGTTAAATAAAATAGGGAGGGGATCATCTTTTAAATGCTCAATGAGCTGATGAGAATAAGGACATTGAGGCCAAAATTAATGAGTACAGTACCTCAAAGAAGTTTAAGTTAGGGACAGTCGCTAAACTTGATGAGCTTGAGTTTCAATCTTCATGGCCTCATGGGGTTGAGGAGAATGGGAAGGAAAAAAGAGGCAAAGCCCACAGCCCATCAGAATTGAAGAGTCTAAGATGCCTCCTCCATAAAGCTGAAACCTCACCACACACACCCAATGTAAGGCTGAATTAGAAATACGTCTGTACCCCCAGGAGAATGCAAAGAAAATTATCTGTCTTGAACCCTAGTAATGACTGGGAGAGAACAGAAGATACTCTCTTAAGATTTCATAACCCCCAATCAACCATAATTCACACTAAGTGGGCTGAGAATTTATTTTCATAGGGTCTTAGATTTGTAATGTCCCCAGATGCCCAGTAAAAAGAAAAAGCAAATAACCTCTAGGGAATTCACTTTCTTCCCGGGACTCCAAATGTTCTCACAGTTAAAGTTCCAAGAAATATGAATTCACATAAATCATAAAACATCAAAAGAAACAAGGCAACAAAAGTGAACACTAGTAGAAACAACAGACAGCAAAATCAGACCCTCAAAGACTTCATTTGAAGAAACAAAGGGATTTGAAAATACGACTAAAAAGCAGTACAGTAAAAATAACCACGAAACTTGAGAATCAGGAGAGGAGAATTGGACAGAAACAAGATTTTAAAAGTACACAATAAATAGCAGAATAACCACTAACTTTTTTTTTTTTTTTGAGATGGAGTCTTGCTCTGTCGCCCAGGCTGGAGTGCAGTGGCATGATCTTGGCTCACTGCAAGCTCCGCCTCCCAGGTTCACGCCATTCTCCTGCCTCAGCCTCCCGAGTAGCTAGGACTACAGGTGCCCGCCACCACGCCCCGCTAATTTACACAAAGGTATCTTTAATTACTAAGGGAAAACCACTAACATTATAGAATTTAATACCCCAAATAAATAGTAATTAAAAATGAGGGCAAAATAAAGATATTTTCCAGTAGGTAGGGAAGGACAGAGTTTGCCACCAGTAGGCCTTCATTAAGAAAATCCTAAAAGAGCTTTCGATAGAAGGAAGCTAATCCCAGATGATAAATCTGTACAGAAAGTATATCAGGGCTAGAGGGGAGATACAAATAAAATAATGGAAAAAAATCCAAAATATTAGTCATATAATAAATGTACATGGACCAAATATTCCAGTTAAAAAACAAAGCATGTCTGACTGGGTTCTTTAAAATCCAACTGATCAGTATTTATAAAAGATATATATAAAACATGGATTCAGAAAGGCTGAAAATAAAAGGATGATATAAAGATATAATAAGGAATAGACCAGGTGTGGTGGCTCACGTCTGTAATCCCAACACTTGGGGAGGCTGAAGCAGATAGATCGCTTGAGCCCAGGAGTTTGAGACCAGCCTGGGCAACGTGGAAACCCTGTCCCTACAAAAAAAAAAAAAAAAAAAAAAAAAAAAGGAAAGAAGAAAGAAAGAGAGGAAGAAAGGAAGGAAGGAAGGAAGGAAGGAAGGAAGGAAAAAAGAAAAGAAAGAAATTAGCTAGGTGTGGTGGCACATGCCTGTGGTCCCAGCTACCCAGGAGGCTGAGTGGGAGAATCACCTAAGCCTGGGAGGTCGAGGATACAGTAAGCTGTGATCTCACCACTGCATTCCAGCTAGGGTGACAAAGTGAACCCTGTCTCCAAAAAAAAAAAAGATATAAAGATGTAATAGGCAATGACTAACAAAAAGAGAGCTCATGTATTTATATCAACATTAAAGAAAATAGCTTTCTAAAGCAAAATACATTATTAAAGGTTAATAAGATTACTGCGTAATACAAAGAGAAACAGACAACACTACAATCAGTAAAATTTTAGTACACAACTCTTTTTACTGACAGAGCAAGCAGACAAAATAATAGTTAAGAATATAAGATTTGAATGACAGAATTAATAAGCTTGTTAGAACAGACACATATAGAACACTCTACTAACAACTGCTTAAGATATCGTTTCCAAACGTAAAAAACACAGACCACAAAATGAATCATAACTAAACTCTCAACAAATTTTAAAGGGTTGGCATCACACAAACCATGTTCTCTTGCCCTCAATGTAATTAAGTCAGAAATCATTAGGAAAAATAAGGAAAAAAAATTACTCATATTTGGAAATAAAGAAACACTTTTAAATAACACATGGTCAGAAATCATAAAAATAATTAAAATTGAAAAATAATAAAATAACCTCATAACAAAACTTTGGGAATAACACTGAATCAATACATAGTGAAAATTTATACTTTAATTGCTCATATTAGAAAAAGAATGACTAAAAATTAATGAACTAAGCACCCAAATTAAGTTAGATAAGAACAATAAAATAACTAAGAGAGGAGACAAATATATACACGTGTACAGCACAAGCAAGAATAGCAACTAAGCCCAGAGTGGCTTCTTCAAAAAGATCAGAGGTTGGCAAGCTTTTTCTGTAAAAGGCCAGAGAGTAAATATTTTAGGCTTTACGGGCCAAACAGCCTGTGTCACAACTACTTAACTCACCATTGTAGCTCAAAATCAGCCACAAACAGTACATAAATAAATAGGCCCAGCTGTGTGCCAATAAAAATTTATTTATAAAAACAGGAGGTGAGTGAGACTGGGCACACAGACCCTAGTTTGCAGATCTCTAAAAAAGAATAAAATTGGCAAACCTTTGGCAAGGTTGGTCAGGAGCTAAGGAGAGATAAGTGTACAATCAATATTAGGTCAATATTAGGTCTTAAAAAACTATAAATAACTTTACGCCACTAAGTTTGAAAACTCAGATGAAATGGATATTCTTAGAAAAATGTAACTTACCAAAATTGACTCAAGAAATAGACTACCATAATTCATTTTTAAAAATCATCAGAAGGAAAAGTCCAGCATTTCAAGTGTTAGATGCTGAAATCTATGAATTCTGAGATTGAGAGTTCAGAATAAAACAAGCTAACTTAATAATGTGACCACGTTTATGCGGTTCTCAGATTCAGCATTCCTCCTCTCTCAAAGGTGAAATTGCTGGCCTCCTCTGAAACACTCAGCCTTGACTTCTCAGCACTATAATGGAAACTGACCTAAGCTTGGCATCACTGTTTATTCTATAGGCCTGGGTCCTTATCTTGGTAACCTGCTCAGCACCCCAATTCCTGCAGAGTTTCTTCTGCTCAGCTTACAGTTACCCGCTGACTACATTCTCCTCTTCTCCTTCCTATCTTTCTAGAGCTCTTTGACTGGAAGCTGCTATCTGCTGACAAATATTCTGTAATGCCAAATTATCTACCTGCTTACATTTCTGAGTATTACAAGTTTCTACATTCTCTATTGCCTTGCTGTTCCCAAGTTTTAGTTGCTCTCTCCTCATCCATTCACTGATTTAACATTAGGGGTACACTGCTTGCCTAGTTTACCACCTACTATCTATTAACACCCCTTATGATAGATGCAACATTGCCTGCTGGCTTTTTTCTGATATCGCCTCTGGGTTTGTCCCTTGGCACCTGCCGAACACCAGCAAGGTGTGTGGTTCTAAGCTTCAGCCCTCACTCTCTTCACAATCTGACACCTATAAAACAGACTGTACTTAGCCAGGCTGTAGGACTATTGCTGATTCTTTAGCTTAAAAAAAAAAAAAAGAGGGGCTTAACAATAAGTCATTCCATAATTCTTTACGGTGTACATTTGGAAACAAATTATGTTATTATAAATATATAAACAAATATTTTCTTCTTCTTACAAGAAAAATAATCTTATGTACTTGAACAGTTGAAAAAAACTTACAGGTATAGATAGCTTCCTGAATTTCATCCACCAGTGACCTACATACAGCTCTATGTCTTGAAAGATTAAGAGAACAGTATCCACACAATTTATATGAAGAAAATCCTCAGAACAGTGAGATTAAGCCAACAATGAATTAAGAGTAAGTCATGTATTCCTTATGTGGAAATTGAGTACAAACTAGCAACATTCTTTAATCTCAGGAACTTAGAACTAAAAAAACTTCTGCTAATTTTAAATAATCAGGAGAAAAAATACAAAATTCTCATAATACCTAAAAGATATACCTAATAGTACCTTCTTTCAATTCCCCCAGGATTCTGTAATTTCTTCCAAGATCTTGGATAGTTACTAGTTTTAAGAAAGCTTCCTGATTCACAAACATTTATCCTAAACTATATTATTGGACCAGATTCACATACTGGAGTACAAGTAACAAGAAGGCCTAAGTTAAGTTTCAAAAACACAAGCCACAACTTCCAAAGCCCCCACCCCCACATTTCAGCCTACTGGCATTCATTTTGAGTATTTCCTTATTTTGTGAAATTCATGGTCTCATCACTTAAATATCATATGTACCTACTTATCTAAAGAGGCAAAGAGCCCCTTAGCAAAAGCTAAGTGTAAAATAATTCTTTTTACATTTTTTAAAAGTAGGGTATGATTTTTTTTTAAGTCAGGTTAACTAGGTTTGTTAATCTTTTAGAAATACTTTTACTTTGATAAAAAACACATGTATTTCGACTCAACTTTGTATTTCATCTGCTATGTTTTAAAAATTATAAGAAAACTAGGTTAAAGCATGAAACTAAAATTGCCAACACATTTTGCCTTTTGTTTTTCTACTAATGACAGCCATATAGCCCTTTTAGTGGATTCCTCTACTGGTTCAAAGGATACTCCCAAAATAGATCAAGTCACAGGCTGGCTATGACTTAAGTAATTCTGCTAACCAATTATCTGATCTCAAGCTCCAACATTCATGTCTAAAATCATTTATTTAAAAAGATCAGGCTAGGTACAGTGGCTCATACCTGTAATTCCAGCACTTTGGGAGGACAAGACAGTTCTATCAGTTGAGCCCAGGAGCTTGAGACCAGCCTGGGCAACAATGGAGAAACTCCCATCTCTATGAAAAACTTAAAAAATTAACTTGGTGTGGTGGCACACACCTGTTGTCCAAGCTACTCAAGAGGCTGAGCAGGGAGGACTGCTTGAACCCTGGAGGTCCAGGCTGCACCCACTGCACTCTAGCTTGCGTGACAGAGTGAGACCCCCATCTCAAAAAAAAAAAAAAAATTAGCTATGACATAGTCTTTTTAACTTTTGAAAACGCATTTATTTTCCAAGCACTTATTGTGTACATTTGACTCTGGGGATATAAAGATGAAGGAGACATTATCTCTGCCTTGAAGAAACCCAGAGTATACTGTGAAGCACAGACCAGTATACAAATAAGTACAATAAGAAGTTAAAGTTATTGTGACAAAAGTATATGTAGGGATAAAAATGGAAAGGAACGGTCATTCTACTTGAAGGAAAAGATTACAGAAAACACAAGCTTATTCTTGGCTGAGTTTTAAAGATATGTGTTGACCAGATAGACAAGAAAAGGAGTAAATGCCAAAGTTTATACACACACGTGAAGTATAATGTTATATGGACAAAATGTTATATCTATACACACATATACACACACATGAACTTAAGCAGACTATGTCTAGAGTACTATAAAGATAAAATAAAAATGTTTAATGCCAAACATCAAACCAAAACAATGTTCAAAGTGAGAATTCTTCCAACATTCATCTAACTGTTTTCTATGCTAGCTGAGAATTGCTTTAAGTTCTTGCTATTTTTATGAAATTTTTTCTTTAAAAAAAGCCTACAAAAATGTTTTTTAAAAGTTATATTTAAAACCTAGTTTTATTTTTTAATTAAAAAACAAACAGCCTTACAAATGCAAAGACTTTACGCTTTCACTGCTTAAATTCTGACATTTTTCTAAAAGTCACCTCGTACTGTAGTTCCAAAGCTCAAACATGTTCAAGTTCAATACAAATATACCCTGAACACAATAAATATGGTCTATTTTCACAAAAGTGCTACATGTTGCTAACACCTCAATGTTTTTAATACTGCTTTCAGGTAGTGTATCACATTTGTGGCAAACTATTACCAAATTTATCTCTAACGACTAGCAACATGCCACATACACACACAGAAGGAACAACGCGGGCTTTGTACCTCATGAAGTGTGAGATGTTTCCCATCCTTCCTCTTTGAGTCAAATCTGCCATATATTGCACTGTATTTCCGAATTTCCTCCTCTTTGTGTGGATCATCATCGTTCATCTCAAAGATGTGACCAATCATTTTGGCCAACTTCTTGTTGGTTTTTAGCAGCTCTTTCACTTCATTCAAGTCACTTTTTGGCAGTGTGGGGGCCATCCGCTCCACACACTCAGCCACAGAGAGCGCAGCAGCAGCATCCAGCGCCTCACTGCTCTCCTTTGGGGACGCGGGGGAGCCCAGGTCTGCTGGGGAGAGGCTGTGCTCGCTCTCAGTGGCATGGTGGCCTTGCCAGAGTCTGGACTCACCAACACTCTGCAGTGCTAGGCTCCCAACCACATCTGACTTCCCCTGTCCCAAGCTCTGCACACAGGTGGTGGCAGCACATTTGGGGATTTTTAAATGAGGTTCCCGGGCATTGCTACTCCTTTCATAACTACTGCAGGATATTCCCAGCCATGTTGGTGATCCCTCTGGTAATTTATAGATGGGTATGCTACTGACAGGAAGGGAAGTCAGTGGCTGATTGAAAAGCCCAGGGTTTGTGACCCAGTCTCTCAAAGCCTTCTGCAGCCTTCTAACATGAAGGGGCTTGCTAGCCATGCCCACGAGTGCCATGATTTCCAAAAACTCCTCTTCTCCTGCTTCACAGAGTTGCTGGACATCATCACCACCTTGTTGGATAAAGGCATCAAAATAAGAAAGTAGATTGGCTTTTTGTAATATTCTATACAGCTGCAACTCCCCCAGGGTCCTGGGTAAGGCCGCAGCCATTACTCTGGATGGGTTTAACCTGCCAAAAAAAAAAAAAAAAGTAAAAACTCATCATACTTGCTTCAAACTCCTTACACCAAATAGGTTACACTACAGGTTTTAAGAACAAAAACGAGAAGCATCTGCATCGTGACTGCCTGTGAAGGCAGCATTCTCTCTACATACTTTATCTCATTCTGAACTCCTAAAAACCTTATAGGTCAGTAACTAAACTGACGTACTTTCCCAAAAGAGAATAAATGGTAAGCAGGAATCTGGAGGTTCAAACCAAGGATCAAACCAAAGGTTCCATGTCCCGTATTTTTGGCTATATACTTTGCTACTGCCAAGGTTTGGACGCAGGTGGAGTGAAAGATAGTCAAATTTAGCAGGAGGTAAGAAGCAGAGTATGCTAACCATTTGCTGAATACTTACTTTGTGCCAGGCAATACAATAAACACTTTACATTACGTATGTCTAATTCTCACAATGGCCCTGTGACACAGGTACAGTTATTCCCATTTTATAGAGAAAAAATGAGCAAGATGAGTCTGGCAGGCAGAGGAAGATAGATTTCAGTATGAATTGGAGGTGAGAAATAGAAGGTGTTAATTTAGGAATCAAGAAAGAAGAGGTAGAGAAAAGTCAAACAAGTAACTGACAAGACTTGGTGATCACTTAGATCTAAGTGAGGAAGGAAGTTACTCTTTATTGACATTTATTGATGAAGAAAACAGTTACCATTTATTGACACTCTGTGGTTTAAGGGAAGAGTTACAGGTGACTACGAGATTACATCTGAGAGTTCAGAATTCTAACAGGCACTGGAGACACAGAAAAATGAGGATGATGGGATTCCCTTTCAAACACATGGCACTCGCACATGGCACAGGGTAGAAGGCTTATGTAGAATGGCCCTGCATGCAAAATAATAGACTAGAATCTAACTACGTATCAGGGAGAGGGCTGTAGGATAAAATAAGGAGGGTGGGTGATCACTCCAAAGCAGCAGCAGAAAGCCTAAGACAGAGCCAAGGAAGAAACATACTTTTTGAGCCCAAGCAAGACAAAGAAGTCTGTTTTTAAAGAGACAGAACAAGACTCAGCAAAGTACTTCTTGACCTCTTAGCAGCCTTTAAAAGTTGTTCACAGTTGCCTGGAGACCTCCCACATACAAAGAGGAGTTGGCCAAGTACTTCCATTTAAGAGAAACAAATAAACTTGTTGTAATCAAATGCACCCTTAGGATTAAAAGTACCCTGTAGCCCTCTATGGAGAAAATAACAGAAGGCTAAAAGAATATGTGCATCAGAGAAAAATGGAAGACCCACTCTCAACTCTGACAGTATGCAGCAATAGTTAACTGGGACGTCCCTGAAAGCCAAGAAGTCACTGAACTTGGGACTTTTGTTTTATGCCACCAATCAGAATGCTACACAAAATTCTAGTCTCAGTCACTCCAAGCCAGGAGAATGGGTGTCCCTACCACTCTAAGCACTGACTACCGGAAGTCCCATCTCCTGGAACCTCTGTGTCATCCACATCTGTTTTGACTTCCGCAAATTTTATGTCTCTTTCTTTGCAAGGGCTAGTATGGGCATAACCAGGTTACCTGATGACTTCCCAAAAGACAACAAAGGCTGAATTAGGGCCCAGTAGCTTCTACTAAAACCCAGGAAATCACCTGGGGTGCTTTTGAAAAATACAGTTTCCCAGGTGCCTGAGATGCATCTCAGGAGACTTCCATGATTAGGCAAATATGACACACTGCACAAGATTCCTACTTAATAAATCCTCCGGGCACCACAAACTCCTACAGGTACTGTGATGACCCAGGTAATTCTTTAGGTCAACCTTCACATTCATGCCACCTCAGTCCTCTGGATAAAAACGTTCTTGCATCTTCTAAATCACCTAAAGGAGGCTCTGCCTGTCCTCCCACTCCAGGGAGAATCTATCATCCACCTGGGCACTAACTCACAAAAACAGAGCTCTCAGGAGTTACAGACCCAAGTTTAGAGCTATATTAAACTACACTATACCAAATAGAAGGGCTGCTATAAAGTGTTGGAGGTGGAAGAAAGGACATTTACTTTCCTATCATACACCTCGTGCAATTCCTCCATAGGCTTTCAACGCAATACAGAAAAAAAAAGTACATGTGTAATGTGTATATACATACACATGATCAAAATAGACTGTGGAAGACACAGAAGCTCCAAGACATGGGGCTTCTCAGTAGTACACACACTATCTTTTTTTAATAAGAGGACTGTAACTTTGCAAGGTTTACAGGGTGATCAATTAACTCAGCATATGTGCTCCTCACATTATGGAATAGAGCAGAGATTACATGAGGAAATCTGGAAAAATACTTTTAAATCTTTTTATGAGCAATAAGAAAAAATATATGTTAGACAAATACAAAAGAGAAACTTAAGAACTAAAAGACTCAAGCTTATATTTTATTCTTCTGAGATAAGGCAATGATTTTAGAAAATAATTTTCAAGTTTTATCCTTTCTCATCTTTACCCACTTAAAAAAAAAATGAAACCCCCTAGTTCTTAAGAGAAAGCCCTCTGCATGGGTAAGAAAGTAGTTATGAATATAATATCTCCATAAAGACTGATAGGACCAAGTCTACATTTGCAAAGCCAAGATAACAGATGCAACATAACTAAGTAACCAATTCGGTCCCTGGAGGCTTTCTAGAGGCCCACACTTACTACTGGAAAAGGAGTTCTCCTCCTAAGCTTTTGCTTTAAGAGAATGTTTCAGTTTCCTTCCAAAGCCGGCTGTGATAATTTAAACACCCACCCCTTCATACATGAACTTGATGTGATTTGAAAGAAAACTTTTACAAGATTTTCTGTTTTCATAAAATCTATAACCATTAATGATTCAACATGAAGGTCAAATAAGTCAAAAGAAAGCTTCTACCTGCCTCTCTCCAATCTGAAGTAAATATAAAATGGGTCCTTAACACGTTATATACAGGTAGCTTAGAGTATTGTAAATCCACTCAGCTGAAAACTACTGTTACCTGGGCTTTTCAAGATATCCTGGAACGACCACTCGGAGTCTGACTTTTCAATGAATTCCACAGTTAAGAGAAACCAGTTAACTGCATTCAAAAGCTAACTCGGAGGCCTTGCTGCCAATGTACAGCAACTTCCACTTCCACTTCCATCAGCTTAAATGTTCCTCCCCCTGCTCAGTCCTATAAAAAGAATCCCAATGATGTTAGGGGAAGAGGAATTAAACAATGCATTAATTTAAGACCATTTGTTGTTGTTATTCACTGATCTTTTAAACGGTAATCATTTGTTCCAAAACTTTTTTTAAAATTCACTTTGGCTCCTTACAGGGTAGCATCAGTCACCTGCCAGATTCCAACTGTGCTAAGTGAAGCAGGGAGCTAGTCTGGCCCACAAAACTACCGGTCAACTCCTGTTTCGCTATGGAAAACAAAATTTCCCTGACAGTCTCCAAGCTGGGATGTGAGGATTTTTTGATAGGACAGAGGGCTTTAATTGTCACTAGAGAAAAGAAGAACCATTCCTTCAAACCTGACTCAGGCCAGCTTGTTTTCTGGGCTCACCATTCTATCAAAACTCTGGGCCTCTCTCTCATTAATCTGTCTGCTGCATGGTATCACTCCTTGAGATGCTCTTCACCTTACTTTGGTAATGCTATATTATTTGTTTTTCCTTCTTTCACCTATTATATTCTAAGAATTCTCCAAATTTTTATATTACATCTCTTTTCTATTGTGTGTCCATAATTTTCTTTTGATGATCTCACCCATTCCCAGGCTTTAATTATCACTATAGGCAGATGACCTCCAAATCTGTATTTGTAGCTTGGACAAGAGCCATGGAGTCACTCCAAGTGTTCTCAAATCCAAATACACACAAAGCACCAACTGCTGAGTGAAAAAGATGCCTCTCACACACGTCTACTTTGCAAATGAAGGTAAATAGACACTTCTGTTATTCAGTAAAACTCACTTAACAGTATAGCTGAATTTTTGTTTTGTCTTTACATGTATTCTCAAAAAACAAATACTAAAAGTAGTCATAAATATTTGCAAGTTTTTATTTAAAAAGCTATCCTCACACCTGAAAAGTTCAGAACCATCAGCCCAAACTGTTCTTCTGAACTGTAATTTGGCATTCCACCTGGGCATTGTCAAAACCTCAAATTTGATGTGTCCAAAATCAAGTACATTCTCTCATTTTCTGCCCTTCTTCCAGATTCCCAAGTCTACTCTTTCCAACTCTCTTAGTTCTTTCAGTTGCACCATTGGTCTTTCAGTTTCCCGGATTTAAGTAAGTTTGGATTCCATTTTTGCTTTTTCTTCTTTCTTCCTCAAATCTACATGTCCTTAGGCTACACCACCACTTCTTTCTCTGCCTCAAAAGCACCAAATTCTAGTGTTCATTGCTTCTTGCCCCAATTTTGAAAAAAGCTCCTTCACCTTCAATAGATCCCACACTGCAATGCCAAGTTTACAGATTTGCGAACTTCTCCACCAGTGCAGAGAAAGAAATCCAAACTACTCATATAGGCATCCCAGACCCAAGCCTATCTTTCCAGCCTTCTCTCTGTTCCTTAACATGCCCATATACTTGTGCCAAGCAGATACACTAGGCATTCCTCAAATATGCCTTCCACTTCCCTGCCCCTGTGCCAGGCATCCTCTCTCCCTCCAACCTTCACAGCCTTTCCCAAAATGTCTTTCCCACTACCCCTGGCTGCAGCTGTCATCTCCCTTCTCTGAACCCCGCAACACTTTGTCTCTCTTACATTTTGAACTTATTCAAATAACACCAACAACTAAGCCAGTTCTGGGGAACAGAGGAAAGACAGTCCTTCATGGAGAGTCAGTTAAGAGCAAGGAGAGACAAGAAGCAGAGACTTAAACAATGTGGTAAATGCTGTGCAGCTGTGAAGGAGTCATGGCACAAGGAAGGCAACCTGCCTGGCTCTGCAGAACAAGTCACTGTTAGGTTATAAGCACCCCAAGGGTAGGAATTAGGTTTCATTACTCTTTTATCCCCATTTATTCCTAGCAAAGTTTCAATGATGAATAACATCTCTGGAAAGGTTGCTGTGCAATGAAACCCAATGTCTGAGTCAGAATCTGATCAGCAACCTTTCATATTCCAAAGGGGAGGCCTTCTGTGTAAACCAGTATCTCAATGAATTGCCAATCCAATAACAGGGCATCCTGTTACTTTACCTACAATCCTTTTCATTCTCTCATCCTTAATACTTCTTCTTTCTTAAAAAGCTATACGGTGCACTCCTATAACATGGCTATTCTCCCAAGAAAGCAAAAGTTCCTGCCAATACAGGAACTACAAGTGGTTAGTGTTATACATCATGCAACGAGTCCGGCCCCAACACCTGCCTTTTAAGAATTCAAGTTCAGTCATGAGATCCTAGGTCTTTTTCTTCTCTGTTCCTATAAATTAAACACGGTGTAAGTTATCATCAAATATCTATCTCATTAATGATCCATACACTCAAAGGGATTTATAATCACTATTCTTGCATCTTCTCCCCTCCATGCTATGGGAATCATTATTAGATACACATACACAAACATATATAGCAATACACATATGAACACACTTCCAGGAGTGGGAAGAAACCACGGGCAAAATCCTAGTAAGGCCTGACTTATTTATGCATAAGACTAGAAATTCCTTCCCCCAACACAGCCTGCAATTTTTACTTTAAAATTATCTGAGTTAATAGCAACCTCTTACAGACTTACAAAAAATGTGAAAAACCTTGGGAAGAGTTAAGAGCTCATGAGTCATTTACAGATAAAGGTAAATTAGTTCCATCAGATTGTTTTCTTCTTAACATCTAGACAAGATCTGATGCACATTAATGAAAGATTGAGATGGGAAATGGGGACAATGAAAATAGGAAATCTGAGGACAGAAAGACTACACTTAGAGCCTCTGAAGTATTCCAAGTTCAGGAGAGTATAGCTTGAAGGTACAGGGGCCTGAGAGAAGGGTGAAATGGGTACACGAGAGGCTGAAACAGAAAAGGTTTATAACAAACAAGAATTTGATTTAGGGAAGGATGAGCCTCTGTGTCAGGGGTGTCCAATCTTTTGGCTTCCCTGAGCCACACTGGAAGAAGAATTGTCTTGGGCCACACAAAAAATACACTAACGATAGCTGATAAGAAAGTTTATGCATTTGTGTTGGGCCGTATTCAAAGCCCTCCTGGGCTGCATGCAACCACAGGCCTCGGGTTGGACAAGCTTGCTCTATGCAATTAATTATTTTCGCTTTTATTCTCATCCTAGACCCAGAACTCAAGCTAAAATGATTAAATATAGTTCAGCTACACTTTATGGGTTACTTAAGATTGTAGGGTTGGCCTAGGTACTAACTCCCATGTATGTGTTTCAAGCTTCCAGTGATTTACCTAGGCACACATATTAGTAAGCATTCAGTGGTGTACCATATAAGTCAAGATACTTCTGGATCTTAGCTATGAATTAAATATATACCTTCTAATGAATTGACTGTAATTTGGGAAACTTAAAATGTTGTCTCTTATTGATTCGTTTCTAAATTCTGAATGGAATGAATGAAGCTGGAAAAAAATTTTAGAGACACCTTAAAATTTTAATAAAAATATTCAGTGTGAGGTTAAATTTACTTGCCAAAATTAGAAAAAACTAAACCAGATTTTGCTAAATGATAACTATGTATTTATTCATTTAACTATAGTAACAATAGGCAAATACTAGCATTTCGTACAATGGCTGGAAATTCTTAACCAACCAACCATCAAGTCATTCAACAAACATTAAGTACCCACTGAGCACAGAGTATGCAGGCAATATTTATAAGTTTTTTTCACCTTTTCAGAAGTTTCTCTGTAAAAATCATTAAATTAATATACCATGCAAATTAATGGGTCACCCCCTAAATACAATGTATTGAGAAATGACAAACTCTTTGAAAGCTTAATGGCATGTTTTAGCTGTGTGAATTCTCACAAGATGAGGATTACTATTTTTTCCAAGCATCAACTTGTCAAATTTCCCACTTGCTCCATTATTAAGTTTAAGGAGTATATTCTACTGTTGTATGAGTTATTGAACATGTCAGATCAGAAAGGGAATTTGCACTTAATATAACAATTGTACCATTCTTCATTCTACTGTTGAAAAGGATAAAAGAAGCAGGTAAGATAAAAATAAATCCAAAGCAAAGGGTCTAGCAATCTTCTATTATGCTCAAGTGGGTATTATTTATGCTATAATATGTTTAGCAAATTCCACAATGAAATATGCATAGACGGGTTGATTATACATTAGCATGATCTTAAACTGTTCAAAACATATTATAAAATGGTCACTTCCATCCAAAACACAGCTTTGCATTTAAAGGTAAATTTTACAAAGATTTCATTTCCAAAAATGTACATAAATAGCACTCACAAAAAACAGCTCCAGGCTTGTTATAATGGAATAAATGAGTCCTAAGTCTTAGGCCAATGAAACCTGACATAACTTCGGAGGCTAAGGTGGGATAATCCCTTGGCCCCAGGAGTTTGAGGCCAACCTGGGCAACACAGCGAGACCCCATGTCTATATTTTCTTTAGAAACTGACATACTTCTGTTTTCATCCAACCTGAACTTTAAATATTTAAAGTTCATTAACAAATTCATCAAAGATGTCCCCCAGTTTATAATTTCTTCTTTCAAAGAAGCATCCACAGTGCAAACCCCCAAAATCTTTAATAAACCAATAGGTTCTTAGCTATACCGTGATGAAAATACCTAATGCTTTCAGTGTTTCTCTAACAAGGAGAATAAACATCTATTAACTTTCTCATACGACAGTGGATGTTATTTGCCACTTACAAAAAAGAGATTACTCAACTGAATAATTTTGAAATAAGATGAGATAAAGTATTTTTTAGATAGATCAAGTTATTTACTAGACATATAAGCTTACTAAATGTCCTTGTAACAACCATAGTAATCCTAAGAATTTCTGTCATTTGAATTACATCCATAATTAGCAGGCAGAATAAAATAAAAATCTACAGTTCCTCAATGTTGTCATTATTACATTATTATTGATACCTTCACAAGTAACAAGAGACCATCAGAGTCGGGAAAAAAACATTTTTAATCTCGAAATGGCATATTAACTTTAGTGCAAAATGGTAAAAATAATAAAATTGAAACAAGAAAGCTTCTTCCAGAAGTTCCTTGAAATTTTCTTTCAAGACCTAATGTTCCAATATCTAATACCCAAATCAGGGATAAAAAAGGCTGACCTAGCCAGTCATCTACAAAGACTCAAGAAAACCCTTATTTGTATGTTAATACCGATGAAAAAATATAATCTTTTAAACTTAAAGATAATATTGTATGTCTTAAATGACACCAATATGGAGAAGAAAAAGCCTTTCATCTAAGAGCCACTTTTACTGGCACTCAGATTAGATCAGAAGCAGCTCTTTCAGGTCTTCAGGAAAAGCTCAATCTCCACCCAAAACAGAAAAAGCAAATCCTATGCATCCTCTCTCCTCATACTTCTTATAACCCACACACAAATTATGAAATATCATAATTCAGTATGTTGTTCAGGGAAAAATTTTCAAAAAAGTGAAAACCTAGGAAGGTAAGTCATTGCGTGAACACTTTTACAACAGCTAAGCATTTCCTACGTGACTAATCTATTTTAAATTCGGCTCCTCTGTTCCTATGCAATCTCATATTATCTATTAAAACTGCCAAAATATTTTTAAACAAGATCTGAGAATTCCTCTTTCAGCTTCTGATCTTTGCACTCTTTGAGTTGGCAGACACGTCACTGGCAAACCAACTGGTAGTGACAAGTTACTCCAAATCGACTCTTTCAGATGAAATTTTAAATTAACAGCCATCCCAAAATTTTCCGTGCCTCCCGAATCTCAGGGAGCGAGGTGTAAGTACATGCAAGTCTACGATTCCTCCCGATCACTCGCTGCAAAGCTTGGTCTGCAGAATCGACAAATGTATATTCCATCTCAACTATCCCTTTCCCCGAGATCCTGCAACATTCAGGCTTAACAGAAGTGTCATTTCCTATCTCAAGCTTTGGAAGCTCTGAGTTTGCAGACCACAAAGATTTGATAGTATTTTCAGTGTTTCTCCATGATAAGGTCACACACACACACCTCTATATCCAACGCTTGTATGTCCCACATGTGTTTCCAAATTCCTCATCGGCCTTAGAGACACAAAGAGTTTCTGGCTTCCCTGCACCTCAGCGCCAAGTTTCTGTAAGCCACTTCCATGTAAAACTCTCCTTCCGCTTTTAAAAAGAAAACTACATTCGGAAAGGGAAGATACCCAAGAAGAAAATCGAGACGGTAAGTGCAGCACTTTTATAAAGTAAACAAACAAAAAGACTGCCCTGACGAAGGTGGCTGCAAAACTCTGGGGCCGGCGCGCACAACCCACATCGCACACCCCCAGAGCGCCGTGTGACGCCCCCAGCCCCGTTAGCAAAACGGACTCGGCACCCCAACCTTTCTCGGAGGGAAAATGCACGAGTCAGGGCCGCGCTCCCCGCCGCCCTGGCACACAGAATGTCTCCGGGAATCGCCCACACGAGCCCGGGGCCGCCCTCTCCTTCCGGCGGCGGCCGCGCGGAGCCCGCTTCCCCCGGACACCGCCCCCAAAGTGCCCGCGTGGCCCCGCGACTCAGCCGCCCCAAGTTCGCCCGTGGCCGCTCAGCCGCGAAAGTGTCCCGCACTTGGCGGACCGGGAGTGGCGACCGTCCGCTCCGGTACGTACTCAGCCAGCGGCTGCAGCGGTCTTGGCGCGCTCTCCCCGAGGACTGCTCAGCCCCAACTCCGAAGCGACGGCCCCCGGCTCTCCCTCCTCTGGCGGCTGCAGGAGCCGGGACGCCCCCGCTCCCATCGAGGGGGGAAGGGAAGGTGGTGGGCGCGCTCTCTCTGCTCCCCCCCACCTCGGGCCCGCCGCTTCTTCCCGCCCACCCGCCCCGACGGCGCTCGCTTGGCCGCGGCGGCGGCGGCGGCTCCTCCAGGCTGCGGCGCGCGGGCGGCGGCGGCGGCGGCAGCGCCTCCCCCGCCGCGCCTTGCCCTCCCCTCCCCTGCCTTCCCCGCGCGCGCTACACCCTCCTCCCCCTCCCCCGCCCGCCTCCGCCGCCTCCACTCCCCCACCCCGCGCTGTCACATTGGGAGATTCCGCTCTTGCTACATTCGCCGCTCCGGCTCCCGCCCACGCGCGGCCGAGTGACGCAGATCCCGGCGTGGGCCGCCGCCGGGCGGGGGCGGGGGCGGCCGCTGGGCCCGGGGCTCGGCCCCTTCCCGCCGCCCCCTCCGCGGAATCCGGAGGACGGCCCATTCACACGGCAGCTGGGAGGAACCAAGTGGGCGCCGGGAGTGGGCGGCTCCCGCGAGTCCCGCTCCGGGCGCGGGGAGGGGACGACAAAGAGGGAGACGGGTGGGGAACGCCGCCTCCGGCCTGCTCTCCAGCTGCGGAGTGAACTGGGAAGGTTTGCAATTAAAAAAAAAAAATTATGTGTGAGGTTCCCGATATAGTATTTCAAAGAGCACACCCGCCAAATCCAACATCCTCTAGGAGGCTGACTTTAAAAAAAAAAAAAAAAAAAAAACAACAGCGCGCCGGGCTCCCCTGGCCCCCGCAGGCTCGGGGCAGAGGCGGGGAGGCAGGTGGTCCAGGTGCGCCCCTGCCCGGGGGGGCGAGGCGTCCGGCGGGAAGGCTGCAGCGACCGCATGGAGGAAGGGGCGGCAGGTGCGCGGCGCTGGAAGAACCGGCGGCTGGGAGAGCATCTCTGCCTCGCCCATCTTGCCCCCTCCCCACCTCCGCTCTGGCGTTGGGACGGGAGGAGGAGGGAGGAATGGAACCAGGGAGTCCGAAGTACAGCTTTGACAACTGTCGCGCTGGCCGGGTAATTTAATTCCAACCTTTTTAACCTCCTGAAAATCTGCCTTTTATTTTACTGTTTAATGTTTTTTGTGTCCATGGTGTAGAAAAACTACGGCGCTAGTATAGTGCTGGTGTGTGCTAAATTAGAGTTCCCAAGGCACAATATAGAATTTTTTGGTTTGCATAAACTTTGCTAACCAAAGTATTAAAGCACCTTCAAAAATGTACTTAGGCTGGCCAGGGCTCACGCCTGTAATGCCAGCACTGTGGGAGGCCGAGGCGGGCGGATCACCTGAGGTCCGGAGTTGGACACCAGCCTGGCTAACGTGGTGAAATCCCGTCTCTACAAAAAATACAAAATTAGCCGGGCGTGGTGGCGCATGCCTGACATCCCAGCTGCTTGGGAGGCTGAGGCGGGAGAATAGCTTGAACCCGGGAGGCGGAGGTTGCAGTGAGCCAAGATCGTGCCATTGCACTCCAGCTTGGGCAACAAGAGCGAAACTCAGTCTCAAAAAAAAAAAAAAAAAAAAAGAAGAAGAAGAAAAATGTACTTAAGCTATTGCCAAAAAAATTTTGGAAGTCTGTTTTTTAAATCTATATTTCAATTCTTTGCAAAAAGTGGAAAAATTAAAGAATTTTAGCATTGTGTTCTTGAAGATTAGAGAGCATTCATTAATATAAAACTACTGCAAAGACAGGTAGAATCCCATTTTAACATACACATAAAAATCAAGTTTTATAGGAGGCCATTCCCACACCCTGGCTGGCCTCCCAGAGTGTGCCTACTTCGCTGATGGGGATACAAGGCATTCTTTGAGATGGGAAATTCTTCAAACCACATCTTTATGTTGCAGCAAGGGATAGGATGATGATGATGATATTGAAAGAAAAAGACTTTAATAAAGTACAGAACCTTTTTTTTTCTTTTTGCGAAATCATGTTATAGAAATGAGTAATGCCGCAATGGAATACATATAATTAAAGTTAAATCTTTTTCTTCAGTATTAGTGACAGGTTTTGTCTGGAGTAGTTGAGTTGATATTTCAAATGAATAAGTCTGCTTAATTCCTGAAATTCTTTAACTGCAGAAATCACTGCTGGAAGTTTCTCTTAGTCTCCCTAATTGTCACGGTTTTTGCAGCTGTGGATCCTGTTCTACTAAAGAGAAAGTTAGATGGTCATGTTAAAGACGATTTAGGCAATTTCTTGGTTGGTGGGGAAGGTAATGTTCAGGCAACGAAATCTGCAAAATTCTCTTCTAATTCCTCTATGGAATCTTGATGTTTTGCAAACACTCTTGGTTCTGAAAGCTAGAAAAAAAGAACTTTTTTCCGTAAAGATGTATAATCACGGATTCATGAGTCACGAAATGAGTGGTCTTACCTGAACTATTGAGCCTTCTAGTGGAATTGTTTCCAGAGTTGGAAGAAACAACATTAAATCCTCTTCCCAAGCTTGTCTGTGTCTGGCTGAACATGATGCTGAAAAGGAAATGTGTCAGGACAGATACTTTTTCTTCTGAGTTGTATCTGGTTTCTACAGTTAAACAGTGGAATCTATCCTTGTTTGTTTTCTGGGCACATTTAGATAGTGTATTCTTCCCACATTAAGAATGGCATTTTTGGCCCACTTTACTTTGCCTTAAATGCCCTGTGGTGCTGGGGGAAGTGGTGGGAGGAAGGAAAATGAAGGAAAGATAAAATTTTAAGCTTTTAAGCATCCAATTCTGTATGTCTGTATGACAACACTGTAGTCAATATGGTAGCTCAAAAAGAACTGAAGCATTCGCCTGTATCTGAGTCAAGTCAGACGATGGATTCTTTTTTTCCACCTTACCAGGTTTTGTCACTCATGCCATCCCTAATACCTCCTCCCGACTCCAGCACACACACAGTCTTCTCCCACTCCCACGCCCTGAGGATTTGTTAGAGGAAAGCAAAGAGATTCACATTCCATCCTGGAAGGTAACAATTATGGTGTCTGATTATCCTCTGAAGGCCCTCTGGAAGAGATCAAACAGTTTCAAGGCTTTAGAGTGTTCTTGGAGGCATCCCAGACAGGTGTAAGAATGTGCTAACACAAATAGTTGCCATTCAGACCACTTTGGATATCTTTTGTTAAACGTCCATGCAATAGTTTTGGTTTCTCCTGGTGTGATTTTATTATAAATACCTGTATATTGAAATTATTCATTTATTCAGTACAGCTTGTTGAGCACCAAGAATGTGCCAGGTTTAGGGCTGGATGCTTGGAACACAAAGACAAGTAAGTCATGGATGGTTCCCTGCCCGCAGGGCTTTGCTATAAAACAGTGAAAATAAGGAGAACAGAAGGAAGTCTAAAAGACAAAGGAAAATGTTTTGTCTCTGTTTATAGTTTTGATTGTCTTTTCATGCACTCTAAAAGATGAATATAAAAACTACTAAGGAATGAGACTATATTATTTTTGTAATACTTCGTCGAATGCAAATAGTAAAATAAAAATAATTTTCTTATACATGGAAAATCACATTTCATGTTACATTTCATTAAGAGCCTAAAGGACATGAGTGTAATTTCCAAGAGGCAGAATTTTTTATTCACTGCTGTATATTCAGTGGCTAGAACATTGGCTGACGCATACTAGTCACTTAATAAATATTTGCTGAATAAATGAAATGGAAAATATGAACTAGCAGAATTTTGTATTTTGTAGATGTTATTAGTATGAATTGTATTTCCTAATAGAAGTGTCTAAAATATGTGATGCCTACTTCTGATTAAATATATAACATTTTCAATAAAATATTAAGAGTTAGAATATGTTTTGAAGCAGTGTGTAAATTGTGAAGTAATTTTAGAATGTTCCTAAAGTAATTCATATTAGATTTTTAGGCACAAAATTTATTTTTAAATAAATTACAAAGGGTTAATAAATACACCAGATTCTGAATTTTTAACACCATTTGGAAAGTGGTATGAGAAATATATCAAATTCTGTTTTTTTATTTATTATTCATGTGTTTATTCTTAACTCTATCTCTTGCAAATATCATCCCAGGCTTATTCCTTATATATAAAAGTAAGGGCAAGACAGAGCTACTTCTGATGTCTTAAATAAATATCACTTGTATGGTTTTAAATTTTGAAAACACTTTTTAAAAAATTTGAAAGCCTTCTTGACTTAGTTTTTGTTTTTACCTGTTAGGAGTAGATTTGGGAGAAGCTTATTTTACAGGCGTGTTCATAATTTTAATCCGTGTTGTAGAGTGTGTCACAGTATACAGCCAAATCACCAGGTTTATTTCCCCTCTCAGAAAACCAGATTTCCTCTCTCAAGTTGTGTGTGTGTGTTTTTTTTAACTTTTATTTTAGGTTCTGGGGCACATGTGGTTTGTTACATAGGTAAACTTGTGTCACTGGGGTTCATTGTACAGATTAATTCATAACCCAGGTATTAAGCCCACTACCCAATAGTTGTCTTTTCTGCCTCTCTCCGTCCTCCCACCCCTCACCCTCAAGTAGACCGCGCTGTCTGTTGTTTCCTTCTTCGTGTCCATGAGTTCTTATCATTTAGCTCCCACTTGTAAGTGAGAGCATGAGGTATTTGATTTTCTGTTCCTGTGTTAGTTTGCTAAGGATAACAACAGCCTCCAGCTCCATCCACGTTCCCACGAAAGACATGAACCTGTTCTTTTTTATGGCTGCTCTCAGGTTTAAAAATTAGAGAAAGAGAATAATTTTTTTTGTGCTTCTGAATGGAAGTTGTAATTCATGGAAAATAGAATATAATGTATGCCACTGACAATATACAGTCAGTATATATGACACACCTTTGAACACAAGACCAGTCAATGGTAAATGAACACTGCTCCTTCACATTGTCTTCTGATGGCTCTGTCAAAGTACAGAAGCATGCTGAGATGATTCGAGATGGAAGATGCACGTTGGCATTAAATAGCAGTAAACCACATACTGAACAAGCTATTCCCTTTTCAATTCTTTCAGTCCTTCGAAGGAGGAAATTTAAATTGGTGCCAGTATGTCTGTAATCCTTCTAATACTTGCTGAATTCTGTTTTTTGTTTTTTTTTTACAATGAGGAAACAGGCTTCAGCTCAGAGCCTTGGCAGGCCTCAGTATATAGCTAGAATTTAATAGCACTGTTTTCCTTGTATTTGTTTTTATGGTTATCTTCCATTGAGGCAAATGAGATTCATTATGCATTTAGAATAACGATCTCAAAATACCTTTTAAATACATTTCCTTGAGCAAAGACCCTTAATTTTAAAATGAGGACTATTAAGTAAACTCTCTTTTTTGTTGTTTTTGTTTTTGAGACAGGGTCTCACTCTGTCACCCAGGCTGGAGTACAGTGGCACAATCATGGCTTTCACTGCAGCCTCAACCTCCCAGGCTCCAGTCATCTTCCCACCTCAGTCTACTAAGCAGCTGAAACTATAGGCGTGCCACCATGCCCGGCTAATTTTTCTATTTTTTATAGAAACAGGATTTCACCATGTTGGCCAGACTGGTCTCGAACTCCTGGGCTGAAGCTCACCTCCCAAGGATAAATGCTATTTTAGTGGTGCAAGAAAATAATAACTAACATGTATCGAGTACCTAATAAGTGCTGGTAGCACTTTATCAGTATTAATTCATCTGATCCTCGCAACAGCGCTATAAAGTATGCACTATTATTCACTTCATTCTCTGGTAGAACTGAGGAAACTGAAATATGGGGTACTAAAATTACCTGTTTAGGTAACATGGGAGAGCCAGGCTTTGAGGCCAAGATCTCTGTCCCACAGCCCATGTCTGGACCATTAAACAGATAGCTCTAAGCAGCCAAGTCAGTGCTGGAGGTTTCAGAAACACTGACACAAGTGTTTCTCCCATCTTTAAAACTCCAGTTTAACTTCCTTGAAGATCACTGTGAGCTCCACTTCCCTCAGTAGCTTCTGCTTTCCCTAACTCCCATTCCACTTCTCTTTGGTACCACATGGAAGGCTTATAGTTATTTATGCATCTTTAGTTACTTAATTATGTTCATCCTAAGTATACAGTAAGCCCCCTTGGAAGGAGCAACTATGTGTTATACTTCTCTTGAATTCAGTGAATATATGTTTAAAAGGGGTTTTAAGAAATTGTTATTAAAACTGCTCAATGATTAGTGCATTATTTTAGCATTTGCAAAAATAAGGGATTCTTTTGACCCAAAAAAAAAAAAAAAAAAAAAACCTTAACCATTTCCACTTTGTGAAACTAAAAAAAAGTTTTCAGTGAAAAAAAAAAAATGTAAGAAGTTGGTAGTGATTTTGACATTTGAATGAAAATTTCACTAAAAGAGCATTAATTTATTATTTTCGGAAAGATTTCTTACTTTAAAATGCTTCAGTAATTCCAAACAAAAGAATAGATTTAAAATGTTCTTAGAGGAGAGGAAGAATAACATTATGGCTTATGACCTACAAGATCTAAGGTATAATATAATTCTCGTCTATTATTGCCTCAGAACAATTCTATACTTAACAAATTTTCCACTCTGTGTGGTGGTAGCCCTACAATTAACTGAGTCATGTAGAATATTCATATTACCAGAAATATAATTAAAATTTCCCTTATTTTGCGATATGAAATTCAAAGCTTTGGAAGTGTATTGTAGACTAAATAAACTTTTAAATGCATGGAAATTTGAGTATTTTTAAATATATAGAGATTATAAACAAGTTTCTTAAAGACAAGTTAATAGGAATATATAATAACTCATAATTTCAAGAGCCACGACTTTAAAAGTAGCTGCTCTTCTGAAAAATAAGCAAACCTTTATCCATTGTATTTTATTACAAGATACTATAGAATTTTAAGGTATAAAGGATTATAAAGTTTACCTAGTTCATCCTCTTTTGTATATTCAAAATATATTCAAATACCTTGCAGAAATTCATCATACAACTAGTTTAGTTTCCAATTGCTTATTTCTTTATAAGTTGGTTATTTTGAACTTATAATGCAATCTCTGTTGTAAGAATAAAACAACAACAACAACAAAAAAAAAACCCGAGATGGTTAGGTTCCCAGGATGAGCTACCAGTGCTTATAAAATACAAGTGAAAATACAAGTGTTACAGACTTTGGGGGGATTAGGTGGGATCCTAGAAATCATCTAATCCAATTGACTTCTACAGATAAGCAAATTTATACTACACATTGCTTATAGAAAGAGCAGAAAAGTATATTAGGCAGTAAGTACAACCAAACATTTAATTGACTGAATAGTAATTGTGGTTAAAATTTGTGTTTAAGACAGAAGAAATGTAAATGGAAACTTTTGAAAAGACTTTCTTAAGAGAATTTCGGGAAATTTTTTAAGGATTAGAGCCTTGTTTTTCTTTCTCTTCTATCCCCTATCTTTGGCAACAGTGGTTAAAACTCCGCAACTCTATCTTCTCTTCCCACTCCTTCCCTTTTCTCCCAGCATCCACTGTGCAGGACTTGTATAGTTAACTGATCTGTAACACTGTTTTAGGTGTCAGCCACACTGGCTACGGTCCACTCATTCCTGGCCATTAATAATTGTCTGTTAACAACACAAGCCAGGGTGGAGAGTAGGTTAAAGTGCTCTGCTCCCCATCTCTGGAATGTATTCAAACCGTCTTCCACTGCACACTGCATTCTTGGCCACCCTGTTCCTCACAGTCCCAGCTTTGGCTTTACCCTTCTCCACCCTGTTTGCTGAGATGAATGTCAAGTCTGTGCCCACTCTCCCAGCTCAGTCTCTGGGCTTCTCTCTTCCTCTAGGTCTACACTGCAGCCAAAGGACCCAGCAGCTGGAGTACCCTCCATCATGAGGGTGGATGGAGGATTTTGTTTGTTTCCTTGACAAAGGTGTGTGACTTGTCAGCCAAGATGTTGGCTTTTTCATGAAAGGAGCAAGGAAATAGGAAGAGAGCATGTTAAGGAAGAGAGCCCTTCTTGAAGCAAATGGGCAAGAATTGGAAGGAAGTGGGGAAAGAGGATGGAGATTACAGAAGATGTGTCTGTACTTATGACAAGTAACTAAAGTAGATATAACTATTTTGGGAGAAGTGAAAAGCCAAAGAAAAAGTACCAAGTACAGGGCTCCCCTAAAAAAAATGGAAAGAAAAGGCAGAGGGGGCAAAGAAGAGATCATCCTCACATAAACTCCTCTAAACCAGCCTCTTGACGTGGGACAGATGGGAGTGTTGGGATGGAGTAGTTGGGACAGATCTGCAGGGAAAAGGGGCAGAGAAACAGCAGCCAGTCTTCTCTCTTCGCTTGGATTGCAAGAGGTAAGTGTCAGGAAAAGGAAAGAAAAGCAGAATGGGTTCAAAAACTACCCCAGCACACCAAATACTTTACTATGCTGATTCAGGTAGAATCCTGAGTTGCCATATCACCCATCTAGCTAAAAAAAAAAAAAAAAAAAAAAAAAAAAAAAAAAAAAAAAAAAAATTGAATGTGTTAATATTGATGAGTTGGCGAATTGTCACAACAAATTACCACAACAAATTACTCAACACTGCCTTCTAGGAGCGGATACTTTGAAAGGACAATGCATATATCCTACAATGAGAGACTTTTAAACTACTGAAATACAGATAAACATAGTTCCGTTTGCATATAACTGCAAAGTTACATCTTTACAGTTTGAATTATATTGTCGTGTACCTGGACTTATACATCATGACTCAGCTTACCCAGGACTGGCAATAATATGTGGTAGTCAAAAACTTTAAAGTTTTCTATCTATTATTGTATTTTCATTCCTTACTATAAGTTTCTCATAGTGGCAGAATAAGGGTTTTTTCCAACTATAAATTATATTCCTTAAATAAACTGTTCCAAATAATCACAGTGTTGCAGAGGTTAGGGGCTCATCATTGCTGGTAAAAAAAATAAACAACCTTTAGAACAGTAGTTTGGCAAGTCGAACCAAGAGTTGCAACATGTCCATATGATTTCAGCCAACAAATTCACTTCTAAGATATTATGCTAAGTTTATACATTTTTATTACAACATTATTTGTGAAATGGAAAAAAATAAAAAATAATGTATTAGTTAAATAAGATATCTATATGATGGAATATATTCAATTAATATTTAATAATATTGAGAAATGCTCATAATGTTATGGGTAAAAATAGAACAGAGCAAAACAACCTGTAATCTCTCTACCTAAATAAACATGGAAGGAAATTTACTAAATGTTAGCAGTAATTATCTCTGGGTGATGGTATTATAGATAGTTTTTATTTTCTTCTTTATGCTTTTTTTCAATTTTCAAAAATTTTGGCCAGGCACAGTGGCTCACGACTGTAATCCTAGCACTTTGGGAGGCCGAGGTGGGCAGATCATGAGGTCAGGAGATCGAGACCATTCTGGCTAACATGGTGAAGCCACGTCTCTACTAAAAATACAAAAAATTAGCTGGGCATGGTGGCATGCACCTGTAGTCCCAGCTCCTCAGGAGGCTGAAGCAGGAGAATCACTTGAACCCGGGAGGCTGAGGTTGCAGTAAGCTGAGATCGTGCCACTGCACTCCAGCCTAGGTGACAGAGTGAGACTCCGTCAAAAAACAAAAACAAAAAACAAAAAAAAAAAACTCAACAATAAACATGCATTACTTTGAAAATCAGGAAAAAAATAAATGTTACTTAACAAAGATCCTGCTTCAAAAGCAGTTTACAAATAAAAATGAAAACCAAATTGTATGTATTTATGCACTTGTTTGCAGAGGGCAACAAAAACCAGGAGGTCAACAAAAACTGCGAGCTAAAAAGTATGTGTCAAGCACTTAATGTCATCTGTCCCAAAATTGTTTTTATCCACTTGTTTGCAGAGGGCAACAAAAACCAGGAGGTCAACAAAATCTGGGAGCTAAAAAGTATGTGTCAAGCACTTTAATGTCATCTGGCCTGTATAACTACATGTCTTGAGGGTCTACCATCTGACACATGGTAGACCCTCAAGGCATAGATACCCCACCACACCAAATTCTTTGACCATGCTGATTCAGATGCCATCCTGAGTTGCCTTATCACCCAACTAGCTACAAAAAAAATTGAATGTGTTAATATTGATTTTATATATATTTATAGATATAGAGCTGGCTTGAACTGCTTTAATCTGATGTCACAAATAGTCTCTTTTCCTTATTAATCATTCAAGCATGTATCTCTTTATATCTTCTTAAGGATCCTCCTGTTCCAGGGACCTATGCAGTCCCAGAGCTTTTGCAGTTCAAAATGTGACGTTCACTGGGCTTTCACACCCAGTGACAGAACTGGCATCTGGGCCACATCTGATGCCCTGTTTGTTTGTTCCGGTCCTTGTTTAGCTGCAGAAAACTGGCCCACCAGGTGCCAAACTGGTCCAGTGCTGCTTGAGACCCATCTGCTGCTCTGGTTCCTTAGGGGAGGAGAGCAGAGCCCACTTTCTCTGAGACTGCAGTTCTTTCTTCATTTTGCAGATGCAAGCATCTCCCAAGTGTGGGCTCCAGACCTGCCTTGATCATCTCCACTCAAAGCTGCCCTCACCCCTTCCCCAGGTATCAAACCACCAGTGATGGCTGTCTTTCAGACCCATACAGTAGAAGGGGCCAAAATTTATTAACTACTTTTTGATTTTAAATTTTGCTTTACAATATCTTTTCCGGCATCAGTAGATTTCAAGTGATGCTCATTTCTGTCCTTCCACCCTCTCAGTTTGCCCAGCAGTCAAGGTTCGTTTTCGTCAGGACTATTGACATTGCTGTGAAGTTTCCTGTGGCAGGCTGCCCAGATGCTTCTGTCCAGATCCTCTGAGCACCAAGCAGTTACACAAGGCCCCTCTGTGTGGCTTATTGTCGCCTTCCACTCCCACTCACATACTGTGGATGGATAGGAGTTTTGATGCTAGGGTCAAAAATAGGCAGGTTACTTACTTAAAAGGTGGCATTTTGCAAGCAGAATGGATACTCAGAGAAGAAGATGGACAATGTGAGGACAATCAGAGGCAGGAAAAGATGTAAGGAATTTGGAACAGTCCAGGCTCCCCATGTAGCACAGTGGTCTGACAACTGGGAGTCCTCTCTGAGAAAGAAGGGAAGGCTCAGTGCTGCCGGGAGCACTCTGATTACTCCTTGCTCTGTAGGCTCTGGCAGCCCTTCAGACAACATCACTAGCTCCCCTGCTCCCGCTCCTGCAGTGTTTCATCCCTCTTTCTTCACTTACTTTCACCTCCCTCTCGGGCACCCAGTGTGTTACTGATGTCTGCATTTGTTTCCTGACAAGGAAGAACGTGATCTGATCCAAATATACCCAGAGGTATTAAGGTTGCAGTGTGCTACTTTTCCTAAGATGTTTATACCTGGAGACTATTTGCTTGTTCAACAATTAAGCACTGACTGAGGGATACACACTAAGCCTATAAGCACAAGAAAATTAAATCTCTGCCCTATTTCCTGGTCTAGAAAGCGGAATACACATGTAAACAAGCACTTGCACACATTATAAGATGTTCTTAGTCACACAAAGAAAGAGTGATGGTTCTGGTTTGGGTAGGGCAGAGGGGTGAAAGTCAGTAGGCCTTGTAAGCAAGCAACAATTGGACAGGTCTGGAAGGATGAAATTAATAGACTCAGGAAGTGCAGGCACTCCCCAGCAAGTACAGAAGCACAGAGGCAGTGAGGCAGCATAAACATGAGCAGTAACTTAGGGAAATTATTGTGAAATGAAGCATAACTGATTCCAAATGACTTGAGAATTACATGTGAAGAGGGCAGAGGCAGAAGATGAAATTGTAGAGACCAAATTGTGCAGGAGCCACCTCTGACACGCTAAGCAGTGTGGACTTTATCTTGTAGCTGTAGTTCTCAGCACCAGTGAGTGCAAGAATCAAGCTGTGAGTGTCAGACATGAGAATAGTAGATACAACTAAGAGAAGAGAGAAATGATTGAAAGGGGAACAAGGGGGCTTCTGAAGTGCTGGCAAGCAAGGCCCTCTTTCTTGTTCTGGACCATGGTTATGTGGATGTTCACTTTGTAATCATTGAACTGCACATTTATGCTTTCTGTACTTACTGTACACTATACTTCTCAATTGTGAAAAAGTATTTTTAAGAAAATCAAGCTGGATTATTTATTGAAAACAGATTCCAGGATCTCCCTGTCAGACATACTGATTAAGTAGGCCTGGGCTGGCACTTGGGAAATCTGTACTTTTTAAATGATTACCTTAGTGAAGGATCTGAAGCCAGAAGGGACCCCTAGACCACACTTGGAGAACACTGCTAGCCCTTTTGGGGAGCCATCGAAAAGATTTAAGCAAGATGCTAAGAACAGAGATTTGTCTGTCTGAATGTTCTGGATAAAGGGGGAGGAAGAAGTTGAGGGTGGCCTCCACCTTATGCCTTATTAGCACTTGCAGGTTCTGTGTCCCATTCCTTTTGTGTTTTTAAGAGATGTGACAAATAAGGTGCTAATGACTTATAAGTACTAAATATGATTTTTGAGATGTGTTTTCTTTTGGAGTTTTCTTAAATATGAAAATTTTGGACTTCAGCACTTTAGTAGCTGAATTTGAGACATGGAACAAGCCCCTGGGGTAGATATTCTGGGGTAGGGAGCAACTTTGTAGAATTTCTTAAATGAGGGCATTCTCAGCCTGTGAGTCATAGTTGTTCCACTACTGACCTACCGTCATTACGACATACGCTTAGTGATGATTGATTTGCATGGATGCAGTTAAATTCATTTTCTTATGCCCCTGTATAATCAGAGGGATATTTTTGAGACTTAAAGCCTCCAATATGGTATTCTTCCAAACTTTAATCCTTCTGAAAAAAATATAACAAGTTTTGTTGCAAAGTTTTTCCTTTGCTGCTGACAGTGATGGAAATAGAAAGAGGAAACCTTACTTGGCCTTAAGCAGAGAATGAGAAAATCCAAAAATCTGACACAAAATTTGCACAGATTTTTTTTCCTCATAATTAAAGTACTAAGGAAATGCCATAAGATGATTCTTTGTGAGCAGAGCTCATCCATTCATCAGATCAGTAAAAATTTTAAAAGTCTGACAGCACAAAGTGTTGGCTAGGATTAAGAACATAGAAACTGCCTTTAATTCCAATATTTTGGGAGGCCAAGGCAGGAGGATCACCTGAGTCCAGGAGTTAGCAACTAGCCTGAGCAATATAATGAGATCCCGTCTCTACAAAAAATAAAAACTTAACCAGGCATGATGGCACACGCCTGTGGTTCCACCTAGTGGGGAGGCTGAAGTAGGAGGATTGCTTAAGCCTGGAGTCCAAGGCTGCCGTGAGCTATAATCATGCCCCTGCACTCCAGCCTGGGCCGCAGAGTGAGAGCCTGTCTCAAAAAACAAACAACATAGGAACTTACTTCTGTTAAGAGTATAAATTGGTACAAACACTTTGGAGAGCAATTTGGTGGTATTTAGTTAAGTTAAAGGTGTGCATACTCTGTGACCCAGAAATTGCACTCCTAGGTGTAGTCTCTGAGAAGCTCTCTTACCTGTGCCCAAGGAGATACATACAAGAATATTCACAGCAGCATAGAAAAAATTGGAAATGATGTATATTAGATCAACAGAAGAATTTATGGGTAAATTGTGAAATATTCAATGAATATAGCTCTGAAAATGAATGAAATAGATATGCATATCTCCCATGGAAGAATCTCACAAACAAGATGTTGATCAAGTTGACCAAAAATCAAGTTGCAAGACCAGACGCAGTGGCTCATGCCTGTAAATTGGGAGCACTTTGGGAGGCCAAGGCAGGAAGACTTCTTGAGGCCAAGAGTTTGAGACCAGCCTGGGCAACACAGCAAGGCCCTGCTCTACAAAAAATAAAATTAGCCAAGCCTTGGTGGCACATGCCCATGGTCCTAGCTACTCAGGAGGCTGAGGTGGGAGGATTCCTTGAGCCCAAGAGTTGTAGGCTGCAGTGAGCTATGACTGCACCAATGCACTCCATTCTGGGTGACAGAGCAAGACTCTTGTCTCTTAAAAAAAAGATTGCAGATGAATGTGTAGAATATATTTCTATCTAGGTTAAAAACTTGCAAATGCTATTGTTGTGTGGGAAACAACAACCATTGTTGCTGCAATGGTAGCCTGTAAGTACACTAACAGGCAAGCTATTCAAGGGATCACAGAACAAGAAAGGCTTATGGACCAAAACAAAATCCTCAAATCACGTGGCTTATTAAATCAATTTAAAACACACCATAAGAAGCTAGGTGAAAGACATGGAGGGGGTTAACACATTTAAGATGTGTCACAGGAGGCAGGGTGGAAAGATGACAACACCTGAATCCTCAGTCCTGTCTCTCCCTGCCACATCAGCCTTCCTAACCAAGTGTTTGCTTGCAAAGATCAGAGTTGAGATTTAACCAAAGCAGCCCAACAGACGGGTGTTTAGGGTCAAAACACACAGTTGCTCTAAAGTCTTGGGAGCAGAGTGGGTCTAGCTGACAGCAGTAGCTCATCAGTTAACCTCATGAACAGCTATGGATTTTATTTATATTTCTTTTGCAGAGGATATGAGGAGCCAACGGTTGGCCAGATTAAAACCTTTTGAATAGGGAATGCCTGATATGCCTTAAGTATCTTCAGTGCGTCATGAAAGTTGGATGATTCAGGGCCTCACATGTATCATGACTATTAGGTGTTTCTTGTTCTTTCCATCTCTTTCTAATTATGTTCATTACGCAAATGCACTACTACATTTTGTAGGAATTTTGCTTGTTTCATAAGCTACTTGCTTCAATTCTTAGTTTCATTTTTTTCTCCCTATGTGTTTGTTTCTCTTATTTTGTATAGCAGAATTGAATATTCTTAAATAATTAAACAAACACACATTATAAATACATATGTAATATGGTTAAAATAAAAATAAATGCTTAGAAAGATTAATCCCCAAGTTCAGGATTTGCCTAACTATGGTAGAGGCATAAAGGGGTGCATTAAGGATGGAATTTACAGGACTTCAGTTATATTGGTAATGTTTTGTTTCTTAATATGGATGCTGGGTATGTGGGTGTTTATTATATTATTATTTATAATTTTATGCATCTGAACTTTTTAAAAATAAATTTAAGAAAAGTTTGAAATAGTAAATACCTGGAGTCTTACAACAGACATTTGATACTTTTCTTTTTTTTAAGACACAGAATCTTGCTTTGTTGCCCAGGCTGGAGTGAAGTGGCACAATCATAGCTCACTGTAACCTCAAACTCCTGGGTTCAAGCGATTTTCCTGCCTCAGCCTCCCGAATAGCTACAACTATAGGCATGTGACCACCATGCCTGGCTAATTTTTTAATTTGTTGTGGAGACAGGGTCTTGCTTTGTTGTTTAGGGTGGTCTTGTATTCCAGGCCTCAGGTGATCCTCCTTTATCAGTCTCCTGAGTCACTGGGATTACAGGTGTGAACCACAGTACCTGGCCTTATCATTTTTTATTTTAATAAAGTTAAAGAATTTGACTAGGCCAAGTTAATTGATATGTTATCTCTCTATTGCTAGGTACACACATGTGTTTTTTAACAAACATTTGCTGAGTACATACTATTTGCAAGGAAGGCATTGTACCAGTTGACATGGGAGATGAAAAGTTGAATATGGGCTGGGCGCAGTGGCTCATGCCTGTAATCCCAGCACTTTGGGTGGCTGAGGCAGGTGGATCACCTGAGGTCAGGAGTTTGAGACCAGCCTGGCCAACATGGTGAAACCCCGTCTCTACTAAAAATACAAAAATTAGCTGGGCATGGTGGTGGGTGCCTGTAATCCCAGCTACTCAGGAGGCTGAGGCGAGAGAATCACTTGAACCCGAGACGCAGAGGCTGCAGTGAGCCAAGATCGCGCCATTGCACTCCAACCTGGGCAACAAGAGCGAAACCCTGTCTCCAAAAAAAAAAAAAAAAAAGGAAAAGTTGAATGCAACAAAATTCTTACTCTCAAGTAGGAATTACTCTCAAACTTTCAGTTTAGTCGTGGAGTTGACACTACTGCAACAATTAGTACAGTTCAAAGGCATGATATATGTGCCTCAAGTAAAGTACAAATTGTGGGTGGTCCGAGTAGGTGGAGCTTCATTCAGAGGGTGCAATCAGAATGCACTTAAGAGGAAAGTGACATTCGATCTGGACCTTAAAAGAAGTAGATTTCAACAGGGAAAAATAGGAAGGCATTGCAGGACAAGGAAATACAATGCACAAAGAAGTAAAGAATGGAGTGTTCAGAGCAGCAACGTGTCTAAATTGTTGGATGGGTATGGAAGAGTACTGCAACGGTGGGTGGGAAGGCAAGTTAGGACAAGAGTCCTCTACAGCATTAACAGGTTATCTGTGGATGGGATTATGAAGGATTTTTATTTTCTTTGTAATATTCTGTATATTCTATAATGACCACATATTACTGCTTGGTCATGGATTTTTTTTTAATTGACATAACAGGATTTCATTTGTCGCCTGCCAAGTCATTCCAGTTGCCCCCCTTAGTTATGGAAATGTTGGGAATAGAGTTTACCCATCCTTCTGGTATTATGCCATTCTCTGAAACCCAGGGTAAACAAAGTTGGTCCCTGATGAAGTGGTTGGATAATATGAGGATGGAGCCCTGACCATCTGGAAAGGCAAGGACACATATTCTACCCTGCTCTTTTCAAGATTGATCAGGGTAACCTGGCCAAGGCCCATTATCAGAGAACAGTAATGAGGACCTGAAATAAAATTATCATTAGGAATCAGCAAACCTAAGTTGACATCCTGGGATAAATTTAAGGGCTTAGGCATTCTTGGAGGAAGCACAGCATGTGGCTAAGTTAGAAGCTTCTTGGGATCCAGCTACTTTGGTCCTATGCTGAGAATACAGGAAATGGTGACTATCATTGACTGAGAGGGACTCCAAGAGACCTATAATTGTAGGACCCCAGGTTGGGGCCCTACATGGCTAGGCAGGGCCAGATGCAGCAAGGGCATTTGCCACAGCATGGACCATGCAGGACCATACTTCCACAGAGCCCTGTGAGGCTGCAAGGAAGGAGAGCACTAGTGAAATGGTCAAGCTTCCCACTTCCCTCTAGACCTAGCAATGGAAACACAACTCACCCTTGTCACTCTTTGGATCCAGTAAGACCATAGTGTCTTTTTCTTTTCTTTTCTTTTCTTTTTTCTTTTTTTGAGACAGAGTCTTACTCCAGTTGCCCAGGCAAGAGTGCAGTGGCGTTATCTCAGTTCACTGCAGGCTCTACCTCCTGAGCTCAGGTGATTCTCCCACCTCAGCCTCCCGAGTAGCTGGAACTACAGATGCGTGCCACCATGCCCAGCTAATTTTTGTATTTTTAGTAGAGATGGGGTTTTGTCATGTTGCCCAGGCTGGTCTCGAACTCCTGGACTCAAGCAACCTGCCTGCCTGGGCTTCCCAAAGTGTTGGGATTACAGGCATGAGCCACCATGCCCAGCCCATGGTATCTTTGGACAATTTGGGGAAAGTCTATATTGGACTGTCTCCTGATAGGGTAAGTGAGGATTTGAGAAATTAATTACAAAAATAAAAGTCATGACTATAACAATAAAGTGGTTTTGTGGATTAGGTTATACAGTATTGATCTATATTATCCAAATATTCTGCAATCAACATGTGTTAATATATAATCTGAAAGAAGTTGCTTTTATAAGTCTTATTCTAAATTACCAAATTAGCTTTAAAATATAACATATGCTCTTTGGTACATATTCAAAATAAAAGTAGTAAAATATTAATATAAAGTTTTTTTTACATTGATCTTATAAAACCACTTGATCTTGTAACTGGTCTCTGACAATGTCTAAGGTTTGTTTCCTTGACCAAAAGGGCTTTGCTGTACTGTCAACACTGAGAGCCTAAATAAAAATGCAACACGATTGTAGCAAAGTTGATGGTGTCCTGTAAGGCCCATTCCACACAACCAGCAAAGTGAAGCTATGTTGTGTGATCATCCTGCTGTTTTCTAATCTATTTCCTTTGGTTGGATATGTAAGCATCTTGGAAACAGTTTCTTCCCCATCTAGAACTCTGCAAGTCTCATACAACATCTTCAAATAATTTAAGTTGGTCATATCTTTACAATTCTTGAGATTTTTGTAGCTGATACGCTTGGCCTGTTGAAATATTAAACAGATAAAATCTGCAAAGTAGTATTATCATTTTTTATATTTGTTTTTCTGCTGTGTGACTCAGATCTTTTTTTTTTTTTAATTAGAAACAGGGTCTCACTATGTTGGCCAGGCTGGTCCCAAACTCCTGGCCTCAAGCAATCCTCCTGCCTCAGCCTCCCAAAGCACTACGACTACAGACATGAGCCACTGTACCTGGCCAATATTATGATTTCTCGAACAACACTGAGATTTAAACTGAGTGAAGTTAAATTAGAAAATTCTGTTACTAGTTCAAAAGGTTCATGAAAAAACGGAATTAAAAGATAAAAATAAAGTATATAAACTTCATTTCTCAACATAAACTCCAACAGGTTCAAGACATTTTTATAAGTGATAATAGCCATTTAGTCCATCCCTAAAGAACTGAGGGTTCTATGAAATTAACCAGGTCAATGTAGTCTTTTTCACATTATTAACTGAAAAAAAAAGATTTAAGGATTTTTTTAGGAAACAAAAAGTCAGAAGGAGCCGTATCAGGACTGTAAGGTGGATGCCTAATCATTTCACATCAAAACTCAAAGTATTGCCCTTGTCTGGCAGGGCAGGGTGTAATCCCAGCACTTTGGGAGGCTGAGGTGGGCAGATCACAAGGTCAGGAGTTTGAGGCTAGCCTGGCCAACATGGTGAAACCCCGTCTCTACTAAAAATACAAAAATTAGCTGGGCGTGGTGGTGCTGGCCTGTAATCCCAGCTACTCGGGAGGCTGAGGCAAGAGAATGGCTTGAACCCAGGAGGCAGAAGTTGCAGTGAGACGAGATTGCTCTGGGCAACAGAGCGAGACTCCATCTTAAAAACAAAAACAAAAATTGCCCTTGTCTGATGAGAGGAATGAATGAGCAGGAGCATTGTTGTGGTGGAGAACTCTTTGGTGAAGCTTTCCTGGGCATTTTTCTGCTAAAGCTTTGGCTTTCTCAAAACATGCTCATAATAAGCAAATGTTACTGTTCTTTGGCCCTCCAGAAAGTCAACAAGCAAAGTGCCTTGAGCATCCGAAAAAATCCTTCACCACGACCTTGGTTCTTGATGGTCTGCTTGTGCTTTGACTGAAGCACATCCCCCTCTTGGTAGCTATTGCTGTGATTGTGTTTTGTCTTTAGGATTGTACTGGCGAAGCCATGTTTTATTTCCTGTTACAGTTCTTTGAAGAAATGCTCTGAAATTGTTGATCCCACTTGTTTTAAAATTTCCGTCAAAAGCTCTCCTTTTGTCTGCAGCTGATCTGGGCACAACGGTTTTGACACGCATCAAGTGGAGAATTTGCTCAACTTTAATTTTTCAGTCAGAATTGTGTAAGTGGAACCAACTGAGATGTCTATGGTGTTGGCTATTGTTTCTGCTGTTAATCATTGGTCCTTTTCAATTAGGGCTCAAACAAGATGAGTTTTAACTCACAAATTGACGTGGATGGTCTGCTGCTCTAGGCTTCAGCTTTAACATTGTCTCACCTCTTCTTAAAATGAATTATTCTATTTATAAACTGCTTAGTTTTGGGGGGCATTGTCCCAATAAACTTTTCATTAAAAGTTAATGATTTCATCATTCTTCCAACCAAGCTTCACCAAAAATTTAATGTTTGTTCTTGCTTCAATTTTAGCAGAATTCACGTTGCTCTGATAAGGGACTCCTTACAAACTGATATCTTAGTGCCTCGAACTAGATCCTTTTCAGACATGTTATAACAAGTTAGTACAAGTTTATTTTGGTGCAAAAAATTTTTGACATCTATGCATAGTTTTTTCATAATACGTATTTCAATGAACTTTTTAAAGACCGCTTGTGTAATGTGTTTTACTTGTCTAAGTTCCCTACTAAATTGAAAGCTCATGGGAATCGGGCTGTGTCATGATGGCTTCCAAAACTTCAGCATTTGACCTGGTGCAGAGCATATAGCAGCTGCAAGATAAATCTGATGAATTGTTTTTTGAGGAGGAGTTAGTGAGCAGGGCCAGGCGCAGCTAGGACTGACGCTCTGCACAATTCTGGACCAAAAACATAGCTTTCACTATTTGGATATGTCATCTGTCTAATTCTGGGTTCTTAATTGAGTTTGAGATTCTTGAGATTTTGGATAGTTAAACTCAATGAAAGAATTATGATTGTGCTTTGTGGTCAGAAGCCTTATGGAGTCAACATCTGAGGAGAGGATTTTTGTTGCATGGAAGAGAAACTAACTTCAGGCCAGGCGAGGAAGTAGCACAATCTCCTGGGGGACTAGAACCAAGAGCCAGGAAGCTTCTGGGAAGCCGGGAAGCTGGCTTTTTCTCATGTCTATTTTTCTCACTGTAGATTTATTTTTCTTTCTCTCTCTCTTTCACTGCCTGCAGGATCAGCAGATCTGTTTTCACTACCTCAAGGTACACAGCCCCAAACACTGCCCATCCCCAGCTCCCCATGCACATCTTTCCTGTTGGAGAAACCAGGAGAGAGATGAGCATTTCTGTTCCAGTTCCGAACTCCCCAGAGAGATTCTGATGGGCCCAGCTTAGGTCAGGGGATAGTCTTCACTCAAGAGTTCCTGAGATAACAGAGACTGGAGTAGCAGGCATTGCAGAACTGATTTTATAAAGGAAGAACGTGTACCATAAATATTGCTAGTTAAGAGCATGTATACTGTTGAGTTCTACCTCCTCAGAAGTCTAAAAGGTTTCCTTCCTTTGAGGGTGAAGAAGCAGTAACAGGCGTCCTCCATCAGACCCCTCTCTGTGGGCACCTAGAACACTTCCCATTGACGTCTGCTTCAAGGGGAGGTCACTAAAAGTGCCCCACATGATGCAGCAGACATTTCGCTGGTCCCAGTGCCCTCCCCAAGACCTTCCAGATGGTGAAGTGTTAAGAGTCTAAAATGGAGTAAATGATCTGCAGAAATTCAGTGGTGTCAGAGGAGCCAGTCCAAAGTCACTCGGCTCTAAACGCTGCGATTCTATTATTTTAATGATGCCCAGGAACACAAAGAGGCACGACAGACCCAGAGGCAAGTGTGCAGCTGCCAGGGGAGCAGCTGGAGGGACTGCGGGGGGCTGCTGGCCGGCCAGTTCCCAGTGGGAGGAGGGACGCGGTAGGCGCGGGAGGAGGAAGAGCGCAGTGCGAGGGCGGAGCCGCGGTGGCCTGCGCGATGCAGTCTGTTGCGCTCAGCTTATTAGCTTGGCACACGGATAGAAAAATGTACGTTTGAATCTATTTCTGGCTTTCAAATGTGTGAAGAAAACACATAACTTTATTATTTTATTTTTGTAAAGTTAGAGACAGATGCCCCTAAAGCATATGCATTCTATAAGAAATTCCTATTCTTTGGTGGCACATCTTTGGAAGCAAAAATCAAGGACAAATAGGTCATCTCTAAGTTTTCTGCAGGAATATTGGCAATAAAAAGAATAGAGTCAACACTGGTAACTAATGGAGATGAGGGAAATACAATCTGGGAAGATGTTAAGGTTTTTTTTTTTTTTCCCTAAGAACTTTTAAAGGAAAAACAATGAAGTAAGTGTTGATGTAATATGAATATGTTATTACTTGTTAAGTGCCAAAAATACTGCAGATATAAATAACCTTTTAAAATGTAGTCAAGAAACATTTGAACACTTATAGAAATTCCCTCACCAGAGGTGTTTGGAAATCTTCAAATCTTAATATCCTTTTGTGAATGGTCAGAGTAAATCAGAAATGAAAGAAATCTGGAAAAATAAAAACACATTATCTGTGCAACAAAAGCATTCCTAGAAGGGGTTGTTATGATAAATAGAACTCCAACTGGAGTGCCATATAGTCAAAGAAAAGTCTTATAAAGCAAAATACTGCAAGATTTATTTATTCAAAAACTGTTGTTGAGCACATTCTATGTGCCAGGCACAGTGCTAAGCTTGGGACAACACGGGAAAATAAAATGGACGTTGTCCCTGCATGCATGTCCCTCCCCAGGCTTTTGGTGTGTAGAGAAAGTACCATAACTGCCAAATAAGTAAATAGTTGAATGGGGCCTTAGAGATCAGTGTGACAAAAAACAAGTGTAGATGTTAATCCATTTCAAAATACTCTTCACAGACTTTCAGTATTCCTATGATTTTCTGGAAATGAGACAGGAAATCAAATAATATTTTTTTGAAGAGCTGAGGTCCAATTTTCAATATGTAATCCAGTTCTTTTCAGGAAGTGTTAATCATGTGATTCCTATTACCATTAAAAACCGTCATCATCCTGTAATACTGACCATCTGTTTCAGATATGGCACGCACACTTGGGAAACCCAGAATAATGGGAACTCAAAACTGTTATTCATTCGAGAGCTCATCAGTCCAAGAAGATGCCACCTTGGTCAGATGTGGATGAGGCATGACTGGACCGACCCTGTGGGCTCGGCACCCACCTGTGCTATAAACTGTTCATGTGAAAACTGTGTGCCCCTGGGTTGTCTGACCTGCAGCTGTACCGCACTTTTAGTACAATGCCTGCCACCCACAGGAGTGTTGTCACAATTGAAGTGAATGCTATAAAGCATTGTGAGCAACTCAAAAGAAGGGTGCTGCTTAACTACCCAAAATTACTATACACCCACAGGTAAAGCTCTCTCTCTCTCTTTCTCTCTCTCTCTCGACACTCTTAATATGGTAATATAAAAGGGCATTCCTCAGGGTACATTTAAATGTCTGTGTGTGTTTCATTCCATTTGTTATTCATTTTAACTTTTAAATTAATTATTATTTTCAGGATGTTATCCTTGCACTAAAGGAAACCTATTAATTTAATGCTTCTATGTCACTACTATGGACTGAATATTTGTGTCCCCCCAAAATTCATATGTTGAAATCCTAACCCTCAATGTGCTGCATTGGGAGGTGTGGCTTTGGGGAGGTGATTATGTCATGACGACAGAGTCCTCATGAATAAGATTAGTGCCCTTATAAAAGAGACCCAGAGAGCTCTTTCACCCCTTTCTGCAATGTAAGGACATAGTCAGAAGACCACAGTCTATAAACTGGTAAGCTGGTCCCTACCAGACACTGAATCTGCATCTTAATCTTGGACTTCCCAGCCTCCAGAACTGTGAGAAGTAAGTGTAGTTTAAGCCACCCAGTCTATAGTATTTTTGTTACAGCTGCCTGAATGGAGTAAGACAGTCACCATGTTTGAAAAAGAGACATATTTGGGTCTCTAGAAGCTGCCTGTCTGTTAATTTATGACTAAAATTAATTTGGTCATGATTTCCTCTCTAAATCTAGATTATTTGGCCATGTGTCAGAAACACATGTTTGGGAATTTATTTGGCTAGATGGCTTGGATTGAAGCCTCAAATTTTAAAAAGAAAGAAAAAAAGCACAACTAAACAGAAGCTAATCAATGTAAATACCTGACAGCATTGAAGCAGCCAGGGACGATGGTGGCCTAAAGCATCATAGATAGCTGTTTAGCTATCTTTTTCTGTATAGCTTGCTTTTACTTTTCCTTTCTTTCTTTTATAAAATAACAGCTTTATTGAGATGTAATTCACATATCAAAAATGCATCCTTTCAACGTGTGCAATTCAGTGTTCTTAGTACATTCACAAAGTTGTGCAACCATTGACACTAGTTCCAGAATATTTTCATTACCCGAAAAAGAAGCCCTATGCTTATTTGCAATTACCCCATTCCCCCTTTCTGAGGCCCCTGGAAACCATTAATCTACTTTCTGTCTCTACAGACTTGCCTCTTCTGGACAGTTTATATAAATGGAATCATACATTATGTGGATTCTTTCATTCAGTATAATACTTTCAAGGTTCATCTATCTTTTTTCCTTTTTATGGCCAAATAATATTCCATCGTATGGCTATAACACACTCTGTTCATCAGCTGATGGACATTTGGGTTGTTTCCACATTTTAGCTACTATTAATCATGTTCTGTGAACATGAGTGTACAAGTTTTTGTGTAGACATGTTTTCAGTGCTCTTGGGTGTATACCTAGCACTGGCATTGCTGGGCCATATGGCAACTCCATGGTTAACTTTTTGAGGAACTGCCAAGCTGTTTTCCAAAGTGACTGCATCATTTGCATTCTCACCAACGATAAATGAGGATTCAGATTTCCCCACATCCTTGTCAACACTTTTTATTGTCTATCTTTTTGATGATAGATGATTTAATGGATGTGAAGTGGTTTCTTGTGGTTTTGGTTTGCATTACCCTAATAACTAATATGGTTGAGAATCTTTTCATGTGATTACTAACCAACCTTTCTTTGTCTCTCCTTCACCCCTACTATTCCCAGCCTCTGGTAACCATGAATCCACTCTCTACCTCCATGAGATCCACATTTAGCTCCCACATATGAATGACAGCATGTGGTATTTGTCTTTCTGTGCTCAGCTTATTTCACTCAACATAATGACCTCCAGATCCATCCAAGTTGCTGTAAATGAAAGCATTGTATTTTTTATGGCTGAATAATATTCCACCGTGTATATGTACCACATTTTCTTTATCCATTTATCCATTGATGGACACATAGGTTGATTCTATATCTTGGCTATTGTGAATAGAGTAATAAATATGAAAATGTGGATACGTCTTCCATATACTGATTTTCTTTCTTTTGGATAAAATGGATTAAAGACTTAAGTCTTTAGCAGTAGGATTGCTAGATTATATGGCAGCTCTATTTATAATTTTTTTGAGGAACTTCTATACTGTTTTATAGTGACTATACTAACATTCCTATCAACAATGTATGGGTATTCCCCTTTCTCCACATCCTCACCACCATCTGTTGTTTTTGTCTTTTTGATAAAAGCCATTTTAATTAGGGTGAGATGATATCTCATTGTGGTTTTGCTTTGCATTTCCCTGATGATTACTGATGTTGACCATTTTTTTAATACCTGTTGGCCATTTGTATGTCTTCTTTTGAGAAATATCTATTTGGGTCTTTTGCCCCCCAACTCCTTTTTGGAGATAGGGTCTCACTATGTTGCTCAGGCTTGTCTCCAACTCCCTGGCTCAAGCAATCTTCCTGCTTCAGCCTCCTAAGTAGCTGGGATTACAGATGAGTGCCATGTGCCTGGCTCTGCCCATTCTTTAATCAGATTGTTTTTTGCTATAGAGTTGAATCTTTCTATATTCTGCTTATTAATTCCTTGTGAGATGGATAGTTTGCAAATATTTTCTCCCGTTCTGTAGGTTGTATCTTCACTTTGCTGATTGTTTCCTTTGCTCTGCAGAGGTTTTGTGTTTTTTTAAAACTTGATATAACCCCATTTGTCTATTTTTGTTTTGGCTGCCTGTGCTTTTGAGGTCTTTTCCAAAAAATCTTTGCCTAGACCAGTGTCCCGAAGCATTTCCCCCAATGTTTTCTTCTAGTTGTTTCATAGTTTTAGGTCTTAGATTTGTCTTTAATCTACTTTGATTTAATTTTTGATATGATGAGATATAGAGGTTAGCTTCATTCTTCTGCATCTGGTTATTCAGTTTTCCCACCACCATTTATTGAAGAGGCCATCTTGTCTCTGATATATGTTCTTGGCACCTATGTTGAAAATGGGTTAGCTGTAAATGCATGGATTTATTTCTGAGTCTCTACTCTGTGCCATTGGTCAGTGTGTCTGTTTTTATGCCAGTAGCCTTTCTATTGGCTACTATAGCTTTGTAGTGTATTTCAAAGTCAGGTAGTGTGATGCCTCCAGCTTTGTTCTTTTTGCTCAGGAATGGTTTGGCTATTTGGGGTCTTGAGTGGTCCCATTAGAATTTTAGGGTTTTTTTTTCTATTTCTGTGATGAATGTCATTGGTATTTTGATAGAGATTGTATTGAATCTGCAGATTGCTTTGGGCGGTATGGTCATTTTAATGATATTAATTCTTCCAATCCATGAGCATGGAACATTTTTCCCTTGTTTTGTCCTCTTCAATTTTTTCATAAGTACTTTATAATTTTCATTGCATAAATCTTTCACTTCTTTGGTTAAATTTATTCATAGGTATTTTGTATAGTAAATAGGATTGCTTTCTTGATTTATTTTTTAGACTGTTCACTGTTGGCATATATAAATGCTACTGGTTTTTGTATGTTGATTTTATATCCTGAAACTTTATTGAATTGGTTTGTCTGTTCTAGTTTTTTGGTGGAATCTTTAGATTTTTCTAAATCTAATATATTGTTTGCAAACATTATAATTTGACATCTTTATTTTTAATTTGGATATTCTTTATTTTTTTTCTAGCTTAATTGCTCTGCTTAGGACTTCCAGTATTATGTTGAATAAAATTCTTTGGCCATTTAAATTGTTTTTTAATTTTTGATCTTATTTTGACTTTTAAGAATTCTTTATATATTCTGATACAAATTCCTTATTAGATAAGGGTCCGTGGTGTGTCTTTCCCTTTATTGAAGCACAAAAGTTTTTTATGGTGATGATGTCCGATTTTTGTTGTCGTGCTTTGGTGTCATATCTAAGAAACCACTGCCCAATCCCAAGTCACAAAGGTTTACTCTAATGTTTTCTTCCAAGAGTTTTATAATTTTTACCCTTACATTTAGGCCTTTGATTTATTTTGAGCTAATTATTCTATAAGATGAAAGGTCAGAATCCAACTTCTTTCTTTTGCATGCAAATATCTAGATGTCTTAGCCTTTAATTTTTTTTTTTTTTAAGAGACTGCACTCTAGCCTTGGTTTTTGTCTGTCACCCAGGCTGGAGTGCTGTGGCATGACTATAGCTCACTGCAACCTCGGCCTCCTGGGCTCAGGAGATCCTCCCACCTCAGCCTCCTGAGTAGCTGAGACTATAAGCTCACACCACCACACCCAGTTAATTTTTTAAATTTTTATTTTCTTGGAGACAGGATCTTGCTATGTTGCCCAGCTGGTCTTGAATTCCTGGCTTCAAGTGATCCCCCAACATCAGCCTTCTGAGTAGCTGAGATTACAGGTATGGGCCACCACACCCAGCTTCTCAGCACTTTATTTATTTATTTTTGAGACAGAGTCTCACTCCCCAGGCTGGAGTGCAGTGGCATGCTCACTACAACATCCACCTCCCAGGCTCAAGTGATTCTCCTGCCTCAGCCTCCCAAGTAACTGGGACTACAGGTGAATGCCACCCTGCCCAGCTAATTTTTATTTTTAGTAGAGACGGGGTTTCACCATGTTGGCCAGGGTGGTCTTGAACCCCTGACCTCGGGTGAGTCACCAGCCTCAGCCTCCCAAAGTGCTGGGATTACAGGCATGAGCCACCATGCCCAGCCCTCAGAAGTATTTATTAAAAAGAATAGTCTTTCTCCTTGAATTGTCTTGACAGGTTCCCTTGTAGAAAATTAATTGACCATCATGTGAAGGTTTCTTTCCAGACTCTCAATTCTATTCCATTGATATTTATGTCTATACTTATGCCACTACTGCACTGTCTTGATTATTGTAGCTTTGTAGTAAATTTTGAAATAGGGACATATGAGCCAATTACTGCAAAAAAAAAAACCCAAAGACAGATGGAATTTTTTATATGTATTGCATTGAATATATAGGTCAATTTGGGGAGTACTATAATCTTAACAATATTAAGTCTTCCAACCCATGAACATAGGATGTCTTCCATTTACAGTCATGTGCCACTATAATGGCATTTTGGTCAATGACAGACCACATATATAATGGTGATCCCATAAGATTATAATACCATATTTTTACTCTACCTTTTCTATGTTTTAATATGTTGAGACGCACAAATGTTTACCATTATGCTATGGTTGCCTACAGTATTCAATGCAGTAACATGCTGTACAAGTTTGTAGCCTAGGAGCAATAGGCTATGCCATATATCTGCAGAGTGTATAGTAGGCTATATACAATCTAGGTTTGTATAAGTACACTCTGTGATGTTCGCATGACAACAAAATCACCTACATCTAACAACACATTTCTCAGAATATAATCCCATCATTAAACAACTTATGACTATATGTAGATCTTCTTTAATTTCTTTCAATGGTATTTTGTATTTGTTGGTGTAGATCTTTTAGATCTTTTACTCATTTTGTTAAATTTATTATTTTATCCTTTTTAGTGCTACTATGAATGAATTTTTGAAATTTCATTTTCATATTGTTCATTGCTAGCATATAGAAGTATATTGATACTTGCATTTTGATCTTGTATCTTGCAACCTTTCTGAATTTAATACTTCCAATAGTTTTTTAATAGATTCCTTAGGATTTTCTGTATACAATATTATGCCATCTGTAAATAAAGATGGTTTCATTTTTTACTCTCCAATATGGATGCTTTTTATTTCTTTTTCTTGTCTAATTGCCTTGTCTAGAGCTTCTTGTACAGTGTTGAATAAAAGTAACAAGAGTGGGCCTTCTTGTCTTTTTCTGGACAAGGAAAATCATCTAGTCTTTCACTATTGTGTATGATGCTAGTTGTGAGGTTTCTGTAGATGACCTTAATCAGTTCATTAAATTCCCTTCTATAACTCTCTTTAAATGCCATTCATGGTCAGGGCTGAATTGTTAAAACAAATGAGATCTGAAAGTTCATTTGGGATTTTATGTCCTTTTCATTATTTGTAATAAGGTATGGAAACAATGCCCACTAGAGACGGATTCTCTGTTTTTTTGTTTGTTTTGTTTTGTTTTGTTTTTGTTTTTTGCTTTTCCTGGAAAAGGCTGGATGTTGCAGAAGAAACTTTTCTCTCTCTTTTCCTTTCCCCTGAGCATTCTTCCATATCTCCCACCACATGAGAGCAAACAACTGATTGGGGTAGGTAAATATAATAGCTTATTTCCATTCTATCCTTATGCTTGTAGTATGCAATATGTTTGTGCATGAATTTTGATAGTGCATATGCCATGCCTGTTATATAAAATAGACAGCAGGAAGTCAGTAAAGGTGTCAACTCTAGAAAACTGTCTCGACAAACTTCTAAGAAGAGAAGACATTATCACATCCAACTGAGAGCTTAGTTCCCCAGGGAAAATTAAGCAAATTAGGACATGGTCTGCATCCTGGAAAAGAATTGCTGATTTGATGACAATGATGATACAGCATCGATTTACAGAATAAGAACCACCAGGTGCTAAGTGGTACCTTTAAGAAGCTGAGACCCAAGAGCCAATGCAGGGCTGGCCACCGAGGTAAAAACAGTCTGAGCCAAGGAAAACACAGTATGGCAGGATTCATTGAATGGCTTTGGAGACCATTCTCCAACTTTCTGTTACTTCATAGCTTGCCATTTTTCTCAGTGGCCTATATTCATCTCCCACTCTCAACTTTTGGCACTTTGCCTTTAGTACTATATAATGTCTAGGGGCCAATAAGTTCTGCCCCTGGCTGCCCCATGAGCCTGTCCCTTAGATAGCAGAATGAAAAATCATGTATCCTGATTTTTGGAACTGACCATGCACATACCCCAGGTTTGACTCTGCTCAGCTTTGCATTATTTGTATATAACAATCACAACTGGAAGAGCAAAGCATAACATTTAAAAAAAATCTTTTAACTTCATCTCATGATTTCAGAGCCAAGTAACAAATGGGTTGCTATGAGTCTTTTTTTTTTAATTTTTTTATTTTTTGAGACAGGGTCTTACTCTGTCACCCAGGCTGGGGCACACTGATGCAATCATAACCCACTGCAACCTCAAACTCCTGGACTCAAGGGATGCTCCCACCTCAGCCTCCCAGGTAGCTGGGACTATAGGCTCACACCACCACATCTGGCTAATTTTTTTTTTTTTTTGTGGAGACAGGTGTCTCCATATGTTGCCCAGGCTGGTCTCCAGTGATCCTTCTGCCTCAGCCCCCAAGCAGCTGGGACTACAGGCATGCACCACCACGCCCAGCTAATTGTTTATTTTTAGTAGACACGAAATCTCACTATGTTGTCCAGGCTGGTCTCAAATTCCTGGGCTCAAGCAATCCTTCCACCTTGGCCTCCCGAGTACTGGGATTATAGGTGTGAGCCACCACATCTGTCCTACTATGAGTCTTAATAGCAAGTCCAATTCTGCTGTATGAGTTGAGAAGTAGCTTTGCTCTCTCTGATAGAAGAGAGATTATTCTCTGCTTATTTCCATTTCACCAACTTCAGCATTTTGGGCAAGAATTACAAGTTTAAAAAAACAATTTTAAAAGAGCAAATAATCTTCTTTCATTTCAGATGACACAATAATGCAATCACAGAGTACGTAAAAAGTTAGGCCGGGTGCTGTGGCTCATGCCTGTAATCCCAGCACTGGGAGGCCAAGGCAGGGAGATCGCTTGAGTCCAGGAGTTCAAGATCAGCATGGGCAACATAGTGAGATCTTGTGCCTATTAAAAATCAAAAACTACTTGGGCTTGGTGAAACGTGCCAGTAGTCCTAGCTACTTGAGGGGCTGAGGCAGAAGGATTGCTCGAGCCCAGGAGATCGAGGCTGCAGTAAGCTATAATCGTGCCACTGTACTCTGGCCTGAAGAACAGAGTGAGACTTGTCTCAATTAAAAATAAAAAAAGGTAGATAATGGGGAATTATCTCCTTTGTCCAAAGATAATATCATCTATCCCTAGCTAATAATTTATCTTTGGTCGAAGAGCGGGAAGGAGGGATGGGAGAAGCAGAAGGGATTGAGATACATGAAAAGTCACAATAGTGCTCTACCTTTTTTAAGTTTTGGTGGGAGAGTTTAGGTGTTTCTCATAAAGTGTCATTGATCCTTGTGAGAGATATACTGTAGTGCTCCATGCTGACCTTGAGAGTCCAGGAACTGCTAGAAACTGACAGTGAGAGGCAAGAAACTGCTTAGAACACCTGGCAAAGGGGAAGAACTGATTGACAAAGGAAGATAAGACTTGATTTGTAACTCGGTCTACACTAAACAAACAATGAGGCAAACAGCCAAAAGGCAGGATGATTTTGCTAAGGCCTTGATGAGTTACCACACTGATAAGCTGCAAGCAAAGTAGAGAACCTGCTCAGGTCTTGGGCTTCTGAGCCAGCTCTGTAATGAGATAGAATACGTTCAGAGGTCTCTCCTACGCCCCTCTAAGAATCCTGGGAGACTGATTTTCCATTTAGCTACTTGATAATAAAATTCAAGTCCTCATTTTCAGGCAGTTTAAAGAATGGGCAGTAGCTAATGTCATAGTAAAAGCCTGAAAAATGGAAACAATTAAGGAAATGATCATGAAACCGTAAAAACCATTTCCAAGATTGAATCATAAAAATGTAGGCTAAATACTTAATAGCAGTAATCGTGGTGATAAGGTTAAAAATGACTACTGCAACCAAAGAAATTTCAATTCCTACATGGATACCCTAAGAAAAATGAGGCTTTAGCCCAAAGGGAATATCAAAACTTGTTTTTAAAATATATAATCTTGTTAAGTTATTTTCTAGAAAATTTGTGGGTTTATTCTGAGTAAATTTCCCCAGAGAAACGTCTGAGGATTTAGACAGTATAAATAGGGTTGGAGCAAGAAATGAAAATGACACTCAAATTAAATAGGGGTCAAATGGAAACTCTCTGCAGGCAAAATCTTTTTCATTCCATTGGATATTCCTAGTTTCTCTGAAAGGAGTAATTTAATTTTGGGCAGGATAATGTGGGAGGTGGAAGGGTAGGGGTGGGAGAAATCCTGGTATTCTTTAATGAGGAGACTAGAAAGGGAAAGGAAGAATATAAAATCCAACTTTTGTTCCTCCATTTTGATTGTCCTAAAGCATTTCCAAATAGATAAGACCTTTTCAAGAATACTTCTCAGAAAAAAAATCACTCAGCCTTCAAATAGACCTTGACTTCAGATGACACAAAAGCTTTGGGAAGACTCTTGGGTAGTGGACTTTAATGAAAACTGAAGTGTAGTAAGTTATCTATGGGGTAGGAATAGAAATTTTCATAAATTCAATGATGTAAGTATTTTTTAGGAAAATTAAAAATTCAATATTTCAAATATTCTTTTTTTTTTTTTGAGACAGAGTCCTGCTCTGTTGCTGAGGCTGGAGTGCGGTGGCGCGATCGGGGCTCACTCCAACCTCAACCTCCCAGGCTCAGGCGATCCAACCCCGTCAGTCCCGCCAAGTAGCTGGGACTACAGGTACGAGCCACCACACCTGCCTTTTTTTTCCTTTTATTTTTCTTTTTAATTTTAGTAGAGATGTTATGTTGCTCTGTTACCCAGGCCAGTCTCAAACTCCTGGGCTCAAGTGATCCTCCTACCTCGGCATCGCAAAGTACTGGGATTATAGACATCAGCCACAACACCTGGCCTAAATATTCTTTTTTTCGGGAAAAAAAAATAGGAAAAAATGTTATAAAACATTACTACAGTATAGCAAGAAGACTATTAAAGAGAAATTTTTATGAGAAACAAGTCTTAGAGTTTAGGTTAGGAACTCAGCATGAGTCCTGTATCTGTGAGCCCCAAGGGAAGAGAGGGATCCAAAGGTATAGTTTCCTTCTATTCAAAAGAGGATACATTGTAGTGAGCATGCCCTCTGATGTTTTGGAGTGTGAGCACATCTCCATGCTGTGTAAGCCACTGTTTATAAAGCTTATTATTTGTTATGTCAGAGTTTACTGTTCTAATCAAATACAACTTGAGAAAAATTTAGTTTTAATACATTTAAGTTTTATTAACACATTATATATAGAAATATACTGCATAATAATTAGACATAAATATTAACTCTACTAATTTTTCTATTCATTTTGTCATTTCTTCAACATCTAAAACCGAGGTCAATTTTTATGATGTCCCTAATTCCAGTACCATTTTACTGTCATCCTTTTTTTTCTTCACTTTCTCATCATATAGGTGCTTCTGGTTCAGGTTTTGCCCCTCAGTATTTGGGCCCATGCCCCTGGGCTGGGGTTTTTCTCTAAGTATTTTATCCCAGCATCCCTCCTCACTCCATCCACACATACTGGAGAATTTGAGCAGCTGCTTTCTCCCTTTGCTGCTGCTCATTGTCTCAGGTGGTGAAGTCTTGAAGTGGCAGGAACTCGGGCCTGAAATTAAACTGCAGACTTTTAACAGAAGGGCAACAGTTACATGACAAAGTTGTAGGTGAGGAAGAGAGCAGCTAGGGAGGCAGAAAGGAAAATGAGGAGGGAAGGAGGGAATGGGCCTGGTGAGAATAGGCTGGAGCTTCCTGGAGACCTTAGATTCTGCTCTAAATTATATTAAAGTGGCAGTGACAGCCCAGCACCAGGAGACCAAAGCAAGCAAGAGGAGATGTGCCATAATAAGAAATAGATATATTTGGTCTCTCCTCCTATTTCCTGGCTCGAGGCTCCTAAAATGCTTGGACTCTCCTAAGTGACAGGTGTCTTTTTGTGTGCTAATGAGATCACTAGGGGGTCCTGGAAAGCTTTGGGATGCTAGCTGGTTGCCACAGGAACCAACCTAGTGATTACAGGTTTGGAAATTTCAACCTCATCCCCTCATCTCTCGGGAGGGGAGAGGATAGGGGCTGAAGGTTGACTCAGTCACTGATGGCCAGTGATTTATCAATCATGCCTGTGTAGTGAAGCCACCATAAAACCTCCAAGGATAGGTTTGGAAGATTTCCAGGTTGCTGAATATGTGGAGGTGCAGGGAGGCCGGCACACCAGAGAAGGTGTGGAAGCTCCGTGCCCTTCACATGTGCCCTGCCCTGGGCATCTCTTCCATCTGGCTGTTCATCTGTATCCTTTGAAATATCCTTTATAATAGACCAGTAAATGCAAGTAAATATCTCCCTGGTAAACTGGTAAACATAAGTCAATTTTTCCCTGAATTATGTGAGCCACTCTAGCAAATGATCAAACCTGAGGAAGGAGTCGTGTGAACCTCTGATCTGTAGCTTCTCGGTCAGGAGCACAGGTGCCAACCCGGAGCTTGTGATTGGCATCTGAATTTGGGGGAAGTCTTGTGGGACTGAGCCCTTAACCTGTAGGACCCAAACTAACTCCAGTTAATGTCAGAATTGAGTTAAATTGTAGGACACCTAATTGGTGTCAGACAATTGGTCAATGTGGAGAAAACCCCACACACATTTTGGTGACTGAAAATGTCCTGTGTGTTGAGAGCATAGTAGGAGAAAACAGTTTGCTTTCCTATTGTTCAAGATACCTCTTTGGAACTGTAATGGATGATGTTATATGTCACCCAGATCTCCTTCACGGCTTAAACCCCATTCCCTCCAGATGCCAGGAGATCAGGAGCAGACTCACTCAAAGGGTGAGTTAACTGGGTTGTATGCTGGGAGCCTATTGTTTTCCTATCTGGCCTTGTTAAGCCATTTGTCTGGTACTGCTAAGGGAAGCCATAGGGCTTGCTCATACACCTGCTTTGCATTTTGGTTAAGATCATGTTTTGAGTTGGTTTTGACTCTGTTTTGCCTAAATGCACTCCCCCTTGTGTTGTTCAAAATTTGCCTCCACTTATTTGTGTATCTGTCTTATTCCCTTTCATATCACGTAAACTTGAAAATGGGAGGTATTGGGTCCATTCCTGTTGAGAGGCCTCTGGGAAGGAAAAATATTTTTTAGAAGCTCAATGATTGAGAGTCAGCTTAACTAAAAGCTAACATCCAAGATATCTTTATGTATGTGTGTATGTGTGCATGTTTGTATTTAAAAGGCCTTCATGTTTTTGTTTTTGTTTTTGTTTTTATTTCTCTCCTAGGATCTTGTCGTTTTGAGCAAAAGTTTTTATTTTTCTTTTCAGTTGACTGAATTGTGTTTTCTTCATTAATAGCTATTACAACAGAAGCTACTCTGGGGTTTTTAAGAAAAAGTGTAATTTAGACACTTAGAAATGACTTTGTTTGGAAAAAAAGGTTTTTTTAAGTGCACTGTAAAAGCACCACATGGTCTAGCCCCATAATAATTCTCCCTTTTTGCAAACCCAGGATTCAGTGTTGGCTCTGCCCAGAGCTCAAAGATCCAGTTAAAAGATAGGGAAAAGGAGGTCTTATGAATCTATAAAATGTACTTCTATTGGCATGCCTAATATGTCTATGTATTTATGTCTTGTGTACACCATGTTTCACTACTGAAAATATATAAAAGAGTTCTAATTAATTGGCTCAAAGAAAAATAAAAGTGCTTAAATACTTCAACAGAAAAAGGAAAGACTAGTCAAATGCTTTCTCAAGTTTATATGACTTAAGTAAAATCTTTAATGAATAAGCTAGCTTTAAAAATTATTGGTGAAGTAATGGCTGGGCACGGTGGCTCACGTCTGTAATCCCAGCACTTTAGGAGGCCGAGGCGGGCAGATCACCTGAAGTCAGGAGTTCAAGAGCAGCCTGGCCAACTTGGTGAAATCCTGTCTCTACTAAAATATTTTAAAAATTAGCCGGGCATGGTGGTGGGCACCTGTAATCCCAGCTACTTGGGAGGCTGAGTAGGAGAATTGCTTGAACCCAGGAGGCGGAGGTTGCAGTGAGCCAAGATCTTGCCACTTGCACTCCAGCCTGGGTGACAGAGTGAGACTCCATCTCAAAAAAAAATAAATTATTGGTGAAGTAATATTAGAAATGTCTTAAGAGTTGCCAGCATACATTTTTGTTTGCATTTATTGATCAAGCAACTTTGTACTTAGCTCTGTCAAATACTATAAGGTGTCAAAATTTGGCGTAGAGGCTACAAAACTATAACTCAGCCCAAAACAGAATGATCTTTGCTGGTTTTTAATAAATAAAATGTTTTTTAAATAAATAAAACATTATTTTATTTATAGCTTGTTTTTAATAAATATAATGTTTTTAATAAAACATTAATATTGGTTTAATGAAGATAGCTACATCTTGAATTATTTAGTAAAATACCCTAATCTTGTGGCCTTAGGCAGTCTATTCCACAGACATAAAGAAAGTTCATCCTGGGAAAGGACTGTTATCATCTCTGTTTCAAAACTAAACTATGACCTTAGTTAATGAATAAGAATAGCTTTAAGGTAAGAAGTAAGATGGAGTCAGTTAGGTCAGATCATTTTCACTCTCTCAGTTATAATTTTGCATTGGTGATTTCATAACTTTTAATGATGACTATCACAGTTTTCATAAATAACATAGGTAAATGATTAAAATAAATAATTAGATAAATGTAATGGGACAAATATTTGCAGAATCCAAAGTTATATTAAATTAAACAACAGATATTTCATTATTTAGGTATTTTCCAATTAAAATATATTGTAGGAAAACATTCATTCTAAAAATTGTGTCCTTTTTAAAGGGTAAATAATTTTTGTCTAATTCAAAGCTTATTTAAAGGTTTTTTATATATAAAACAAGGTAAAAGGAACCAGGAAATAAGAGAGATATAAAGTAAGTTGTAAAAATAAAGAGAGTTTTAAAGTCTATTGGTAAAATAAAAATATCTTCAAAAATGTAAACATTTGGTCTAAATTATGCAGGTCAAATATTAAGTTTGCTAAATGCTTTAGGTCATAAACTTTTTTTGACTTAAAAAATTGTTCAATTTATTTTGGAGTGTTAAATTCTAGATAAGCCCTCAGGACACATGAAATTAGCCATGCCCCTAGCTATGCAAAAAGGTATTAAAGAAAAGATATTTTATATAATGAAGGATCTTGTGTGGTAAATTCTTGTCCTAAAGTAAAATAACTGGTTGTTTAAAAAGAGGGATGTGGCCGGGCGCAGTGGCTCACGCCTGTAATCCCAGCACTTTGGAAGGCTGAGGAGGGCAGATCACGAGGTCAGGAGTTTGAGACCAGCCTGGCCAATATGGTGAAACCCCATCTCTACTAAAAATACCAAAATTAGCTGGGCGTGGTGGCACGCACCTGTGGTCCCAACTACTCAGGAAGCTGAGGCAGAAGAATCGCTTGAACCTGGGAGGCAGAGGTTACAGTGAGCCGAGATCATGCCACTGCACTCCAGCCTGGGTGACAGAGCGAGACTCCATCTCAAAAAAAAAAAAAAAAAAAAAGAGGGATGTTTAGGACAAGTCAGAAAGTCAAGTCAAGGCATGTCATAGCTTGTCTGTGTAGTCATGAAAGAATTTATGAAAGGGAATTTATGAAAGGAAAGAAATGTACAGTTTGAAGGTGATTAGGCCTCCTGAATGTTTTATAAAAATGCCACTAAGACTCTTAGCTGTACAACTTGCCTGGTGTACAGCTAGGTAAGGCCTGGGACACATGGAGTTTGAAACTGGAATAAGTCGGACCTTATCTGCATTTCTGCCTAGGTCCAAGGCTCCACACCTAGTACATAATTAAAATCCCAAACTTACCAAGGTTTTCACCAAAAGTAAAGGTTGCTAAAAGTTAACAGTGTAACATATATTTAAAACTATTGAAGAAACAGTTTACATGCAAGGTGTGTAAGGAAAGCAAAATATACTTCTAGTAAAAAGATTATAAGGAGTCATGAGAATGTGGATTTTTGCCTAGATTAAAAGGTTAAAGGACTGTTTTAAGTTGGATAAAATAAAGAGGAAGATTTAAACAAGTTGTGGAAGGTTGATTATAAAGGAAATTTTGTGTGTAAACATATTGGCCAAAGTTAAAGGGGTATCATCCAGTTTTTCTGTAAATTGAACATTAAAATAAAAGCACAGTGGGTTTCTCTTAAAGCACTAACCTGCTCTTTAACAAAAATTGTAAAGGGTTATAAAAGGTCTATACAAAATCTTACCTTATGGTCAAACATTAAAATTGGGTAAATCTGTCTATAAGGATTTGTTAAGAATTGGGTTTAACATTAATAGCACACTAACGTAAAGGTGAAATTTGGTTTATTTGGTATAAATATTATACAGAAAGCATTGTCAAATATGAAATGGTGTTTGGCTTTCTTTGGGCTATATTTGTATAAGTATGTTATTTGTATGTGTTCCAAAGTTATGGGAGACTCCTATAATTCTGATACATCTTAGTGTATGTTATGAGTAATAATTATAATTGTTGTGTTAAATTATTGTGTGCCACAGAGGTAACAGATATCCTTGTCAATTGTGTGTTTAACTATGGCTACCCTAAAACTTTTTGTCATCCATAATCAATTGTTGTCTTGTTTTGGTCCTCTGTAGAAGGTGATTTTATAATCAGCTATAAAGCTCTAACAGGTGCTCTTGAATGCAGGTTTCTGATAACTTTGGAGATGTGACATCAGAATAGAGGAAAAACGTTCAGGACTCTTGAAGAGTTAAAATATTCATTAGTATCAAGCAGGACAGGAATTAACTGCATGAACTGAACTAATAGGAGACTGAAGTGATCTTTTTGACTTTTTGCTTAAAATGTTGCTAATCCTTTGTTTTGCTTTTCAGAGTCAAGGAGACTTTTGAGCTATTGACAGCTTTTAACAATTAAGTAAAGTATACTCCTATGAACAAAATTTGGAGCATATTTGTTTCTCTCTACCTGATTCCAAAATTTGGAAACTATTTGCGAGTATTCTTAATTTATGGCAATATAGTTATTTGCATAAGTGCAACAAGAATCTGTTTTCTTTCGTAAGAGGACACAGTTGGAAAAACTGGTTATTTTACCAAGGGCTTTGACTGGAATGGTATGCTCTCCTTTAAGGAATCAAACTTGACTTATGGAGCCAATAAAGCCCTTGGAAAACTGGCCTCATATTTTGCATACACAGTCCCTGTACAGGGTTTCTGATCTGTGGTAAGCAAACAATGTCACTTTCCAAGAGGCCAGGAACCCCAAGTTATCTTGGAACCTCAAGAGGAGAGGAATTCACCCAATTCATAGGTATTTGATGGTACAAATCCATGGCTGGGCTTGGCTTTAAAAAGGTCTCATCTTAGATTCCTTCTATGGAACAAAGTTCCATCAAAGCCAATATAAAAGACCTATGTGAAAATAATTATTCTTGCTGCACTTTATACAAATAATCTGGCCAAATATAATAAAGCATACCAGTCCTACCATGAAGAGAGAAAAATTATGTTTCAAAACTATAGTATACCTGTTAAATTCTAGTCTTGCCTGATTTTTTCAGTTTTTATTGTTTTCTACAGTTTGGATTAAATTCTAATTTTTTGGCTACAGGTCTCCAAAATAATGTTTTCAATTTTTCCCTTTTTCTTTTCCTTTTCCCCCATTCTTCCTAATTGGAAATCACTGAAACCTGAGCTGTGCTTTCGTAAAGCCCTGCAAACTTAAGACTAGACAACTTAAACTTTAGAAGAAAACAGCAGCAACCTCTTTATATGTGTTGCTGTTGCATACTATTCTAGGCCCCCGAAATAGAGCCAATAGAGGGAACAAATCAACCACCTCCACTCCAGCACTGCATTCAGTCCCCATAATGATGACCCTCTCTCAGCAGGAAGTAGCCAGAAAGATTATGATGCCCCATATCCCTATGATCTTGTGATAAATAAATATACAAGCATGATAGAAATCATGCACAAATTGACAGTGGTGATTGTGGCAGGCCAGGTCTCACTAATGCAGGCCTGCATTACAACAACTGTCCCAGCTCTGACTGAGTAGCTAGGTTAAACATTAAAAGCTGATTGAGCCAGTGCCCTTATACAAAGGCTGGAATGTAACAAAGAGCCCACCAAGAGTTTTGCCTAGGCTTTTCATGGGCCTTGAAGTTTGACAAGATAATGAAGGAATTCTTAACAGGACCCTTTTAGGATTAAACAAGTTTTATTGGGGGGTCTGAAGAAACTCCTCGGGCCTCCACAAACAAGTTTATTGAGATCTAAAGGAACTCCCCAAACCTCCATGATTTAGCAGGAGACAAGATAAGGGTAATCACCCCAGCACCTAGACCCATTTAGATTAAGTAAACTTACTGAGGCTCTAGAAGGTCTTCAGGACTCAGACCTTAGTTATAGATTAAAAGAAGTTAATCACTTATGTCTTTAGATTAATTCACTCAGTTACACATAGACATATAGCTTAGAAGGTATATAAGCTCTGGAAAACTTTGTAATTTTGAGTTGGTCTGGCAATAATTTCCAGGCCTTCTCCCTGTAACTGGTTACAGAAATACTCTCTTCGTCCCCAGTTCATCTGCATCTCATTATTGGGCCACGAGAAATAGCAGCCCAACCCCCATATTGGTTCAGGAACAATGCCAAGAGCATGCTGTAATCCCCTCTATACAGTAGTCCCCCTTATCTTCATAGAATACATTCCAAGAACTTCAGTGGAGCCTAAAGCTGCAGATAGTACCAGACCCTATATATATTTTCTTTTTATACATACGTACCTCTGATAAAATTTTTTTAATAAGGTTCAGCTAACAGATTAACAATAATAACTAATAATAAAATAGAACAATTATACTACAGTAAAATCATACGCATGTGGTCTCTCTCGCTCCTTCAAAATATCCCATTGTTCTGTATTCCTGTGGCAACAGCTTCTTCATTAGCAGACACAGCCTCTCTAGTAATTTATATATTTTTCAGTCCAAACCTATTCCTGAATCTGTTAACTATCCCTTACTTGCAATAAATGGCTTGGTGTCACTCGTTTCAGGGGATCCCTTGCTGTAGGGATCAATGCTTGTCTTCATACAGGCTCAATGCTTTCTGGTGCAACGTGTTGCCAATCAAAACACATTTCTTTTAATGTCTCCCACCTGCAAACTGAATGCCTTTTTCATCTTAACTAAGCACTTATCATACTCTATGGCCATGACGTTTACAGTTTGAGGTGCTGTAACCAGCACAAATATATTTTTCTTTACAAATTCACGGGTAAAAGATTTGTTCTTATAAATTTTGTTAATTTCAGCAATTTTTTTTTCTTTCCTTGTTAAGTCAAGAACTTTCACCTTTTCACTTAAGTGAAGCACTTTATAGCTTCTCTTTGGCATATACGAATTGCCAGCATCACTACTCTCGCACATTGGGACCATTATTAAGTAAAATAAGGATTACTCGAACACAAGCACTGCGATACTGCAACAATCTGATAGCCAAGATGGCTACAAAGTGACTAACGGATGGGGAACGTGTACGGCGTGGGTACGGGGGACAAAGGGATGATTCACATCCTGGGTGGGACAGAGCAGGACAGCTTGAAAGTTTACACCCTACTGAGAACGTCACACAATTTAAAACTTATTATTTATTTCTGGTGTTTTCTATTTAATATTTTTGGACTGCAGTTTACCATAGATAACTAAAACTGCAGAAAGCAAAAGTACCAATAAGGAGTGACTACTGTACACCAGTCTTCATCTCAGAGTCTGTTTCCAGGGAAGCCCACCCTGAGGGAATGAGTGTTCACATCTATAAAATACAGGGGTTATGCTATCAGAAGCATGAGTCAACAAAAGAAAAATAGATTGTACTTCAAAATGAAAAGCCTTTGTAATTTTACCTGGAAATGGCTGGAGGTGATGATTGCACGGCAACTGACTGTACTTAATGCCACTGAACTGTGCTCTTGAAAATGGATAAAATAGTAAATTTATGTTATGTCTAATTTTACCACAATAAAAATTAATTAATTTTAAAAATACAGGAGTAAGGTTGGATGTGCTTTTGGTTTCCTGCCCATGCTAAAGGTCCACAATTACTCTGAGTTACTTGGCAGCCAAATCTGGGTTGGTGTGATTTCAGGGGCTAGACTGTAGCATTTCTCAATCTTGGCTGTGTATTAGAATCACTTTGGATTTAAAAAAAAATGATGCTTCAGTTCTGCCCATAGTAGTTCCTGTGTAATAGTCTAGGGTCATGGCTTTGGTATTTTTAAAAGCTCCCAGTGATTCCAGTATGCAAACGCAGTTGAGCCTTACTGGGCTAGAAGAACCACAGCCCACTCCTTACCACCCACTTGCTGTTGCCCCTGAGATTTGGCCACCTGCTTATCCTTCCAGCCTCATCTTTCTGACTCCCTCCTACACATACCCAAGCTGCAGCTGAACCAAATGACTTGTCATTTATCCTCTCCTGTCAAACCCTGACTCCTATTCCCTTGCTCATGTTTCCGCTGACAAGATTACATTCCTCTGACTGATTCCAGCCCTCGTGAACCCCTTCTTGGGAAACTTGCCTTCAGCACCCGCCATGGGCTGTTCAGATGCCTCCACTCTGAACCCTGGAAGTGCCTCACATGTCAGCACCTATACTGAGGACTCTGGATCAGCACACCAGAGCAGGGATCAAGTCTTCCTCCCTGCATTCCCGGTACAAGGTAGGAAGCCAGGCACCAAGGAAGCTGCCAGTAGGTCTTATTTGAATAAGATTTCTTTAATAAGAGGTCATTTGCTCCACAATTAAATAGAAATTCTTAAAGTAAATGCATTGGGAAAAATTAGCATATCTGTATAAATAAGGCATTTTTAAAAAAAATTAATTGAGCTATTATTATATGCCTGGGATTGTGCTAATGCTTTACTTGGAGTTTCTTGTTGAATTTTCTTTTCTTTTTTATTTTTTTGAGTCAGCGTCTCACTGTGTCGCCAGGCTGGAGTGCAGTGGCACGATCTTGCTCACTGCAACCTCTGCCTCCCAGGTTCAAGCAATTCTCCTGTCTCAGCCTCCCAAGTAGCTGGGATTACAGTCCTGCCCCACCACACCCGGCTAATTTTTGTATTTTTAGTAGAGACGGGGTTTTGCCATGTTGGCCAGGCTGGTCTTGAACTCCTGACCTCAGGTGATCTGCCTGCCTTGGCCTCCCAAAGTGCTGGGATTACAGGCGTAAGCCACCATGCCTGGCCTCTTGTTGAACTTTCACAGCAACCTTAGGAGGCAGATACGATACTTTTCATGTTCGAAATGAGGAACTAATTTCAGACAAGTGAACTTGGCCAGGATCACAGCTAGTGTGCCGCAGAGCTGGGAGTTTCAGTTGGTACACAAGTGATGTTTCCAGAGCCTTCCTGATTTGGGGAAGAGGACAGGAAAAATTTAGGTCACTGGGAATCTAAAAGGAGGAGAGGGGCTGTAACTAGTAGGAAAAAGGAAGTTAGAAAAAAAGGCCACTGAAAGAAAAGACAAACTGTAATCTTCCCTATTTTGGTCCGGCCTTAGCTTAACTGTGAGTGAGTATTTAAATCACAAGCGCAAGACTGGAAGGTGGACACTGTGAAACTCTTGTTCCTCAGATACATTCCATTGAATTCAACCCAACAACATTTATTCAGGATCTATGGTGTGCCAGAAACAGTGTGAGATGTCTGAATTCCAAGTACAGATAATATAGATCTTTGCCCATAAGGAGTTCTCACTTTAGTGGGGCCAAGAGGTACACTGTCAACAGACACTCCAAGCACAACGGTATGTGTTCTATAATCTAGGTATGTGTTAAGAGCTGTGAAAGTGCAGAGAAGCTAAGTTTCCCAGAGAAATCTGAGAGGGTTTTACAGGAGAACTGACATTTGAATTTGGCTTTGGCACATAGAAGATGGCCATGTGGAACAAGAAATGAAAAGTTGAGCAGCTGCAAAAGCATAGACTCAAAAGACATGGTAGGGCTGGGTGCGATGGCTACACCTGTAATCCCAGCACTTTGGGAGGCCAAGGCAGGCAGATCGCCTGAGGTCAGGAGTTCAAGACCAACCTGGCCAACGTGGTGAAACCCCATCTCTACTAAAAATACAAGAAAATTAGCTGGGTGTGGTGGTGGGGGCCTGTAGTCCCAGCTACTCCAGAGGCTGAGGCAGGAGAATTGCTTGAACCTGGGAGGTGAAGGTTGCAGTGACCTGAGATTGCGCCACTGCACTCCAGCCCAGGTGACAGAGCGAGCGAGACTCCATCTCAAAAAAATAAATAAATAAATAAATAAAAATTAAAAAAATTAAAAAAAGACGTGGTAGATTGGGAACAAGCAAAGGAGTTGGGGTCATGGCAGGGAATAGTGGGGCGGGCAGGGGAGGGTGGGACAAGATTGTGAGGTGTTGGTCCTCTATACCATGCCAAGGAATTCTGACCTTATTCTGTGAATTTATAAGAAAGAGAATGACGTAATTAAATGTGTATCTTAGAAAAAATTACTTTAATGTCAACATGGGGGTTTCAGTGAGAGAAAAGTTAGGATTCTTACAAAATGAAAAATGAGAGTTCAGGGGTAGACGTGCACTGTATATGTATGTGTTTATGTTTATGGATATGTATGTGTGAGAAATAATCTGTAGGACTTGGCAACCAACTGAAACAGGAGAGCATGAAAAAGGGAAAAGTCAAGGGTCCCAGGCTTCTGGTTTAAGCAACTAGGTGACTTAACTGAATTAACAAAAACTGGGAACACAGTTTTACGTTCGGTTTTGGTCACAAGGCATGTGAAGTGCTAAAGGGACATTTTTGTGGAGGCAGAAATGATAAGAAATGATACAGGAGGCATGACAATGTGACCCAAGAAGTCAGGTTAGGGAGAGAGCTGAATAACAATATTATCATTTTTTAAAAAATGAATGCTGGACTGCTGGACAACATTAAAACACATCTGGGAGGCAGAGTGGTGCAGTGGACATGAGCTTTGGAGCTGAAGAAACCCAAGCTTCTTGACTTTGCTACTTAGTGCTGTGACCTTGAGAATGTGACCTACCCTCTCCGAATCTCACATGTGAAATGAAGGCAGTATTAATCTGTCTTCAAGGTTGTGTTCAGCCTAGCAATAATGTATGCAAACTCCCAACGGCACTGGGCTGAGTAGGCACATTGTGGTTTCTGTTGTTCAAGCGCGCAGATGGAAAGGGTTGGGTTAAAGGTGAGGAAGCCGACTCACCTGTGTTCAGTAGAAAGAAGGGAAGAGACTATTTGCCAGAAGTACCTGTAGTAAGGCAAGGTGCTGTTACTATCCCTAAAGAAAGGGATCTTCAGGTCCCAGAAGTAGGTGTTGGGGTAGGAAAAAGTCCATACCACCTTTTCCATTTGATCCCTCTAGTCACCCTCAAACGGATGAAATCATTGTACTGTTCGGGTTGGTTTTCAGGGTAACCCTGTCTATGCCCTTTTCCCACTCACTCTCCAAGAAAGAATAAAGTGGGGGAGAGAAGGAAGGAGGCACCTATCGATGGACACGTAGACCATCCCTAGCTGCTTATTCACAACTAGATTCCCTTTCAGGTGCGACACATTCTTTCATTTTATAATAGAGAAAGAAGTAAATGACATTCATTGATTTCAAATTATAATCAGTTCATTAAGTAAAAATGATTAAAATGAGGTCCTTTCCTACTTTGATTAGAAGAAAGAATGAAAATGGTAGAGGAGATCTGAATATGGAAAATGTATGGATGGTTGGGAGGGTTGTTTTAAAAAGGTGGGGGGTGTAAAGAGTAGGAACACAGAAAACATACTCCAGAGTTTGCCCAGTGTTGGTTTCCAATATTTGACAGACATTAGCTGCATGTAAGATTTTTGTTGTACAAAGCTGCCAACAATGGCAACTGTGCATCTAGAAATTTGTGAAGCTGTTGTTATAATTGTTGTTGACTTTGTTCTAAGAGGCTTTCTTCTCTGAGAATCTACAGAACTATCATAGCACTCTCTACTTTCCTAAATGCCAGAGCTCCCCGGGTGTCAACGTTCAGTGCAATTCAGCACACTCTGATGCATTGCATACTAGATGCCAGACACTGCCCCAGGAGTAGGATGGATAAAAGGGAGCCACTGTCTCAGGGAGCTTCCAGTGTGGAGAGAGTGGAAGCAGCTGTGGGGATAGGAGAAGATGAGGATGAGGGAGGCAGATGAACAATGGCTACGGAAACAAATATATTTATTATTTCCCACAAATGACCCGGGCCTTGACCCATTTGCAACCATTACGTAATCACTGAAACAAGTTCAGCTAAATTATTCAAAAATCTCTGAATGTCAATTCCATTTAATTTTAAATAAGAAGCATCTCTGAGAGGGATGATTTTTGGAAGAATGACTAAGGGAAAATATTTTTCCAGCAGGGTTTTTGCACAGGAAAAAATTCATTGCTTCCATCCCCACTTCCCACACCCCACATTCCATACCCCTTGGTGTAAAAATATTTGTATTTAAATAATTTTAAATGTCATACATTTATAATTAAAAGCAATTCTGTGCTCAGAGGAACAGAAATTACTGACTTTAAATCAATGAGAAAAACTAAATTTTCCTCAAAGGAAAATTTCATGAGATTCAAAGTGGTTTAAATCAAGCTAATGGATATAAGCCCATCAGTTACATATGGTCTCTGGTGACCACTGATGTCACTGCCCACCTCCAGCAGCAGTATATAAGGCATTCCAGCAAGGACTCTTCATTTCTCCCAGTCTCTCCTTGCTCCCTCTTCCTTCCCACCTTTCAGTATTCCAGGGCTGGTTTTGCACAAAATGTTTTTGTTTCCTTCAAAACTATGCTTGCCTACAGCTCCTGATTTTGCCTGCTTGACATCCCTTCTTCTAACACAACAGCCTTTCTCCCCATTCTCTGCCCCAGCCAGAAAACTGCACTCCCTTGGCCACAATGACTGGTTCAGCCATGGGCATGTACAGGAAGACAGGGCAGTCACAGCCTTCACCGAGGAAGAAGTAGAGTGGAAAGATGGGGAGGGGTAGATTCCTGGTGACTGAAGGGCACTCCCTGGGTTCCACTCAACCTGTCGTGGTTAACTCTGAGTGTCAACTTGCATAGGCTGTGAAGCCCAGTTGTTTGGTCAAACACCAGTCTAGATGTTATTGCGAAGGTATTTTTAAAAGATGTGATTAACATTAAAATTAGTAGATGTTGGGTACCCGCCATAATGTGTGTGGGCATCATCCAATCAGTTGAAGGCGTTAAGTACAAAGACTGATATTTCCCAAAGAAGAAGGAATTCTCCTCCAGTCTGCAATACAGAAATGCTGCCTGCGTTTCCAGCCTGATGCCCTGCAGAATTTGGAGTCATGACTGTAACGTTAACTCTTACCTGAATTTCCGGCCTGCCAGCCTGCCCTACAAATTGCCCCCACGATCATATGAGCAAATTCCTTAAAATAAATATCTTTCTTTATGTCTATTTCTCCTTCCTTCTCCGCCTCTCTCCCATCTCCCTATCTCAGTCTCTCCTTCCCTCACTGTCTCCTACTGGTTCTATTTCTCCAGAGAACCCTGACTAATACATTAATAAAATCATATTTTCATCCTCAAATTAGTCAGGGTTTTATCTGTGTGTTCATTTTAGCCAGCTTGAGTTGTATTTCCATCACCTGTAACTAAGAGTCTTCAACAGTCCTCGGTGTAAGTGGATGGAATTCCCTATAGGCTAATAAGTGAAAGATTCTTCCAAAATTCTACCTTTCTTATTATTTACTATGCAGCAAGCTACTTAATGGCAGGGATTGTGTCTGATTTTTTTTATTTCTACTGCCGTTGCTTAGAATTCTTAGTACTTGGTCAGGTTAGTAAACATTGGTTGAGCTGAGTTATAGAAGGAGATGGCCTGGAGTGCTTAGCTCCTGGGATTGCCCTGGTACCTGGAGAAACAGATTCTTTGGCATATAAGAAGCCCAACAGTGACCACAGGTTTTTATCATTTGCGTTAAGTATCATAACAAGTAGTTTCAGCAATCATTATTTTCATGGAGTTGCTCGGAAATTATATTTTTATTTCCTTATATGTATATGTCTATTATCAACTTACATAGGTTTCATTCCAGATGTTTGGATTTGGACAGTACACATTTCTTAGCACCATCAAACCAGCACCCTTCCAGGAGCTTTGAGTCAAGACCAACGTAGGCCTGCCATTGCCACATTGTTACACAGCATTAGTTTCCTAGGGTGGCCATAACAAGGCACCACAAAGCGAGCGGCTTAAACAACAGAAAGCTATGGTCTCATAGCTCTGGATGCCAGAAATCTGAGATCAGGGTGCAGACAGGGCATGCTTCCTCCGAAGGCACTATGGAAGGATCGTTCTGGGCCTTTCTCTTAGCTTCTGGTGGTTCCTTGGCTTGTGGCAGCATAACTCCAATCTTCACACAGTGTTCTCTCTGTATATGTGACTGTCTCCAAATGTTGCTTTTTATAAGGACACCTGTCATATTGGATGACAGGCCCACCTGACTCCAGTATTACCTCATCTTAAACTAATTACACTTGCCATGACCCTATTTCCACATAGGGTCACATTTTGAGGTACTAGGGGTTAGGACTTCAACATGAATTTTAGGGAGATACAATTCAACCCACATCAATTGTTTGTACTTGCTCAGCTTTCTGAGCAGCCTTCTCAGGAAGGTACTAGCACTGTGTGACAAGTGGGCAGGGATGCTGGCCGCCAGGGCTGGGGAACACACCACTAAGACCTGACCACATGTTGGGCCATGGCTGCCACCGCACATTCCTGCACTGTCTGAGTCTGTTTTGTGTTGCTATAACAGAATACCTGAGGCTGAGGTAATTTATAAAGAAAAGAGGCTTATTTGGCTCACAATTTTGATGGCTGGAAGGTTCAAGACTGGGCATCTGCATCTGATGAGGGCCTCAGGCTGCTTCAACTCATGGCAAAAGGTGAAAAGGGGGCTGGCACGTGCAAAGAGATCACATGGCAAGAGAGGAAGCAAAAGAGAAACCAAGGAAGCCAGACTCTCTTTAACAACCCAGTCTCTCAGAAACTAATCCATTCTCCAGGAAAGCAAGGATTCACCCACCCCAAGGAGGGCATTCTTCCCTGCATAAAGAATCCACACCCATGACCCAAACACCTCACACTATGCCACACCTCCCAACAGGGCCACACTGGGGGTTAAATTTCAACATGAGTTTTGGCGAAGACAAATGACATTCAAACAATAGCACACGCCAGACAAATAATTTCTAGTCTGGCAGCACTAGCCTCATTCTAAGACTAACACTGATAACCCTCCCCTTGTACTCTACTCTACTGAGTCCCCTTTCCTCCCCCAGTATCTTCTAGTTGGGTTTTAACCTATTTCTTCCTTCTCCTTGAAGAGCCAATAATCAAGCAATGAGAGTTAGAAACAACAGGAAAAGGAATGAGAGGAAGAGCAAGAGGGAATGTTTGTAAAATACCACTGCTAAGATGGCAAGTGTGTTGTGTACTGTGACATACAGAACTAAGATAAGAAACCTTCGAAAACTAATTTTCTAAGGTTCTAGTTGCTCTGTACCGCTCAGACCAGTGAGAGATGTAGGAAGTGACACACACAGGGGCAGCTAGGATGGCACTGTACAGCAGGAGAGTGTGTGTGAAAGCCGCTGTGCTCCCATAAACTCTTCACAGCAGTGCAGGAAGAGGTCATTGGATCTGACTCTTGCCAAGGATAGTCCTCCCAGGTGAGGGAGAGGGAACATGATTGGGATGGGGGGATGGGGCACTGCAAGGTCGGTGAGTTTGTGAAGATGACTTGCCTAAGGGACAGTGAAAATAGGCCCACGTGCCATCTTTGTCATCCCTGCTATAGGTAACAGACACCTACTCTTGGAAAGCTTCCAGTGTAGTTTCGATGCATAGCGAGCTGTGAACACCTGGCTTATATCATTTGGAAATTTTTACATAACTCCTACACAGCCAAGTAAACCGATTCCTGACTAGGGGCACAGCACCTAAAGTAAAAGACACAGAATCAAAAAGCAAGTAAAAATTATAGTTAAAATTAAAATTTTTAAATGCATTGGCAATATTAATACTATTCCTACTGACTGATACTTAATATATTACTAATCAGTAGCAAATATGGAAAAATACAGTGAACAAATTATAGGCCAGAAAGTATATATTTTGTCCATAACTCATCTGAAGTTATAGACATTTCAAGAGTTTTACCTGTGATGTTCCTCGAGGCCTGCCATCTATCCAGATGAAAATAAAAGTTTAGCCCAAAAGCTTCAGCTTTTTTTCATCTACTTGATGCCAAGTAGTAAATAGTGACAGGAAACAGAATTCTCACCACATCTTTGAGTCATATAAGCTAGATGTGTAGTTTTGTACAAATCTAGCCTGCCTTTTATAGCTTCTCTCTTCTATTTCCTGATTTCTGTCCTCTATTTATAGATGGAGAAACTGATAACTTTTGCAGTAGTTAACCTTCACTAATATCAAAATAATGGAGAATAAATTACAGCATGATTTTAGAAGAAACACATCTGATTTTATGACTAAAATCTGCTTAAAGTTGGCACAAGTCCTGGCCCATACTCCTTGTTTGATAAATGTTGGTTGAAACAAATTGAGAAAAAGGGGCCTAGAGAGCCACTAAAAACAAAACAAAACACCATTTGCAGTGTTTTTCTATTATTTGGAGAAAAATATAAATCAAGATAAGATGTAAATGCTGAATAAGGGAGTACTCTTAAACTTCAGATTAAGGTATATTAACGTTAGTCACTCAAGATATGAGGTTTGGTCATAAGGTTATTTGGCAAGGTTAGTATTATATGCAAAGTACAATTTCACTGGTAGTAAAATATTTTAAGTCTGTGCAGCAACATGGCAACATGGATCTAGGTAACTATTACATTCCAATTTAAAATGGTTGCTTTGCTAGCTAGTAGATAAAATGGGTTCTTAAATTTGAGAATCGCAGTAAAGCCTAACTTATTCCACTAAAATGTATTTTCAGCAATGCCTCAAAGTAGTTTGCAAAGTTTTGGGGATGAAAGCAAAACACGACTTGATGCCATTCCAAGTGGAAGGCTGGCAGCGCCACAAGTTATGAAAACAATGAATGAATCAATAGCATTCTTTAAGACAAAGGCTTATATCCATTAAGAAGTGTAGAAAAGCAATTATAAGTTACAGTTTAAAATAATATTTGTAATATTGGCTTGCCTTGGAATAAGATCAATTTCCTAAAAACACTTGTAAGCATCTTTGAGTAACTTCCATAAGTAGAAGAATTTGGAGAATAAATATCTGAATTCTGGAGGAAGCCCTCATTTTCCTTATTCTCCCAAGAGTCTTCTCTTCCCTCTCACTAAAGGTCTTCATCTCAGCCTTAAACAGTGGTTTTCAACCAGGGGTGATTTTGCTCTCCCCTCCCCAGGAAACATTTGGCAATGTCTGGAAATGTTTTTGTTTGTCCTATGGGGGTTGTCGGTAGGGAGAGAGGGAAGGTGCTACCGGCATCTAGTTGGTGGAGTCAGGGATGCTGCTGAACATCCTACAATACACAGGATGGCCCCACAACGAAGAAGACAATGAAGAGGAATCTGTCCCCAAATATCAATAGTTCAGAGACTGAGAAACACTAGCCTAGAGGTATAAATGGGATAGGTGTGTGTATGGTATTGGAACATAAACAAGTAGAATATTTTCATAACTGAACTCTTAAAGCCCTTTGAAACCCATGTAAACTGGTGGCCTTACAAATCAGCAGTTCCAGTAGAGAAATTCCACTTTCAAATTGGATGAGCAAAGAATGCTCAGAGTTGTTTTTTTTTTAATTCTTTGCTCACCCCATCTCCTCAAATAAAAGTTCTGAAGAAAGCATCGTGATAAATAATCAGAGGCACTGTTTCTTTTATTCCAAGGTTTTAGAACTGTGGCTGTGCCTTAGCCTGGGATTCGCAACTACTGTGTTGGGCACCTCCATCAGTTTGGTTTTTATTCTGTCCTGGAAGTTTTTACTGTACATTTTAACATTGATTGCTACACGGACATTCTTTCTACTACCCCTTTCAGTTAGATGCTCTTTTTGTCTTCTCATTCTCCAGGCCCTCATCAACACAGCAAGTAATTTTCAGGTAACATTTTTTTTCCAAGAAAGTTATTTTGTGGATAGTAATGTAGTCTTTATTATTCACAAGCTCTAAGAGACTTCAGCCAAAAGTACAAAAACTATATTTATACTCAGACTTTTCCAATTCTTTTCCCAGGGCTTTTTTTTTCTCCCCTTTATCTCTTAGCCCAAATTCCTAACTCTTCACACAGTCTATTTTAGAAATTAGAAAGCTTTTTTTTTTTTTGGAGACAGAGTCTTGCTGTTTCCCAGGCTGGCGTGCAGTGACATGATCATGGCTCACTGCAGCCTCAACTCCCCAGGGCCCAAGCGATCCTCTTACTTCAGCCTGCTCAGTAGCTAGGACCACAGGAGCACACCACCACACCCAACTAATTAGAAAAATTTTTTTGTAGAGGTGGGGTGCCCCTATGTTGCCCGGGCTAGTCCTGAACTCCTGGGCTCAAGCTATCTCCCTGCCTCAGCTTCCCAAAGTGCTGGGATACACGTGTGAGCCACTGTGCCTGTCCAGAAAACTTAAAAGAAAATGCAAATAATCCTTTTTAAAAAGTTGTAAACACCCACAACATTTTTATGCTTAGTGACTTGATGCCAAATATATATATTCATGGGTGAATGAGTATGTTGGGATGTATAAATGTCATTTGTATATTTATATGCATTTGTATACCAGATTTCCAAATCTAGTTGTTTTCTCTTACTACCCAGAGACAGCAGCACCCCTGACATCACCATACAATTTCATCAGAAGAGTTGAATTATACACAAATTTATAGTAAAGGTAAAAATATGTATCTTGATAGTTTCCTTCCAATAATATTCACCAACCTTTGCTAGAAGAGATGAAAAGACAAGCGACCAATGTTTTTCTATGGGAAGAAAGAAGATTTAGATCTAAGTAAAAATAAGTAGCATCACAGACTTGACAAACTTTTCTAGAGAATTCATTTTCCCCTGCTCTGCAGAGGGCCCCTGACATGGGGCACAGGTCCAGCTGCTGATAGATATGTCCATGCAAACCTTATTCTGTGCTATAATCACCACCTAAAATATGTAAGTGGTGGTGCATACAACCTAATTTTTAAATTATTATTATACTTTAAGTTCTGGGATGCATGTGCAGAAGATGCAGATTTGTTACATAGGTATACACGTGCCATGGTGGTTTGCTGCACCCGTCAACCTGTCATCTACATTAGGTATTTCTCCTAATGCTATCCCTCCCCTAGCCCCTGACTCCCTGACAGGCCCCAATGTGTGATGTTCCCTTCCCTGTGTCCATGTGTTCTCATTGTTCAACTCCCACTTATGAGTGATAACATGCAGCGTTTGGTTTTCTTGTCCTGTGTCAGTTTGCTGAGAATGATGGTTTCCAGCTTCATTCATGTCCCTACAAAAGACATGAACTCATCCTTTTTTATGGCTGCATAGTATTCCATGGTGTATATGTGCCACATTTTCTTTATCTAGTCTATCATTGATGGACATTTGGGTTGGTTCCAAGTATTTGCTATTGTGAACAGTGCTGCAGTAAACATATGTGTGCATGTGTCTTTATAGTAGAATGATTTATAATCCTTTGGGTTTATACCCACTAATGAGATTGCTGGTTCAAATGATATTTCTGGTTATAGGTCCTTGAGGAATCGCCACACTGTCTTCCACAGTGGTTGAACTAATTTACACTTCCATCAACAGTGTAAAAGCGTTCCTATTTCTCCACATCCTCTCCAGCATCTGTTGTTTCCTGACTTTTTAATGATCACCATTCTAACTGGTGTGAGATGGTATCTCGTTGTGGTTTTGATTTGCGTTTCTCTAATGACCAGTGATGATGAGCTTTTTTTCATGTTTGTTGGCCACATAAATGTCTTCTTTCAAGAAGTATCTGTTTATATCCTTCGCACACTTTTTGATGGGGTTGTTTTTTTCTTGTAAATTTGTTTAAGTTCTTTTTAGATTCTGAATATTAGCCCTTTGTCAGATGGATAGATTACAAAAATTTTTTCCCACTCTGTATGTTGCCTGTTCACTCTGATGATAGTTTCTTTTGCTGTGCAGAAGCTCTTTAGTTTAATTAGATCCCATTTGTCAATTTGGGCTTTTGTTGCCATTGCTTTTAGTGTTTTAGTCATGAAGTCTTTGCCCATGCCTATGTCCTGAATGGTATTGCCTAGGTTTTCTTCTAGGGTTTTTATGGTTTTAGGTTTTACATTTAAGTCTTTAATCCATCTTGAGTTAATTTTTGTATAAGGTGTAAGGAAGGGGTCCATTTTCAGTTTTCTGCATATGGCTAGCCAGTGTTCCCAACACCATTTATTAAATAGGGAATCCTTTCCCCCATTTCTTGTTTTTGTCAGGCTTGTCAAAGATCAGATGACAACCTAATTTATTTTAATGTACATCTCCATACTTTAAAATAAGCATTATTTCTTGGCGAGTGTACTCGGCAAGCTTTCTGTTTAAACTGCATATATGATATGATACCAATTTTTAAAAATTGTATGTGTGGATGCATATAGGAAATAAGTCTATATAAATACTTACCAAGATGTTAATACATTTGTATTTTTATTTGGAAGTGGAACTTTTCTTTATACCTCTCTGTATTTTTTACACAGCTTATTTACTTTAATATTCAGAAAAAGTAGTAATTAAGCACAAAATGTTTATGTAAAGACTTCTCAGATGGTACTCCTTGTCCCTCTGATTTACTGGGATTTGCAGCTAACTCTATTCGTTCAATAAACGTTTATTAGCCGGGTGTACTGGCACACGCCTGTAGTCCCAGCTACTCAGGAGTCTGAGGCTGGAGGCTCTCTTGAGCCCAGGAGTTCAAGGAGCTGTGATCACACCACTGCCCTCCAGCCTGAGCAATAGAGAAAGATACTATCTCTAAAAAGAAAAAAACCATTAAAATATAAATATTTTTTGAATACCTACCATGTGCAAGGCCCTGTGCTAATGGCTGTTAGATAAATAGTTTTGCCATTTTACAGAGATCAAACCTTTCCATTAACAGATATTCACCAAGTGCCTATAATGTGTTTAGAGTTGCTGGGAGTTCTAGATAGAGGGTCAAACAAGACATGTTTCTATACTATAGACATGTAAACCAAATAATAATAATGATCATGATGTATGTTTTAAAGGAGATACTTTTGGGTAACATCATGGATGGTGACGGGGGTGGGTGTGTGGCTGCTTTAGTTATGGTAGCTATGAGAAGTCCTTGCTGAAGAGGTTACCTTGGGGTTGAGGCCTGAATATTAGAAGAAGGCAACTTTGTGAAGATAGGACCTCGAGTAAAAGGGATAGCAAGAGGGAAAGACCCAAGATGAGTTCAAGCTCACTATATTCAGGGAACAAAAGCAATGACAAACAAACGAAAGACAGTGGCAGAGAGCAGAGAAGGAAGAGAAGTAAGCAGAGCCAATAGGGCAGCCTTCAGGCCACGGCAATGAGTTTAGTTTGATTCTCATCACATGAGAAGTCATTGGTGAGTTACAGGTGGAGAAGTGATGTTGCCTAGTTTACATTTAATAAAGATCCCACTGGCTTCTGAGTTAACAGTAGATTTTGGGGAAACAAGAGTATAGGCAGGATGCCAGTTGGGAAGCTGTTGAGGTCACAGCTAGAAGCTACCATGTAAGAAGGATGATAGTGGGAGAGAAATATTAAAAACTTTAAAATTGGAAAAATACCTCCCAACTGGGAACAAAAAAGCAAGGGTGGGGGAAGTTCCAATCTTCCATTATATAGCAACAGTTCTGTTTCAACTTTTGTCTTAGAGGGAGTGGCTGAGATTACTATCTCTCAGTGTCCATTCTTTCCTGACTTTTGTACTAGAACTCTCTGAGTTCTAGCTAGACACATGGCCATTTGGTTATAAAGGAATGATCTTATGCCTAAGCACAGACCATTGGGAAATGAAGACAAGTAATGTATGCAGCTTCTTGGTCATCTCCTGAGGGACACAACCACAAGAGAGAAGACTCTTCACTCTTCCCTCAGGCTGGAACTCAGACATGGCATCAACCCAACTTTAACCAGAAAAATACCCTGGGGCATGGTGAAGAAGATAGAGGCACCTGCTTTTCTGAATGACCGCATGGGACAGAGCCCTCTGGCTGGCCTCCATTGCTCACCTTCAATCTGTATCACATGATAAAATGAACTTTCTTTTTCAAGTCATGCTGTATTCTGGGATCTTTTGGTTAGAATCACTTCTTATGTACACTAAGTAATATGGGAAAGCCAACAGAAGCATCTAAGCAGAGAAGCTAGGGCATGGCAGATGCCTTTGCGGCTGATCGGGAGTTTTACAAACATAAGCAAAAAAAGTCTTCTTTTCAATGTCCTTTTGCCTGAGATAGCATAAGACATAGCCAATTGAGAGAAAAACTATTTTGATACTAATTTTGTCAGGAGCCTTATGGCCATACCCAAGCCTTGGGAGAGTTCTGACCCTCAGCTAAGACTCAGGATGAGTAATAGAGGAACAGTCTGATCGTGAACTCTGAATAACATTAAGTTTGTGAAAAAGAAACTAAAAGATAACAGATTTATTTTCTATACCAGTTATTTTTAAGAAATTTTACATTTTGAATTAATTACTCTTAATACAGAAGTATGTCTTCACTATACAAATGTGGAAAATATACCAAGCTCTAAATCAATCAAGCACATTTATGCTAGGCTTTATTGCTCCATCTGTATTGGGTGGATACAGCCAACTATTCTCATCTGGTTGCAGTATACTGAAATTTGGGAGCCTTTCTAACAAAAAAGAGCCTGTCTCTAGGTTTTGGAGGGTAACATACACAACATAAAATGAATGAAGCCATACAAAATATTATAGTAGGTAAGGAAATTATCATCAAATATGGGGAAAACACTATCTCCCTTATGAAGTTTTTGTGAAGATAAAAAAAGAGAATATATGTAAAGCCCCCAGCAAAAAGTGTTGTTGTTATTACCCTTAGTTTCTTTATTTCCTGTACTCAGTCAATTATTTGGCTTTCACATTCCAAAATACTCAGATCTGCCTTGCATCCCCTTAAAGAGCAATCAGGTGATTATTCCCAGTAAACAGATGACTTGACTTTTCTACATCATTCAATGTAGGGATGAGAGTGAAGTGTAGAGAAGGGAGAACAACATTTATGGAACTACTATACATACACTTTAGATTGGTTATCTCCTTTGATTTCCATAACTCAGTGAGGTGATACCATTTCAACGGTTAAACTGGATTTCAACAGAGGTTAAACTTGGCAGTTACATAACCAGGTCATTGTTAATGGCAGAGCTGAAATTCAAGCCCAGAGCTATGTGTCTCCAAAGCTTACTTTTCCCCCCTGCACCTCTGGGGGAGGGGTCTGAGCCTCACAGTGCATAGAATACAGGACTATATGCAACACTCTTAAACACAGTAGAGGACCCCAAAAGCACTTTGCATTCTCAATTTTCTTTTTTAATTGCAAGAAGAATTAATCATTTCCTCCTCCATATTCCCATTTAACATTTTGTAGTTCTTGGTTTATAGGCCTATTTATGATTGCCCCCACTAGCCTGCTAGTTTTTCATGGGCAAACATTTTAGCATCTGTGTATCTTAGTGTCCAGTAAAATACCTGCAAATAGTAGACACTCAACAAATGCTTATTGAATCATCCACAGATTCCCTAACAACAATAATGTGTTATGTCCAGTTGCTGGCCTGCTGGCCATGGCAATTTTCAGGTCTGTCTGTGGGCTTTCTTTAGTCTCCAGGCCCTAATCCTCACAAGGTTTCCATGAGCAGTAGCTATCGCATGTGTGTGAAGACATGTGAAAAACTGTATATCAGAACTGTCACATATTGACTAGTATGAATAATCACTTTTGGAAGTCATGCTTTATAGTGACCACAGAAACCTTTGTTAACAAATGAGAAAACAGCTCTTTTACTTTACCTGAGTTTGAGTGCATGAAAAGGTTCTGAAGGGCAGCACACACACACACGCACACACACGCAGAGCAAGCTAGCATTATCCCTACAGTACTAGGAACCTTCTGAACTGTAATCTCATTGCATGGAGGTGGAATCACAATAGTAAACATGAGAGGTGCTTTCACAACAAATTCTTTGAACATATTCATAGCTATCAGCAATGATATTAGACTCAATTAGGCAACTCTGATTTGAGCTGCAGACAATCTTTACTGTAATTAGTTTCTTTGTTGTACACATTGTCACCACTGAGGAAGGGTCATTAAGTGGCACACTCTCCTATAAGTCATCACACCCTGGACCCTCTAAGTATGATGGCAACTGGCAAAGAAAACACAAAATTTCTCCCCCTGCATGGCAATACAAGGGGGGAACAAATAGTGCCTGAATCCTACTTATTTCCTTTTTTTGTCAAAATGTTCTTAGTATGATCTTGCTGAGTCCATAAGAGCATATGTCACAAAGTTATCACTGTCAGTTTGGGCACACTAGGCAGAAAGGTAAAAAGCAAGCCTCATTCTGTACAGCTGTGTGCTGTACATGTTTTATAATCCAGGCTGTTCTTCATTGTGGGAATATAGCCAAGAACTATGAAGATCTGATATTTTACCCTACTTGCAAGCTAACAAGTTAGCCTGCCATAGTTTTATGAATTCTGGTAGAAGAAATAAGGAAATAAGAATAAGAATCTGGTTAAGACAAAAGGCTTTATTACTCACAACAGTTAGCAGATGAACCAACCAGACTGGCTTGGAGTTGCCATTAGGAGAAAAATAAAAACATCATGCCCAGGAATATTTGGGCAGAGTCCTGAATTTTTAAAATAAGTCTATATAACTCTCACCTCTTTGCTCCTAATCATTACTCAGGAAGCAACTGAGAGTAAATGATCCCTTCCCAGTAAGACTGGCATTGAATGATCAATTGTCTTACTAAGGTGTGTTGATCAGGAGAAGGTGAGGGAAGAAGAATAGGAGATGTTAATGAGGAGACCATTCCAATGTTCCACAATACCAGATGCCCACAGATGGCTCAGTTGACGAGCATGGAAGGTTCATCAAATAACTTCAACATCAGCACACTGTTGAATGACTTTTGTGATAAAAGGCACACTAGTGTCAGACTTCAGATCATTTAGACAGCCCAAAACATGGCATGGATTAGTTTCAAATGCCATAATGGTGTGGCCAGAATTGGATGATCAACTGGAACAAAAACACCATAATCTGGAAAAGAGTCCACAGCAGTGAGGTCCCATGGACTGTCGTGAGAGGGAATCAAAAGTCAAATGTCAATCTGCCATTGCAGGTGGGTCAATGCCCAATGTGATGTGTCCTCCCTTTGTTGCAACTTTTGGCAGAAGTTCCAAGTCTGGCATGCAGTCATAGCATCTGCATCAGGAGCATAGAGACCTTTACTTTGTGCCCAGTCTGTGACCATGGATGTGTTTCCTTGTCCATTATGGTGATGGACCCAGGCAGCAATGATGGCAATCTGGGCAGAACAGGCTTAATCAGCAACCTGAGTCCTGGTACTCTATCAGAGACTGGATTCTTGTCATAGGCTTCATCCAGACAATTCCTTCAGCAGCCACAATTTATCTCCACAGTTTGCAGCCCTAAATAGGGGTATTTGAATTGGCCAGTCTTTAGTTTCTAAGTGGCAGACCAAACAGGTAGGCCATTGGCAATGGCTCGAATCAGTAAAAAATATAACAGGGTTCTTCAAGGATAGCATTGGCCAGAGCCATGAGAACAGCTTGAGTTCTGTCCATGGAGTGGAGCAACCTCCTTCATTTTTGGTTTTGTGTTGCTGACACTGAGGTTGAACAGCCACAGCAGCCCAGTGAATACCACCAGGTTTTGGCTTAATTGAACCAACCAGGCCCAGGATTCTAGGGAAACTGCTGTGAATTGAAGACCTTGTAGAACCAGTGACATTGCTTCAGTTGGCAGTGTGGATAGAGTATTCCCCCAAAGCAATAGGTACCAATCTTACTGGTAAAGCCTAGATGCTACTGAAGTCATGCTGGTTGTGTTCTTAAATGTGACATTTTCATCACATTTGACTAGTGAAGCTTATTGGGTCCTTCCCCACTTGTCAGTCATTGAATCCAAAAGACTCACCCCAAAATAGGAATATCACGTCAGAAAGGCACAAGGCTTCCAAGGGTCAGGCACTCAGTGTTGACAAGAGCACATAGCAAGCTAATAGCCACTTTTTCAAAAGGGGCATTCCTGGTAGCTGCATCAGGGAGGTGATGAGTCTAAAACCTCAAGGGGGAATCTCTGGGTAGAAATGACCTCCTTTTGCTAGAGGCTCCAGTCAACAAAATCATCAGTCAGAGAGACTTGTAGTCCAGAAGGGTCATTAGGGTGATGGGGCCCCAAAGTACAGAGTGTGTTATAACTTGCAGGATAGCTTCCAATGCAGCTTATTCATTTGGGTCCCACTCAGAAGATGCTGATTTGAAAGTTAGCCCATATAAAGATATTCAAATAGAATTCTCTAGTGAGGTACATACTGTCTCTAATACTTGGTAGTAGGGATCAAAAGAGAGCAGTTTTTCCTTGACTACGAAAGAAATTGAGTGATATGTATCCAACCACATAGTACTGAGAAACTTTTCTTGGTCAACAGGCCCGTGAATTTTGTCAGAGTTTATCAGCCACCTCTGATAAGGGTGACTAAACTGAGGCTTCTGACTTGCCAATCAACAAGCTGTCATCTATATAATGAGGGCTTTGGACAGCTCTTCTCAATTAGGATAATCTCTTTTCTGGCAGTTATGGGACAGGCAAGTACAAGCATCAATTCCTACTTACATTGTGATGTGGAAGCAGCAGTAACAGCACATTGAATTGGCCCAAAGGACCCCATCCACAAGGTCAGGCTAGCTTTCTTTCCCCACTATGAACCCTGCCTAACCCCACTAACTGAATTTGCATGCCTTTTCCTCCCACAGGTCTAGGTAGGTTCTGTATTCAACAGAGTCATAAAAGTTTGATTCTCTCTCCAAGATTCCCCGCCATACTGGGATGAATGTGTATGGTCTTTCATTCCCCTTGAGGACAGGAAGACCTTGGCCCCATCTCTAATCATTTTTCCTTAACCTAGCTTAGGTCAGGGGAAGAAAGAGAAAGAGACAGAAAGATTGAGAGATTATTTTCTCATTATCATCCACCAACATTTTATAATCTAGGCCATTGAAAGCCTGGATCCTAGTCAATGCCTCATCTCTGGTTCCCCACAGGAGTTTTTCTTTTTCAGGAAAATCTTCCAAAATAGGCCAAAGTTCCCTTTTAGCCACCAGGTCCCACTGCAAAAATGTCTGAGACTTTCTACTGCCATCTCCAACTGGATTTAAGATCTGCGTTAGAGATTACAGGAGGTTTTGAGCTATAAAAAAGCCCAACTTTTGCCATTTTTTCTTAATAAGCTTTACTTACCCAAAGCCTCATCTGCTAAGCTAACCAGCCAAAGTTCCAATGATTTGTCTGGGTTTTGCCCACACTGGTAGGTAGATTTTCCTCCTTTCATGCTCAGTGTAGATGTGTGTCTCTAACTTGTCTGAAAGAGAGGAATCTTAGTGCTGGCTGTTACAGTGGGAGAAATTTGAGGTTGACCCCTCGGCTGGTGAGGAAGTTCCCTCACCCAGAGCAAAGTTAGCAACAAGCAGCGCACTATTTGAACAACTATTTCGGAGCCTACTTCCTGATACTCAACCTGCAGTTCCTACAATTACCTTCTCAATTCCTTCTCACTAGCAATAGCAGTAAAGTAGAGGACAATTTATTCCCCAGCTGGCCATACAATTTGGTCAATTCACTACTAAGTCCTATGAACGTCCCCAAATCCTATTAATAGGCTTGTGGACTACTCATCTTTCCTCTTCCAGAAAGCCATGTCTTTGTCAGCATCTCACCATCATTACCAAACTGTGAAGAACTGTGAAGAGTCTGACCTTTGCCCTACTTGCAGACCAAGAAATTAGCCTGCCATAGTTTCATGGAAAACCCAAGATTCCAAGATCAGCGATGAAGAATGGCTTATTACTCACATCAATAGCAATAGCCAGAGTATCCGTGTTTTTGCCTTTGTTCCTCAAGTCCCAATTCCAACAGGTGGCACAGAGGGTCAGGTGACATCATCCCTTGCAGCAGCTTGGGTTACAGGAGGAGAACCTGAGCTTAGGGAAACTGAATCTTTTATAATGGTCAGTAAGTACGCCTGCCCTTTGCTCCAGAGAGAGACACTAGCTCCAGCTTTCAAGGCTCTTCACTATACAAACATCCTTTTACAGGAAGAAAGAGCAAGTTGGTGCTTTGCTCACAGGGTGTGCAAAAATGTGAGAGATCCACAGAAAAGTGTCTCGATCAGGACAGAGAATTATCTAGCAGCAATGTGGGAGTGGCACTTGAACAGCCGGTGACTGGGAATTGAATTAGCATCTCATATCATTGTGTGTACGATGTACATGGAAGTGGTGGGAACTTATGTGATTACATAAATAAATTTTCAACCTTCCACAAGAGATGAAAATGAAAATTCTCACAAGAGGAGAAAGAACCCGAAAATTTCTACCTCAGGAGGGACAATAGAAGTCAAGGCATATATTTTTTAAATAGATTAAATTCAAGCGCTATTGATAATTGTTGAATCAGGATGATAGGTATCTGTTAGTTCCTTTTACTATTTTTAACTCTATTTTTATGTGTTTAAAATTTTTTCTAATAAAATTTTAAAACATTTTTAACTAAACAATTTGAAGTAACAGAATTCTTCATTGAAGAGATGGTGCTTAGGATAAAAACCTCTTAGTTGGGGTTGGTATTGAATGTTTCTCTCCCCGAAAATCTCTACTATAGTAGAAGGAAGAAAAATATGTAAACATTTTATCTACTGATATAACCAAAACTGAAAGTTTTGTTTTAGAAATACTTGATGTATTTTAAATATGGGGACAAAGATCTGAGATGAAAGAATGTTAGACAATCACATTAAATTTCACTAGATGACTAAGTGCTATACTCAACATGCTAAAAGGATCTAATACATGATCCATGTATCACTCAAGTTCCAGTGATCACTGAGAGAACAAGGAGAATGCAGGTCTTGCAAATGTTTACAACAGACTGTTTATATATAAACAAAAAACAAAACCAAAACGAAACTGACTTCGGGGGTACTTAGCCATTCATTCATCATTGAGTATCAATCACATGTCAGACACTGTGCTGGGTGAGTGAATCTAAAAAGAATAGGGTTAGACTTTATTAAAAAAATCATGATCTTCAGTATTTTTTAAAAGTTGTATTGTCCTTATATTATTGCTAGTTATTGTATGATTTAGGCATTGAATATGTTTTTGAAAGGGGAATACAGAACGAATTCTGATAGGTGGCAGTTGGTACAGTTCTGAACTGATGGAGAGAAAATGAAGAAAAACCTCACCAAGCTTAGACAAGGGATAGAAAAGTTTCCAACAACTCTCTGTGTGGGCAATAAGCAAACGGTGTGTCTAGGGGACATTAACCTAAGCTATGATTATAAGATGATCCTCTCTGGGTTATTTGTTTGAAGCTCTACAAATGGAATCCATTATTGACTGGTTCCTCTGGCCCCTGTTTTGTAACTGCCCTAGAGCCCAACAGCCTGATGACTGTCGCTGGATCCAGAGGGTCCCAAGGAGAATGCAGAGTGCCTGGACTGCTCCTCAGCCTGAGCCCCATATCTCGAGGAAGGCAGAGAAGGATCAATAGGATCGAAATTAGGAATCAACAGAAAGACTATGATCCTTTAGGGAGATGATACCTGAGAGAGGATATGACCAAAACTCTATACTCTTTGTAGGACCTCTATGGTGAGGCCTGGCTGCTGTATATGGCTGTACCAGTTGTACTTTGCAAGGGCACCTAGCCAAGGGCATGACATGGGGGTGGGGGACTAGACTGGGGTTGAAATCTAGCCCATGCTCCTCTCACTGAGCCATGCATCTGGCATAAGGCTGTATCTGTCCGAAAGAGGGAGCACCCATTCTAAATTAAGCACCCAGAGTGGGTGCTGTTTCTTATCTGCATAGAGGCCTGTATGGGCTAGAGGCAGCCCTAAAGTGAGAACATATTCAAATCCTGGAATGCTAAAATTCAGGGGCACCCATTGAAATTCTATGTAAGTAGTTTAAAGATAAATAAAAGATGGCATTACTTTATACAGTGGGTAGTAAACATATGGAACTCATTATCCTCAAGATGTTGCATAGTCCACAAATATAAATAGGATAAAGAAAGATTTAGATAAATTCATCCTTGTTAGATTCATATGAGCTGCTAGAGCATTGTTAGAAACACACAGGGAACGTTTCCAAATGCTTTCAGGGAAAATACCATGTTTGTCTTTAAAATGTCCTGCAGTGCCTGTGCCATGGACTGAACACAGCAAATCTCTGGTTATCCAGGTTTCTCAGGGATATCAACATCTACAGTAACCAAGCTTTCCAACTGACTGGAAGTTAAGCTAGTACATTATGTCTCTTTCTTTCTTTCTTTCTTTCTTTCTTTCTTTCTTTCTTTCTTTCTTTCTTTCTTTCTTTCTTTCATTGTTGTTTTTTGTTTGTTTGTTGGATTGAGTCTTACTCTGTCACTTAGGCTGGAGAGCAGTGGTGTAATCATAGCTCACTGTAACCTTGAACTACTGGGCTCAAGCTATTCTCCCACCTCAGCCTCCCAAGTAGCTGAGACCACAGGTGTGTGCCACCACACTTAGCTAATTTTTAAAATTTTTTTTGCAAAGATAGGGCCTTGCTATGTTTCCCAGTCTGGTCTTAAATTCCTGGCCTCAAGTAATCCTCCTGCCTGGGCCTCCCAAAGTGCTGGGATTATAAGCATGAGCCACCATGCCTGGCCATATTTTCTTTATATTAACAAATTGTGTAAAAGTCTTTCTCAGCAGTGGCATGAATTTTTATGTGCTCTTACACAAGTTTGACAAACTTAACATTTTCTTGAGGACTTGGAGCTATCATGATGAACACCCATAATTGTACTGAGTATGATTTCTTAGGAGAAAGTGATTTCTTAGGACCCAGGACATCAGCTGAGATTTGCGGCACTATTTGACCATGACCTGGTTCCAGGGAGCTATGGTGGATTTTTCCTTTGATTTCTTTCAGTGTTTATGCTTGCTTCAAAGAAAATTTTTGGTCTTCCATGTTCTTCAGGCTTCCATATTCCCTATTGTGAATGTGATTGCAGAAAAAAACCTTTCACTCTTAATTTGCCACCCTACCTCTTTGACCTCAGAGGAAAGCATTCTACTTTCCACTTTGTCATGTCATCTCAGTGTGAAACAGACCTTCGCTTACTTCATTCTAGCCCCCAGAGACAAAGTTGCACTTTTAACAAGTTTAACTGAAGGCTGGGGAATAACAGAGGGGAAGCACATTTTTGTACTACTACTGCTAGCTTACTCCTGAACCCAGAGAGGCTGGAACCCACTCTCAGTCCTCAATAGGGATATGCCTGTTTAGTTCCCATCCCTATCAACCCAAACTTGGAAGCAGGCCAAAGATATCCATAACTCCAAGCACAGATCCATGGCCAGGCGCCAAAGAGGGAATGGCCTACTTCTTCACTTATCATTTATTGGCACCAGCATCTTAGTACTTTTCCTAAAATTACAAGACCAGTAAAACCATGAACATGTCCCATGGCACCCATTAGGACAATGCGTGAAAACACAACAGTCCAACATCAATACACTGTAGATGATTCAACCTGATGTGGCTCTCAGACATTGACAGTCCAGGCCTGGTTGAGCTCTACCAAGTCCAGTTCTGCTCTTCTGTGTGGTCTGTCTGATAGCAGGAGATGCAAATCTTGCCTGCACATCCTACATGAAATCGCCAGATTTTGCTTCTAAGTAAGAATATACACAAATCTCCAAATGAATATGTGATACTTTAAGTCCCAGTATAATCCAAATTTACACTTTGAAGACAATCAGTATTTATCTAAGGAAGACGCAACATGCAGAGATACATTCCTGTAGATTACAAAACAGGCGTTTAAAATCTGTTGAGTTAAAATACAGATGTTAGCCACTCAGAGTCACCCTGGCTGAAAATCACCAATTCAGAACAAGGCCTTCATTTATGTTTGAATACCTAAATGACTCATTCTGATTGTTTTCTCAAAATGAAAGAACAATCTTCCCTAAAAGTGATTGCCAGCTGTCATCTCTAGGGATTAAAAAAAAAAAAAAAAGACCTATGACTTTCAAATCACAGAGGTTGCCCTCTCTCCTTCTGCCCATCAAGTTTTTAAAAATCGTTAAGGCTGCATTTCAGTTCAAGCTCCTCTTAGGTAAGTATGACATTTAATAGATTCCAAAACACACTCTATTTTTACATTTCAACATCTCTGACTTCAGGATAGGTCTTATAATCTATGACTTCTCACAATCACATCTAGCCAAGCAGCATTCATGAGATAGTTGCCTCTTAGTTATATGAGAACTTGGTCCATTAAATAACAAGCTTGCTGAAAACGTAGTGACTTGGCTGTTAGTGTCAGGGCCTGACCAGACAGCTGCAAATCTGTAAACAATGGAACTTCTGAGGCCAATTGAGGAAAAAGTGAGGATCTGTTATTGTTAGAAAACCTCCACGAACATCTTCATATGATCGATAAAGCTCCAGAATTAAAACTTGCATACTGTGTGACCATGGTTTAGACAAAAGTCTTAAAGACTATCACAGAGCACTCTTTTAAGAAATGCTTCCTCACCCCTGCTCTTGCTCGTACAGAGTCTGATGCTCTGTAGAAAAGCACATACCAGCAACTCTGAATCAGAAGCCAACCTTCTTCAAATGTGCAGAAGTTTTAAAGAACACTTCAACTAATTTATTTTGATTAATTTACCTTCTTTGGTATGCAAAAAAGAGATAAATGATTTTTTTAAGGTCTATGTCCAAATATCTAATTCTAAGAAAGCCTTACATCATAGTTTAATTGATAGTGGGTTTTTATTCCTTAGAGGCATATAAAATAATGGTGTATATGTAAAAGGAGTATCAGTGGTCTCCCAATATTCCATCTGTTCCCTCATGTGTCCCGGCGCTCTTATAGGTAGGCTGAGCTATGTGATGAGTTCTGGCCAGAGGGATACAGGTGGAAAATGAATTATGTTATTTGTGGGTCAAAGCATAGAAAAACTAGCTCTTGATTCCAGATGTCTTTGCTCACACCACAGTAAACCCTGAAGCCTCTTATAGAGATAATGGAGCCTCTATCAGCTTATGGTTCCCGAGTGACTAAGTAGAACAGAGGCCTCAATTGACTCTCATTGCAGCATAAAATAAACTTTTGTTGTGTAAGCCACTGGTGTTTGGAGGTTATTTTTTATTATAACACACCTCTAGCATATCCTTACTATGATACAGTCCATCCAGCAACCTATGACCTCTTACATTTGATAAAGTATAGGAACACTCAGTGGAATGCTGGTAAATGCCGCACTACCAGCTTTCAGGGAGTTGGAGGGAATCCCCGATTTATAGCATTTGCCTATTTTTGTGGTGTAAATACTCCCATCATGGCCAATTTCAAGTTACCAATATGACTTTTTAGGAATTGCAAAATTCCTAAAACTTTAACAGTCATCTCTTGGGAACCAATATAAATGGGCTCCAGCACGGCACTAGACATGTACTGCAAATATCTCCCCAGTTAACATTTTTCCCATAGAATATTTATTGGTTTTTAATACCCAACTTCATAGAACATATATATCTCTCAACATATCATTTTTTGGCTATGTTTTTATAGGAAAAAATGTATATTTGCATATTTATAACTCAATAGAACATTTTTAACAAAGCAATACATAAGAAAAGAAATATAATTTGTAGAATGTCAGAATCATGTGCACGCACTTTAAAAAGTGTACATTATAAACTAAGGTAAGTTTTTCTGTCACTGGTACTAACAGAGACATCACAGCATATAAAGTAGCTATTAACTGTATCAATCCTTAGATGATCAGCAAACATGGTTTGATCATTTTACATAATAATATGGTAGTTCGTTACTTACATATACACACTTTTCTGTGTTTTAGTTACTTTTTAAGAAATTTGTTGGTTTAAAGCTGATGTGTAACACATTATATTTTTTTCCATTCCAAATAATGGGAAATAGTTTCTGGTCAGCTTTTAAAATGTAGAACATCTGATTTTCAGTAATGGATTACTGCCATTAAGTGGGAAATGTTGATTATATAAATACTAAAACCTTGAGCTCTTATGAGCTTTAGTGCATGAATTTAAAATGACATCTATTTTGCCTACTCAGGGAACTTTTTGCATAATTCCTGGTTTTTAGTTATGTTCCAGATGGACAACACTGCTGGTGAGCTAAGTTGTGGATGGTTGAAGCAAGTAATTCTTATATTCTTAGTATAGTTTAAAATATATGGTACAACATTAGTTACTATCTGTTCTGAGAAGAGAAACAGGGTGGAATCCAATTATTTCTGATTCATTGAAGTAAAATAAATAAGCGTTTGGAGAATGGTTAACAACCTTAGCTACTCCATGTCCTCAAATGTCTTTCCTTTGCACCAATATTTTAATCCTGCAACCTTCTCAATTCTAATCAGTTAGAATGAGATGGAGACCCTTCTTACAATCCTTCCCAACACTGACACTTCTCCCCACTCCTGTTATCCTGGGTAATGTCAGTCTGTGGAGGAATCAGAAAGCTATTTAAGCAAACCCGCCCATCACAATATTTTTCTACCTGTCACAGTTTGGCATTTTGCTGATAGAGCTTTATCCTGTAGTGTCTTGAAAATTTGGAGTCTTAAAGACTTCCATGGGAAAGGCCACACCTTAAATTCCTTCCCATCTGATTCTGTAGAGGAAATTAAGGCAATTTGTTGAGGTCTGTCCTAAAGAAAAGATTACAGTTTCCTCTTAGGAAAAGTCATGTTTTAAGAAGTGTGAGATCAGCAGGGAAGACGGGACCAAAACAAACTTTATCTACTTGACAGCAGAACCTGGAATTTCCAAGAAGTCCCTGACATTTACCCTAACAGACCATATTATCACCACCCTAAGGAGACTCCAGTCCAGCCCACACAGAACTCTTATATTCGCCACTAAAGAGCCAAATGATGGTTTTTAGATGGCATCACAAGGCTTCTCTCCTTTTATACTCTTAATTTTGTGATTCTGTGGATGGGGTAGTATTGATCTCATTCCCTTGATGCATTGTCTGCCCTTGCCCAGGGTACCTAGAGTTTCCTATCTGCTTTCACCTACAGCCTTGCTTCTGTGAGTGGCCTGTGGACACGCATCATCAGCCTCTCTTAGAAGTGCAGAATCTTAGGCCTCGCCCCAGGCCTACTGAATCAGAATCACTTTTTAATAGATCCCCACGTGATTCAAAGTACATTAGACTGAATGAGAACACTAAGACTCAACAAGACTGTTGAGAAGTCTTAACAGCCTTTGGAAAGCTAAGGAAGTTCTGAGGACTCCTCTACCATCTCTCAAACGGAGACCTGGGATATGTCTGAACTGGGTGGTCAACAAACATCTGAAAGTTTTTAATCACTGAAGAAAACACTTCTAGCATTCTTTCAGTACTCCACTAAGTTGGACTGGATCTCTCATAGAAATAGATAGAGGCTATTCAGGAACGACTGATAAGAGTTTCAGCCTGTTTTTATTGAATACTTTTCCCTGCTACACAACATAGCCTTCTTTCTCTATATTTAGTTTGTTTTGGGGTTACTGTGGAAGACTTGGGCCCCAAGTTATTTCTGCATTTATATGCCATACATCTTGGTTGCCCAATAAAGGTGCTAATCATGCAGTGGACATTTTGTTCCTTGGTCATTTTGTGTATTGATTATTTCATATTTATAACACTTAAATATTCAAGATAATTCTGTATTACTTAAGCACACTATAGTCCTAGAATCATAACATCTCAGAGTTTTTGCATAATTCTTCGGGCATCTTAAGTATACTGTTATTTGCTGCTGGAATTCCCCCTAAACACCCTACAACTGGTCATCTTCGCTCCACTTGAATATGTAGAATAATATGACACATATCACATTTTATGCTAACCTCTCCTAGTTTTGAACAATTCTAATTAGTAGAAGTTATTTCTCATACTAGATTAAAATCTGTCACCCATGTGTCTTTAAAATTATGTATTCATTGCAGTTATTAATTCTACACTATATTTCCTTATCTAGCTGATGTTTTCTTTCTTGTTACTAGAAAAATTGGGAACCAAGGCACAGAAGTACTATCGTAGGGTTTCAAAGGCCATCAAAAAGGACACACACACACAAACCAAGACTGGAAAGTATTTATTTCTAACTTACAGTTCTATTCACTAGACTGTCTGCCAAACAATGCTGCCCTGTGACCAACACTATGATAATATATAAGCAAACACATCAGTCCCTGGGAAAGAGCACGCATCAGGGTGTGGTAAAAATCCAGAAACTGTGTCCCTCCCTTCAGGGGTCAAATATCTGGCAAACATCCTGGGGTCAGATCAGAGGCCAGAATCCACTGTGGGGAGCTGATCCGTTCCCACAAAGGAGATTTGACTTGCTGGCAGCTGGCAATTTTCCTTTGTGAAATGGGTGTTCCTGGCACTCCATAAAAGTCCTCCCTCCCTCCGCTTTTTTTTTCCCTCCACCCCTGCACTCCACACCCTGCTGTACACACCCTCCCACTCCTATACCAATAAAACCCCTCCCTAACACACATTCTGCACACACACATGCCCCCACAACTTCCTCTGCAAACACACCCACATATCTCTCAGATACACGCCCAGGCAGTACAGGGCTTTCTGTCTCATGCCCTCAGTCTTCTCCTAGCATCTTAACACCATATATACTACCCCACACTTCCTCTTCTTTTCATTATCACCCGTACTTATTTTATTTTATTTTAATATTCCTTCACCTCATCCCGGCCCACCTGCCTTTGCTCCCTGGGCCTGGGAATGCTGGCACTGTAATCTTGTTCTGCACATTTGTAATCTGGAGCTGTCACAAGCAGGAAAGTCATCAGCCTGCATGTGCCTGCCTGTTCTTCTCCTGCAGCTAGGCTAAGAGGGAGGATGGAAGGAAGCTGGCAGGCAGTTCTATTTCTGGAAACTACAGAAACTCTTGTTTTCCCTCCTTAAATTCCCAAGGGAACCATTCCAGGCTTTGCAATAGTCACCATCATTTCTTCTTTCCTCTAATTCTGTTGCAAGTTTTCCTCTGTCCATTCTTCAGATTTACAATATGGTGTCTGTCTGTGGTAGCATCCCTCACATCCTGTCCATTATGACAAGTTACACAAGCCCAGGAGACCCCACAGAAGATATAAAGGACAATGAAAGAGAAGGATAAGATTGTTTATGTCCAACTGGAAAGTTAGGTAATTTAAATATATGTTAATCCCCTGGGATCTGTCTGTAGACAAAACATTGAAAAAATGCTGTATCAATAAAATATAGAATGTATTGGTTTATAGCATTTCCATGCTCTCCAATACCTGATAGCTTCACTAAGTTTTTTGTTTTTGTTTTTGTTTTTGTTTTTAAGATGGAGTCTCACTCTGTCACCCAGGCTGGAGTGCAGTGGTGCAATCTCGGGTCACTGCAACCTCCACTTCCCAGGCTCAAGCGATTCTCCTGCCTCAGCCTCCTGAGTAGCTGGGACTAAAGGCATGCGCCATCACACCCGGCTTTTTGTATTTTTAGTAGAGGTGGGGTTTCACTATGTTGGCCAGGCCGGTCTTGAACTCCTGACCTCAGGTGATCTGCCCGCCTCAGCCTCCCAAAGTGCTGGGATTACAGGTGTGAGCCACTGCTCCCAGCTTCACTAGGGTTTAAAAGTGATCCTCTTGGGCAAATAATTTGCCACAGTTGCCCAGCTTTCTTGTTATTCCTTGGTGAGGAGGATGATAGTTTAGCTAAATAAATATTAAGAAAAATGAGGGTCCTTTAATCATTCCATAATAAGAACATGTGAATTTTTAAGAACAGCCATTATTTACGTGAACCTAAATATTACACATAATCTATGACATTGCACTGGACATTAAGCGAAATAGATACTGTTTTTGTTCACTGAAAATGTACCATCTAAAAAAAGATACCAATGGGACCAAAAAAATGTGAATAGCCAGAAACAGATTTGATTATTTTCTTTTAATGTTAAAAAAAATTGAGTAAGTCCCCACTTTCCAAATAATAGCATCCTAACATATAAATTTTGCATTCAAAAACCTAACAATCTGGCTCCAATACACCTTTCAACTCTGTATTCCATTTTTCCCCACTAACGCTGTCATCTACACACTGGACTTACTGATTCCCGAACACAGTCTGTGCTTTTCAATGGCATCTTAAGACCAGGGGCCCTGTCTTTCCAAATTGTATCCCTCACAGTTCTCAGCCCAGTGTATTATGCATAATATTGTACCTGGTGAATAAACAGTTGCTGACAGTGAACTTCATGAGAACAAGGCAGTTATAATTAGGGTGGAGTTAGAATTTGCAAAGCTCGTTGCATACAGAAAAGGCATGTCCTCTTTGCCTATAAAGTGCCTACTTACTCCCTATATTAACACTGTTTTTCCGTTGCCATAACTGCCCAACAATGTTAATGTATTTCATGGCTCTAGGACATCCTTATTCAGCCTCACGTGTCCAGGCTTCACATATCTTTGGACTGGGTTTTACCAGAGACTAACAGGTTGCTATCACCACATGTATCCAAAACACATACGAAACAAGTCAGCACAGCACAAGTGGAGAAAAGAACCAGATCCCCCCCCGCCCCACCCCGCTCCATAAACTAGTAAATTCACCCTCAATTCAGTATGTTGCAGAAATACCATCTTCAGGGATACATTAAGATACACATTTCATTAATTTCTTCTCTCCTAGGGAAACTTTTCTCTTTCATTTTCTTAATGCTTAGCTGCATTTTGATGTTTCCCGTTTCATTTAACAAGTTACATTTATTAGCTTAAGTACTCTCTTCCATCAACAAACCTTGAAAGCTGATGCTAGTTCTAGAAATCATTGTTTCCAACCATACGGTTCAGATAATTTAAGAGTCTCATAGTAACAAATACAACCTGATTCAAGTTGTCAGTGATTTTCCACGGCAATAAACATTACAAAAAGTAATGCAGGCAGGGCATGCTGGCTCACTTTTGTAATCCCAGCACTTTGGGAGGCTAAGGCAGAAGGATTGCTTGAGACCAGAAATTCAAGACTAGCTTGGGCAGCATAGCGAGACCCTGTCTCTAGAAAAAAAATTTTAAAATAAGCCAGGTGTGGTGGTGTGCACCTGTGGTCCCAGCTACTCAGGAGGCTGAAGTATTAAGATCACTTGAGCCCAGGAGGTTGAGGCTGCAGTAAACCACGATTGTGCATTCCAGCCTGGGTGACAGAGGGAGACCCTGCCTCAAAAAAAAAAAAAAGTAAACCAGAAACATTTCACAGTACTCATGAATATAGGTCACTAAAATTCACAGATGATCTGTAATGTTCTTTTTAACCATTCATTTCTTTTTTTTTCTTTTTCTTTCTTTCTTTTTTTTGTTGAGATGGAGTCTTGCTTTGTCACCCAGGCTGAAGTGCAGTGACAGAATCTCAGCTCACTGCAACCTCCGCCTCCCTGGTTCAAGGGACTCTCCTGCCTCAGCCTCCCAAGTAGCTGGGATTACAGGCGTGCACCACCATGCCCAACTAATTTTTGTATTTTTTAGTAGAGACGAGGCTTCGCCATGTTGGCCGGGCTGGTCTTGAACTCCTGACCTCAAGTGATCTGCCTGCCTCGGCCTCCTACCTTTCCTTCAAGCAATATCCTTTAAAACCCAGAGTTGTATGTGAGAGCAAATTTAATTTAATCTCATCTATTTGACTACTTTATATTATCAGAAGTACTAACAAGCTGTGAAATGGCTCAAAAGAGAAAATGAAAGAGAGGAAAAGATTTTTTTAAAATGCCACAAACTGGCTAATCAGATCATGAACAGATGAGAGCTTTAAAAAGAACACACTTTTTTTTTAACCTTTAGTATTATACTACAAGGAATTTCTAAGTTTAGCAAAGTAAAAAAAAAAATTAGAAAAAAATAGTCTATTATATCAGATACTTTAGAATTTGAGCTTTGAATTAAAAATAATTGAGCAAAGCTTTGCAGAGTTAGGAGTGGGACTGCAGTGGGAGGGAGGAAGAACCACTTGTTGGGGATGGTGGGAAACTGGCATTCTGGGAGCTCCTGTAAAAAGAAACAGAGTCGGCTGGGCACGGTGGCTCACACCTGTAATCCCAGCACTTTGGGAGGGCGAGGCGGGCAGATCATAAGGTCAGGAGTTCGAGACCAGCCTGGCCAACATAGTGAAACCCCATCTCTACTAAAAATACAAAAAAAGTAGCCGGGCATGGTGGTGGGCACCTGTAATCCCAGCTACTTGGGAGGCTGAGGCAGGAGAATCGCTTGAACCCAGGAGGTGGAGATCGTAGTGAGCTGAGATCGCACCACTGTACTCCAGCCTGGGCGACAGCGTGAGACTCTGTGAAAGCAAAGAAAAGCAAAGAAAAGAAAAGAAAAAGAAGGAAGGAAAGAAAGGGGGGAAGGGAGGGAAGGGAGGGAAGGGAGGGAAGGGAGGGAAGGAGGGAAGGGAGGGAAGGAAGGAAATAGAAAAGAAAGGAAGAGAAAGAAAGGAAAGAAAGAAAGAGAAAGAAAAAAGAAAGAAAGAAAAGGAAGAAAGAAAGGGAAAGAAAGTAATTAGCTACCTAGGGTTGGGGGACAGGTCAGGTGATGAGAAGGTTTGGGAGTGTTGGTTGAGGGATATAGGCTTTTTTTTGAGATGATGAAAATATTCTATAATCAATTGTGATGATGGATACACAACTCTGTGAATATATTAAAAGTCATTAAATTACATACTTTAAATGGGTGACATATGGTATATGAATTATATCTCAATAAATCCATTAAGAAAGAATCTGTAAATATTAGGGCTTGAGAATTTATGGAATCTAGCTCATTCTAACCTGACTCACTCCACTCCAATTGTGAAACACTTTTTTTTTTCCATTCATAAGCACATATATCTTAACTGCTTTCAGGCATATTCAAGCCAAGAAAAATGAAAAAGGTGCTTGAGTTCATGAACTTTCTGGAGCAAGGGATTGAATTGTAAGCTACTGTACCTTTGACTCAATTTATTTCTGTTCATCTTGCAATAAATTTAAGAAAATAGAGGTTTTGTTGCAAGAATAAGTGTGAATTTCATAAACAAATGTTGCAAAGGAATTCACACAATGATGTAAATAGCAATAAAATAAAACAATGACATAAACTTCCAAAGACAAGGAAAAAAGAGAAAGAGGGGAGAAACGCATGAGGTTTGAAAGCCAGCTCTGCAGCTTCCTAGCTGGATGACATTTGGCAGAATGCTAACCATTCCAAGCTTTGTTTTTTCTCCCTTATAAAATGGAGGTTTTTATAATATTTCAAATTTATTCTGAAGATTAGTGATAATGTACACAAATGCCTGGCATATGGAAGGCATTGAATGAATAAATTGTATTAATAATAACTCTGAAACTAATGGCAAAAACCACAATTACTTTTGCACCAACCTAATATTATTGCAAAAGGACCCATAAAAATGCTCTACCATTAGTCCAACATCTTATGCATATTATCTCATTAATCTTGAGAAAACCTGCAGCAGTCAGGGTAGGCTAGGTTACGTTTCAATAACAGACAACCTCAGAGTCTCAGGTGCTTCAAAACACCCAAAGATTTATTTCTTGGTCTATTTACATATCTGTCACACGTTGGCTTGAGGCTCCACTCTGCCATCTTTACTCTAGGACTCAGGTTTAAAGAGCTGGTACTATCTGGAACATTTCCAGTCTATTAAAAGGAAGAAGTGGGAGAAGGGGAGGGAAAAGAGACAAACCAGGCATACGGCAAAGGGAGAAGAGTAGCAAATTACACACAGACTTTTAAAACATATACCTGGAAATTACAGGTTACTTCTGCTTCCATTCCACTGGCTAAAGCAAGTCCCAAGGTCATATCTGTCTTCAAAGAGATAGGAGATTACATTTTTAACGTGCATAGAAGATGGGAAAACAGAGTATTTGTCAACAGCCTTAATGATTAACACACAACTTTATGAGGGAATTACTTGTTTCCTCAACTTTAAAATAAGAAATCAGAGGCATAGGGAGAGTAAGTACTTGCCTGCAGCTATATAGCTAGGAAGTGACAGAGCAAGGGATTCAGACTCAAGTCCTGTGCTGCCTTGTGCTGTTTCTAGCCAGATCCTGAAAAATGAAAACAACCTACCTATAGGGATGTGTGAATGTGTCTTCCACCCACATTTATAAGAAAATGTCCACATTTTCTTTTGGGAACAAATTGGTAACTGTCTTCTCAGAAACCAATTTGGAACAAAAACATTAAGATTCATAAAATGTTTACACACCCTTTGACCTAGTAATCCTAGTTCTGGGAATTCATCCTAAGGGAATTATTCCCAAAAGATAAAATATATACATATATATATATATATATATATATATATATATATATATATATACTCATGAAAAGATCTATTGTGACGTTGTTTGTAATAGTGAAGAACTGGAAAGAATCTATACTTTTGACAACAGGAAGAATTAAATAATTATTGATTATACACTCAACACATCATTACAAAGCCACTACTTTATAATTCTGAAGACCATGTAGTAACATGGGAAAAAAGCTCTTGATATAATGTTAAGTAAAAAGCAAAATAAAATTATCTTACTATATTGCAACTGTGTGATACATTTGTGTGGCAAAAACTGCTAACATGCTCCATATTTGCTCTCCCTTCCTCCTCTTAGTAATAGAGTTCCTACCTACCAGGGATGCCCAGCTATGGACTACATTTTCCAGCCTCCCTTGAATCTAGTTATTGCCACATGACTAATTTCTTGTCAATAGAATATGAGCAGAAGGAATGTGTGTAACTTCCCAGTTTTGCCCAGAAAAAAACTTGTTGAGGCACATGTTCTATAGGCCTTATTTACCCCTACCTCCTAGAAAGGAAAGAGCAATAACTGAAGCAGTTGCCTTAGGTCCAAAGATGAAAGTCACAAGTTAATGGAAAGATACATTTTTTCCTTTTTTTCCTGAGATTTCTTTATTCTAACTTTTATTATTTAAAAAAGCTGAGAAAATATACTAGCTATAGTTTAAATGCAACTAATCATCAAAATTTATCTTAAATATTGCTTTTCTGGAAGGAAAACAGACCTTCTCTATTTGTGGGAACATTTGAGGAAACTTTAAAAAAAACCCCAGAAAATAATAAAGCAGCACATAGAAATGGCTTTTTGAATGGCCCCAATTTGGGCAATTTCATCATTTTGAACAGCTAGAAATGATTAGGGAGCATAACTGAGAAGGGCTCCAGGCAAGGCATGCTGTAGTGCAGGGGATGGGGAGGGGAGAGGTGGAGAGGGTAGAGAGACCAAGAATCTATGCAGCCCTGGGGCAACAGGAAACTCAGACTGTGTGTGTGGAGGGCAGGGAGGTGATCTCATTAGTACAGTCTATTAAAAGGAAGAAGTGGGAGAAGGGGAGGGAAAAGAGACAAACCAGTTATTGTTCAATTTTGCCAATGCCAACTCCTTTCCCTTTCATAATGCTACTATGGGATACAACATTTATTAGCTCAAGTAAAACCCTGTGGTTTGACTCTAGGGATCAGCATATCTACAAATGCAAAGCCAAGAAAATACTGCATACCTGGAAATTCGTAAGAGAGTGAATCTGATTGTCACAGCTACTTATGAGTCTAAAGGAAAAGGTTTATTATTATTATTATTATTATATTTTTTGAGACAGAGTCTCACTCTGTCACCCAGACTGAAGTGCAGTGGCGGGATCTTGGCTCACTGCAACCTCCGTCTCCTGAGTTCGAGCGATTCTCCTGCCTCGGCCTCCAGAGTAGCTGGGATGACAGGCGCCCACCACCACGCCTGGCTAATTTTTGTATTTTTAGTAGAGACAGTGTTTCACCATGTTGGCCAGGCTTGTCTCAAACTCCTGACCTCAGGTGATCCACCTGCCTCAGCCTCCCAAAGTGCTGGGATTACAGGCGTGAGCCACCGTGCCTGGCCAAGGAAAAGGTTTTAATTCAAGAGAAAGATGTATTAGTAGCTAAGTCTATTTTAAGTACTTTACATGTACTGTATTAACTTATGTAATCCTCCAAAATTCTATTAGATGGGTACAATTACTATTATCTCCATCTCACAGAAAATAAAACTAAGGCACAGAGCATTCAAGCAACTTTCCCAAGGTCACACAGCTAATGGATGGAAGCCAGGCAATCAGCTTCAGAATCTGAGTTTTTACCCTCTATCCACAGTGCCTAAATCATTAATAAATCCAACAAAAATATGTAATCGGGACTCCAAACAATAAATTTGCTAACTGGTCTTCCTTAATGCTTATGTTAACCTTTCTAGCAGTATATATAAAATGACTAATGGACAGATTGTTTTTGTTTGAAGTGAATTACATGGCAGTTACTAAAACATGTAAAGACATGGGTGCCTACTGAATATCCCTTTTCCCTCTTCTCTCTCAAACTAATAGTACTGCTATTTTAAGCTGGACATAGCACTACCCCACTAAAAGAACACATTTTGCATCCATGCTTACAGCTTTGTGTGGACATGTGACTAGGGAGACCCAAATGGAAATAGAATGGTGATTTCTGGGAATTCCCCCCTGGAAAAGGGTGCACTGTTCTTCTCCTCCTCCATCCTGTTGCTCCATCCTCCTGCTTCATCCTGTCTTTGGGGTGTGGACATTCTGGCTCCCAGCTCCGAGGAGGAGGCTTAGCTTCCTGCTAAGAAGATTACCTTGGCCATGTAAGAGCAAAAGCTGAAAGGAACCAGGATCCCTGAAGACAACGAGGCCACCATGCTACCCTTGGGCTGGCTTTCTCCAGAGTTCTTTTTACAGGAAGGAATAATGATATAAATTGTTTCAACTATTATATTGGGGTCTCTATTAAGTTACTTGTAGTTGAACTTTATTCAAACTCATTCATAAACCTAATGTTACATGTTTCCACTCAGATTTGGAAACATCAAAAACTCATTTAAAGATATGCAAATTTTCTTATACATTTTGTAAGTAAACAAATGAACAAGACTTTACCTAAATGACTATCAGACTATCAGTCCTTATAAGGGATTTTTATGGCAACTGTTCAAGGCAGTGCTTCCCAACCTTTTTTGTGATATGGCAACCAAAGACAATCATAATTGTACAACACTGGGTAAAACAATTTGGTTGCTCTTGTCCAGAGGCTACTGATCCAGGAGGACTGCCTACCCCAAGAGCTGTGGGGATCAATTTCTCAATTCCCTACTCCTAACCCATTCACCACAGCCCAGCTCTGATGGCATTCCACAATGAGTGGATTGTTTCTAATTACTGTTAAATAAAAATGGAATCTGCTGTAAATAAAAATGGAATCTGGGACTCATTCAAAAATCATTAAAGCTTGAGAAAAGTCATGTGAGTAAATTATTTATTGCACTTTATTGTTGGAGAAAGGGTCTCATTGCAAGACTAGTTGAATTACACAGAGGTAATTTCTTATTTCACATAGGGCATTTTAAAAAATGACTTAATTATTCACATGTACACTAAGTATTCCTTTTATATCCAAGATGTCATGGAAGCACCCTTGTGAGTCTAGGAAAAGAGGTGGGTTTTTCAAAGATTGAGTTTATACTATTGAAAACCAAGTTTTATCTGTAAGAGGAAAGAAGGGAACCTCCCTTAGTTATTTTCAGTCTACCAAGAGCTTCCAAATGTGTTCTCTCATTTACTGCTTATCTCCTGGTATGGAAGATGTTAAAGATTTTTAAAATTGGGAAACTACAAGCAACAAAGCTAAAATTCAAAGTTCTTAAATGTCCTCATGCCTGAATTCCTTCCTGGACTTTCCTTTTTTTATTTAAAATTTGTCTCAAGGTAATGGCCTCACAACTCTATAAAATCAATGGCTTAGTAATAATTACAGTGAAAATCAACTCCTGTCCTGCTCCCCAAAAGAAACCACTCTCAAGCTTTTCTCTTTTTAGCGTTTAGAATGTTTGCCTCCATATCTCAAAAATACATATATTGTCATTTTTCTTTCTAAAATTGTTTATATTTTCCATCTAAGTTATAAATGCACAGAGCTTTAAAAGCCAAATAGCTCCTCAAAGTCTAAAAGACAAAGAGCAGCCCTTTTCCCTGTACAACCTGCATGTTCTAATTCCATTTCCATTCCCAAAAGCAAACTTGCTCAAGTCTTTCAGTGTGAGCCACCACACCTGGCCTCAGCTGTTTCTTTTGGTGTTTATCTCCACATTTTAAACTGCTGTTTCTTGATTTTTTTTTCAGTTCCAGATATTATTATCTATGACTCCCTTCTGTGGGAGATACGGATTTAGTCTCTTACATTCTCTTCTTATTCTTTCAATATAGTTATATTACAGTGTTTTTCTCTGATAATTATTGAGTTTTTTGTTGTTTTGTTTTGTTTTGTTTTGAGATGGAGTTTTGCTCTTGTTGCTCAGGTTGGAGTGCAATGGCGCAATCTCGGCTCACAGCAACCTCCGCCTTCTGGGTTCAAGCGATTCTCCTGCCCCAGCCTCCAGAGTAGCTGGGATTACAGGCATGCGCCACCACGCCCAGCTAATTTTGTATTTTTAGTAGAGACGGGGTTTCTCCATGTTGGTCAGGCTGGTCTCGAACTCCTAACCTCAGGTGATCCACCTGCCTCAGCTTCCCAAAGTGCTGGGATTACAAGCGTAAGCCACTGTGCCCGGCCGATAATTATTCAGTTTTTACATAATTAAAATGACAAATATTATTCAAAACTGAGGCATATATATATAAGATTATATTGACACTTTTGGTACAAATTCCTATTTTCCCAGGAGTTGATTATTATTTTATTTGTTTGCATAATTTTCTACATGCCTATCACAAATTCATTCCCTATTCTTCACCAGAAGTGTAAACCTCCTCTTACTGCATTGATTCATAAAGTATTCTACAACAAATGATTTTAATTTCCTTAGTGACATCCTTACTAGAGCTGTGTGTCCTGTATTAATCTCACTTGTTGCTCTCCAGGTTTCCTGCAGAGCTGCTATGCTCAAATCACCTTCACAAAGATCATGTAGATTCTCTTTTCATCTGTAAGGTGATAGATCCCCCATTTCTTGGATCCAATGTCTTCCTCTTTCTTGTTTTCTTCCCCTTATTTTCTTAGATTATATCCTGCAGTAGCTTCCTGTAAAAGGATACATGAGACATAAGTTTTCTGAATTCCTCTGTTTGAAATTATCTTTATTCTGCTCTCACACTTCATTGATAGTTTAGCTGGGTATTGCATTCTAGGTTTAAAAGAAATTATCCTGGCTGGATGCAGTGGCTCACACCTGTAATCCCAGCACTTTGGGGGACCAAGGCGGGCGAATCGCAAGGTCAAGAGATCGAGACCATCCTGGCCAACATGGTGAAACCCTGTCTCTACTAAAAATACAAAAATTAGCTGGGCATGATGGTGCATGCCTGTAGTCCCAGCTACTTGGGAGGCTGAGGCAGGAGAATAACTTGAACCCAAGAGGCAGAGGTTGCAGTGAGTCGAGATCATGCCACTGCACTGTAGCCTGGTGACAGAGCGAGACTCCATCTCAATAAATAAATAAATAAATGAAATTATCCCTCATAATTCTTAAGGCATCGTTCATTGCTTTCCCTAGTCCAATATTGTAGTTGAGCAAGCAGTCTGATGCATTCTGATACCTACTCTTAGCATAAGACTAATTCTTTTTTCTTCTTCTGAAAGCTTTTGGGATTCTCTCATTATTCCCAATGGTCTGACACATCTCAATGATGTGCCTTGGTGTGGGCCGTTTTTTATTTGTTGTGTTGAGTACTTGGTACCTTCGATTTTTAGACATAGCCTTCAGTTCTGGGAACTTTTCTTGTATACTTTTTCCTCCATTTCTTCTCTTTCTTGAGCTCCTTGTAGTCAGATATTGTTCCTACTAGATGGATAGTCTAAGTCTCATACCTTTCCTTTCTTATTGTTAATCTACTCATCTTTTGGTTCTATTTTCAGCAGACTTCCTCAACTTTATCTCCTACTCCTACTACTGAAGTTTTTAAAATTATATTTTTAGTTTCCAAGAGCTCCTTCCTTTTTTATCTAATTGTTCTTTTATCATCGCATTCTGCTTTTATTTTATAGATACAAATCTCATAATTTTTCAGGCTATAAATTAGCATTTAAACAGTATTTTTCTATTTTCTATAGTTTCCCTTTATATTCCATTTTCTGTTTTTCATGTTTCCTCCTCTCTTTTAGGTTAGAGGTATGATTTACATGCCTCATGGTATTTTTTTGCCGACTTATATTTAAGAATAGAGCACTCAAAAGCTGACGAAGAGCTCTGTGTGGGTAGACGGTGTTTGTAGAGTGATGGGTTTCACTTTTGTATGGTATGGAAAACCTGTTATCTGTTGTATATTTAACTTTTTTGGGGAAAAAACCCCCTATATTTCCTAGGTGAGTGACTTCTGAATCTTTCTTTCCTTCCTTCCTTTCTTTTTTTTTCTTTTCTTTCTTTCCTTCTTTCTTTCTTTTCTTCCCTCCTTCCTCTCTCCTTCCTTCCTTCTTCCTCCCCTTCTCTTCCCTTCCCTTTCCCTCCCCTCCCCTCCCTTCCCTTCCCCTTCCTTTCTTTTTTATTTTCTTTCTTTTCTTTCCCGTTTTAAGACAGAGTCTTACTCCTGTAGCCCAGGCTGGAGTCAGTGTTGCAATCACAGCTCACTGCAGTCTCGACCTCCCATGTTCAGGTGATCTCACACCTCAGCCACCACACCCAGCTAATTTTTTGTACTTCTAGTACAGACAGGATTTTGCCATGCTGCCCAGGCTGGTCTCAAACTCCTGGGCTCAAGTGATCCTCCCACCTCAGCCTCCCAAAGTGCTGGGATTACAGGCATGATCCACTGTGCCCAGTAAACCTGACAGTAAGAAATTCTTTTTCATCAAGTCCCAGTCAACACACTCACATATATTTATAAAGACAAAAATGTTTTGTGAAACAATATTTACTTTCTCTTCATAGAATGCTCTCTGACATTCTCTATCTAGTCTACTGAATTTTATTTTCTTTCATGTTTGTGATGGACCATTATATATCCATTAGATACACTGCAATGAAGGGACTAGTTGCCCCAGACTGTGAGATGGCTGCTGGTGGGGACTCTTCAGTTGTTGGCCTTTTCAGGGATTGCTTCAGTGCAGAGCTGCCTTGCCCAGGGTCATACTTCCTGTGGCCATATCCAGTAAGGGTTGGGGGGTGGGGGGAGATATTAGTTTTCTAGGGCTGCCATAACAAAATGCCACAGATTTAGTGGCTTAAACAACAGAAATTAATTTTCTCACAGTTCTGGTGGCTGGAAGTCTCACTGTTCTTTGTACATGTGGGTGTCCCTGTGTGTCTTTCTCTTCTTATAAGGACACAAATACTCCTGGATTACTGCCCTATCCTAATGGCTTTGTTTTAACTTAATCATCCTTTCAAAGAGCATATTTCCAAATAAGGCTACATTCTGAGGTTCTCTGTGTTGGGACTTCAACATATGAATTTTGGGGAGATGCAATTCAGCCTATGACAGAGAATAAAGTCCTGGACATCTTGGCCTGGTGTGGGACAACTCTGAAAAGCCAGTCTAGCTTCAGTGCTCCTCGTGGGGCTGGGTGAAATAATCATTGGGTCTTGTATCACAGCTCGCATTCTCTTTTTGTCCAATTCTGTATCCTTCCACAGATATTGGTCCCAAGGACAAACCCTAATAAATGTTCTGAACTCTCAACTCCACCTCAAAGTCTGCTTCTCAAGGAACCCAACCCAAGAAAATGTTGGTTATGACCCATTAAACAGATTTTATACTCCACTAATCATAACTGAGTTCATAACCCACAATTTAGAAACATTGGCCTAGGGGTTAGTTCCCTGATTAATAGTGCTTTCATTGTGTAGGAGGGGAGAGAGCACAGATAATCCAACCATTCCCAGTGCAGACTTGCAATTCATTTGATTGTTTAGGTCCTCCTGCCTTCTTTCTTCTATCAGGCTTGGTTTTTCTGATGCTCAGGCCATTCCTACTGGGTGTCTCTTGATTAAAAAAAAAATTCGTATTTCCTCCTGGAGCAGGAGGGAGTAGCTTGGCTGCTGATATTCTGTATCTGGGGCACAAGAGTAGTTGACTGTTCCATACATAAGCTTTGAACTTATCTCAAACTTTGCACTCCGTACCTCACCCCCACTCTCTGCCAAGACTGATGACTCCAAGTCTTGAGCTTCCTTCAGGTCTTCAAGGTGAAATGTCTTATTTATCTTCAGTACACCCCACTGCACACACTTTAGACTATGGCTTTCTCTCCTTTTACATCAGTTAACCTTCCTCCATTCTCTTTCCAACAAATATTTATGAAATGTCTCATCTACTCATCACCCCTCTCCTGTTCTCTATTGAGAGAAGAGATATAAGAGATATGCCTGTGTTCATTCTGCCATCTTTAGCGAGAATCCAGCAACTAGAAACTTAGTGGCAGTTCTATCACCATGTGGCAGTTGAATGAGCCAAGAGGTCCTTACTTGTCTCTTGCTTTTGCACCCAGCTTGCACCTTTTTATATGTGGAGATTTTTACGTGAGAAGCTTTGCTTTAGGTGGGGATACAAAGTTAAATCATATAGATCTGCCTTAAAAGTCCTATGAGCCATTAAGAGCTTTAAGATTAAATATGATTCAAGAGAGAAAGTGATAAAATACATAAGAGGGCATAGCAAATTTTTGTGGAAATTTAAAGGAAAGAGTAGTTGTATTCAAAATCAAGAGTAAAAGACTGGTACATATAAAATTGAATAAAATTGGCCCTAAAGCTTAGTGCTGACAAGATAAAATGCCAGGGATCTGAAGCAAGTTTCCAGCCATGGATTGAGTGCTACTACATGTCAGGCACTGTGCTACACCTTGGAGAGATAAAAGAGAAGGACAAATGGTTCCTGGAGTTCACATTAGTTATGATATTTAAAAAGCAAAAAATAAATAAATAAGTAAACACAAATTCAGTAGTCCACTTCTTAAAATCCACTATTATACACATATTTCCTCTTCAAGATTGGATTCATAATATTGCAGAATAGATTCTGTTCACACCATGTGGCATATGATCTGAGCTCCTTGAAAGGATAAAAATAGTTGCCATGAATGGGAAGAAACTGCAGCAATATCTTTCTAATTCTTCATACTCTAAATACTCAGAGGACTCAGGAGTGACTTTAATTCTGGAACATTAGGATAGCAACATTAGGGTGATTCAGGGAAGCCTTTCTAGTAGCCTTAAAAACATAAACAAGTAGCAGAGGTTGGCCTCCCCGCCTCCCCTGGGGCCAGCCCCACAGAGTAGGGAGGCCTTGGCAGGGCTTTGATGAGTGGGCTGGCCCTTGTTTCTGGTATTGGCTCTGGAATTGCTCTGGCATAATTCACAGCCAATTAATCTTGTCAGGCAGCCTATTGATTCCAGCTATAGCTCAGACACCATCATTACAAATAACCATCCCAATAAGCCATTATCTCATTGGTGCACCCGTTCACTTCAAAATGTGAGTGAAATATTTCAATTTAGACAAAAGATGGGGAGTGTGTTTTCACTGAAACAAGTTACAATGCTCAAAGTGTATACATATACGTTGTGGTAGAGTTTTCAAAAATAGAAAATCCAATTATTGAGTAGAGGAAGTATTGAAAAAATAATCTAAGCATAAAAATGACTGTTTATCAACTACTCATTTGTGGATAAACTTGTTGATCAAGGAAAAAAACATAATGGTCATTAGAAAAAAATTATTCTCCCTCACCCCGCCACTACCGCCCAAAGCACATTCTTGAGCTTTGTCTGCTGAGCAGTGGGAGTGTGAAAACGTCTACCTGCGTGAAGGAGAGAAGATGAGTGGGTGGGTTTGTGGGAGAACAAACAAGAAGGTGGTTGAGTGGGTGCCGGGTCACTGGGCCTGTGTGGGAGGAGGCTGGGCCGCTGAGTCAGCGGGGAGCAGGAGGGCAGGTGCGTGTGGGTGATGAGTGGGTGGCAGGAGAACACAGCACAAAGCCACCTTGCATATGTGAATGTCTCAAGGAAACATTCCACAGGGCTGTATAAAAGAGCATTAGAAAACAATTAATTAGAAATTCTAGTCAGAAGAGGAAGAGCAAAGCTTTGCTGATAATGCTATCATACAGATAGTCATTTTGTGTTTATAAAATTTTGCTTTTCAGAATTATATTTGTGTTTTATAGCCTGATCACTGGAGGAGAACCTGCCACTGACATTGATAATGAATATTTCAGCTTATACATAGTTTTAGGGTGATCTCAGAGTTACCTCTATAAACAAGAGTGGCCCAAAACAGAGCAGGGGAATGAGTTGAAAACTCAAGGTTGAGGTAAACTCAAATTTCCCATCTAAAATAAGCCTTAAGACCCTAGGAAGAAAAGGGTACTTTTCTTTCCCTATGTGTTAGTCGATGGCATTTATAGTTCCTTTTGTAGCTATACATGATATTTAAAAAAATATGCCTTAAAATCTGAAATTGTAGCATAGATTTATATAAAGTTAGGGCAAAAAAGAGTCATAGAGACCATCTTCCCATATTTTACATATTTTCCCATATTTTGCAGAATGAATTAACTGATACTTAGAGAGCTTAAAAGGACTTGTCCAAGGGGTGGGATAGGAAATCTGTAAAGTCTGATCAATCAATTGATCCATCAATAAGCAAACATGGATGGAATGCAAAGGTGCCAGCCCCAACCCATGGCAGCCTCCAGGGAGAGATGTAATGCAGAAACTTGGAGGAAGAAGCTAGGGAGTGCTTAATGCTCCATGGAGAAGTGAGGCACTCTATGGGCTGGCACAGCTGGTTGCAGAATAGAAAGAGCCCCACCGTGGTGCTGCTGTACATATCTATGGGCAGATGGGAGGGACTGGGAACACTTAGCTCACTGTGTAACAGTGTGAGCTTCCTGGCTGGGAAGTCACTTTATCAGACCAGAGCTTAGCTATGGAGTTCACACCCCATTTCTACTGGTCTGTTTTCCCTTTGAGCTAATTCAGATGCTGAGCTTACTTCTTGGTCGACTACCCAAAGAGGGAAAAAACTATTTGGATTTTCTCTTTTCAGTCATCCAGGTCATCCTAAATCAAATATTTCTGGTTGCTCTCTTCCTTTTTACCAAAGTCCTTTAATTACCCTTTGAAAACTAGCTTTTCATTTACATTTCTATGTATTAAGAATATCCAGTCAAGGGCAAGATGAAACAGATGGGCAACAGTAACTACATAGTAAAATAAAAATTAAGATCCTCTTATTTTAAAAAATTTTAAAAGTTGGTAGCCTCTGAGACTCTTCCAGGGGCCATTAAAATAGAAAATCCACCTTTCTACCATGCAATTAAGCAACTGAGCTCATTATGTTATGAGAATAACTGTGACATTAATTGCAGTACTGGTATTTTGGCATTTATTTTGCAGAATATATAAATGCCTGTATTTGATTTTTAAAAAGATAGACATATATGGTGTTATGGACTGAACTCTTCCTACCTCTCCCACCAACCTCCCTCCCCCATCCCCTCTGCTAAAAAGTGTATGTTGAAATCCAAACCCTAGGACTTCTGAATGGGACTATATTTGGAGACAGAGCTTTTATAGAGGTAATTAAGGTAAAATGAGGTCATTAGGGGTGGGCCCTAGTCCAAACTGACTGGTTTCCTTATAATTAGGACATAGACTTGCATAGAAAAAGACCACGTGAAGACAGAAGGGGAAGACAAGTCAAGGAGAGAGGTCTCAGAAGAAAAACCTGCTGACATCCTGATCTTGGACTTCTAGCCTCTGGAAGTGTGAGAAAATAAATTTCCTGTTGTTTAAGCCACCCTTGCTCGAGCAGGCCAATACACATAGTTTTCATTATTTGCTACACATTGTCCCCAGGTGTTCCCTATCTGAGACAGGGTTAAGGTCCAAGACAGGGGTTTCTCTCTCCTACTTCCTGACTCTTCTCAAGTAGGATGATTGGAGAAGAAGGGCCTGTTTGAAATAAATTACTCTAGGAGAGGAGGGAAGGCCACAGAGAATGAGCGGTCCTGATGGGAGCAGACAGCATCAAGCCCCAGCATGGGAAGGTAGTAATGGGGCCTAGGAACCTCCTTCCCACTGCTCCATATCTCTCCTAGTCCTCGAGGAAGAAGCACTGGGCACACCTCTGCTCCACGTGAAATATTAACATAGTGTATAAATTCTCTGAGTATTTCTCAAAACATAAATGGTTTTGATTTCTGATGTTAGATATACTAATCTAATGATATTGTACCAACAAATACAGTATTTTGATATTTAAAAGTAACCTGAGATATAAAAACTGGTATTTGTATTTCTAATTCTACCCAGAGCTCAGCTCATTAAAGCTTACAGTTTACAGGATTGAGTCAAAGTGGCTAATCTTCCTACACACCTTGAGGATGTTATATGAATGAACCAAATGCACAATAAGTCGATGGCACTTCAAACAACAGACTAATTAACATTTTTTGGTTAGAAGTTAATAAATTCCTTGTCCAGAGTAGGCTCTCAATAAATATTTGTTGAGGTAAAAAAGAAGGTATCACCTAAGATCAAGTGGCATATTGGTTCAGATGTACAAAATTTTAATCCAGATGCTCAGTTTGTTTTTAAAAGAAGGTGATCCAAAATAATTAGGACAAATGTCATATTTTCTTTAATTTTACATTATGTATGCTGTTAGAGTATAATTTTAAAAAAGATAAAATGACTAACATGCAAGTAGAAATGAGTAGATATAGAAATTGTATTTAACACACTGAGATGAGAGAACAATGAGATGTTAAAACCGATGAGCATTTGAGAAGCTAGTCATATAGGCAGTTGAATAAAGAAAAAAAGAAGTGTGATCTAGTGATGAACACCAGCCTGGAGACCACTGCATTCATGATTTGCCTCTGCCTACTGCTTTCAACCCTCTGAAGCATTCCTATCCCAGCAGCAAAACTGCTTGACTCCCACCCACGGGCTCCTACCTTAAATCAGTCCTCTTTCCAGGCTGAAGAAATGGAAGTAGTTTTTATCTCTAACACAGCAACTCACCTGGCTTCTCATTTTTGCCCTGATCTTCTGCATCAGTACTTACAAGTGGTCTTCTGCTTTATGTCCTGAGTCTGGCCCACACATTGCACACCAGAGCTGATACCAGCCTAAATCCCTGTGCATCAGCTGCAGGCTTGGAGACCTGACCAGAACTGCCACCCTTTTAGGACTGAGCTTCTGCCTCACTCACCTCCTCCTTTTAGATACTGCCTATCTGCATCTGAATCCCAGAGCAAAGCTTGCAACTCTGCAATGGCTGACAGATTTCCCGGGTGCCAGCTACCTCCCTGGAGCAGCCAAACCTCACCTACTTCTGGACCTGCTGCCAGGGGCCAGGATACTCCTCTCCACTCACCTCCCAGGACATACCTGCTATGTTTACCACCCTTCTCCTCACAACTGCATGCCTAAACCACCACCTCTTTTTGTTGCTAACTCTGAGAATATAATAGCTTCCTAATTGCTAGACCTTGTCTTACCAGACCTTCCTCTAGCATTGGACACTGCTGACTGTTCCCTCCTGAAACGTCCTCTTCTTTGGCTTATGTGACACTCTACTCTCCTGGTTTGCTTGCCCATTTCTGTTGCAGGCTCTTCTTCTTCATCCTCTGAAGTGAAGGTGTTCTTCAGGGTTCTCTCTGTTCTCTCCTTGGCCTTCTCATTTGACTCTCTACACTCACCCTGACAACCTCATCTCTATTCCCTTGGCTTCCATCAGAACTCATACGCTCAAGGGTCCTGAATCTTTCATCTTTCTCTCCCACTCACACCTTCTTCCTGAGCTGCAACTCTCCTATCCAGTTACCTATTAGAGGCTTTCCATATACTTCAAAATCACTTCCAAATGGAAGTCAATTATCTTTCTTTCCAAACTTACATTTTCTGCTTTCCTAGTCTCCAGTAAATAGAATGGCCATTCAATCAAGCCAGAAACCCAACATTATCTTCATGGATAACTGGTAACCAATTCCAGTGGATTTTAGCTCCATCCCACTGCCACTGTCTTGCTTTATATTCTATTATTCTGGCCTATCTTCACTTTGAATGTTCTTGCTATTTCCCTTCTACCATCCTTCTTACATACTGCCACCAAAGTAAGAAAACATTGTGAAGTGCAACCAATTTAGTGAATCACATTAGCTTTTCTAGATGAAATAGATTAAAATGGAAAATGCGAGGGTAAAAAAAGTTTCATCATATTTTCTTTACATATAATATTCATATATACACATATATATATGCTATCCATAATCTGTGTATGAATTAGCATGCAAAGTGTCTTCCTTATTAATAGGTGATGGTGATCAAAGAAGTTCAAAAGCCATTCATCTAAAACACAAATCCTATCAGTTTACTTTATTTTTTGAAATACTTCATCGGCTCCTCTTTTTCCACATAATAAAGCCCAAATGTTTAGCAGAATCTTCAAACTCCTATGATGAGTCTGCAGCCTACTTCTCTTCACTCCTTCTCTTGGCTTCCACTTTAGGGTTACATGGTGGTATGCCAGAAGGTACTAAGAGCCACTGGATAAACCTGTATTATTACCAGCTATAACAATTTTACCTGCTGGCAAGTAGTGCAAAATATTCTTTTAGTATCTAAATAGCACAGATATATTACAAAATAGAATTTAAAGTTGGCATGAATTTTTTTTATTATCCTTTACGTTCTGGGGTACATGTGCACAACGTGCAGGTTTGTTACATAGGTATACATGTGCCATGGTGGTTTGCTGCACCCATCAACCCGTCATCTACATTAGGTATTTCTCCTAATGCTATCCCTCCCCTAGCCCCTAACCCCAAACAGGCCCCGGTGGGTGATATTCCCCTCCCTGTGTCCATGTGTTCTCATTATTCAACTTCCACTTATGAGTGAGAACATGCAGTGTTTGGTTTTCTGTTCTTGTGTTAGTTTGCTGAGAATGATGGTTTCCAGTGTCATCCATGTCCCTGCAAAGGACATAAACTCATCCTTTTTATGGCGTCATAGTATTCCATGGTGTATATGTGCCACATTTTCTTTATCCAGTCTATCATTGATGGGCATTTGGGTTGGTTCCAAGTCTTTGCTATTGTGAACAGTGCTGCAATAAACATATGTGTGCATGTGTCTTTATAGTAGAATGATTTATAATCCTTTGGGTATATACCCAGGAATGGGATTGTTAGGTCACATGGTATTTCTAGTTCTAGGTCCTTCAGGAATCACCACACTGTCTTCCACAATGGTTGAACTAATTTACACTCCCACCAACAGTGTAAAAGCGTTCCTATTTCTCCACATCCTCTCCAGCATCTTTTGTTTCCTGACTTTTTAATGATTGCCATTCTAACTGGCGTGAGATGCTATCTCACTGTGGTTTTGATTTGCATTTCTCTAATGACCAGTGATAATGAGCATTTTTTCATATGTTTGTTGGCCACATAGATGTCTTCTTTTGAGAAGCATCTGTTCATATCCTTTGCCCACTTTTTGATGGGGTTGTTTTTTTTTCCTTGTAAATTTGTTTAAGTTCTTTTTAGATTCTGGATATTAGCCCTTTATCAGATGGATACATTGCAAAAATTGTCTCCCATTTTGTATGTTGCCTGTTCACTCTGATGATAGTTTCTTTTGCTGTGCAGAAGCTCTTTAGTTTAATTAATCCCACTTTCAATTTTGGCTTTTGTTGCCATTGCTTTTGGTGTTTTAGTCATGAAGTCTTTGCCCATGCCTATGTCCTGAATGGTATTGGCTAGGTTTTCTTCTAGGGTTTTTATGGCTTTAGGTCTTACGTTTAAGTCTTTAATCCATCTTGTATTAATTTTTTATAAGGTGTAAGGAAGGGATCCAATTTCAGCTTTCTGCATATGGCTAGCCAGTTTTCCCAATACCATTTATTAAATAGGGAATTGTTTCCCATTGCTTGTTTTTTGTCAGGTTTGTCAAAGATCAGATGGTTGTAGATGTGTGGCATTATTTCTGGGGCCTCTGTTCTGTTCCATTGGTCTACATATCTGTTTTGGTACCAGTACCATGCTGTTTTTATTGCTATAGCCTTGTAGTATAGTCTGAAGACAGGTAGCATGATGCCTCCAGCTTTGTTCTTTTTGCTTAGGATTGTCTTGACTATGTGGGCTCTTTTGTGGTTCCATATGAAATTTAAAGTAATTTTTTCTAGATCTGTGAAGAAAGTCAATGGTAGCTTGATGGGGATAGCATTGAATCTATAAATTACTTTGGGCAGTATGGCCATTTTCATGATATTGATTTTTCCTATCCATGAGCCTGGAATGTTTTTCCATTTGTTTGTGTCCTCTCTTATTTCCTTGAGCAGTGGTTTGTAGTTCTCCTTGAAGAGGTCCTTCACATCCCTTGTAAGTTGTATTCCTAGGTATTTTATTATCTTTGTAGCAATTGTGAATGGGAGTTCACTCATGATTTGGCTGTTTGTCTGCTATTGGTGTATAGGAATGCTTGTGATTTTTGCACATTCATTTTGTATCCTGAGACTTTACTGAAGTTGCTTATCAGCCTAAGGAGATTTTGGGCTGAGACAATGGGGTTTTCTAAAGATACAATCATGTCATCAGCAAACAGAGACAATTTGACTTCCTCTCTTCCTAATCAAATATGCTTTATTTCTTTCTCTTGCCTGATTGCCCTGGCCAGAACTTCCAATACTGTGTTGAATAGGAGTGTTGAGAGAGGGCATCCATGTCTTGTGCCGGTTTTCAAAGGGAATGCTTCCAATTTTTGCTCATTCAGTATGATATTGGCTGTGGGTTTGTCATAAATGGCTCTTATTATTTTGAGATACGTTCCATCAATGCCTAGTTTATTGAGAGTTTTTAGCATGAAGAGCTGTTGAATTTTGTCAAAGGCCTTTTCTGCATCTATTGAGATAATCATGTGGTTTTTGGCATTGGTTCTGTTTTATGTGATGGATCACAATTATTGATTTGTGTTTGTTGAACCAGCCTTGCATCCCAGGGATGAAGCCAACTTGATCATGGTGCATAAGCTTCTTGATGTGCTGCTGGATTTGGGTTGACAGTATTTTATGGAGGATTTTCGCATCAATGTTCATCAGGGATATTGGCCTGAAATTTTCTTTTTTTGTTGTGTCTCTGCCAGGTTTTGGTATCAGGGCGATGCTGGCCTCCTAAAATGAGTTAGGGAGGATTCCCTCTTTTTCTATTGTTTGGAATAGTTTCAGAAGGAATGGTACCAGTTCCTCTTTGTACCTCTGGTAGAATTCAGCTGTGAATCCATCTGGTCCTGGACTTTTTTTGGTTGGTGGGCTATTAATTGCTGCCTCAATTTCTCTGTATTTCCTGAATTTGAATGTTGGCCTGCCTTGCTAGGTTGGGGAAGTTCTCCTGGATAATATCCTGAAGAGTGTTTTCTAACTTGGTTCCAATCTCCCTGTCACTGTCAGGTACAACAATCTAATGTAGAGTTGATCTTTCACAAAGTCCCATATTTCTTGGAGGCTTTGTTTGTTCCTTTTCATTCTTTTTTTTTAGCATGTCTTCTCGCTTTATTTCATTAAGTTGATCTTCAATCTCTGATATCCTTTCTTCTGCTTGATCAATTTGGCTATTGATACTTATGTATGCTTCATGAAGTTCTTGTGCTGTGTTTTTCAGCTCCATCAGGTCATTTGTGTTCTTCTCTAAACTGGTTATTTTAGTTAGCAATTCTTCTAACCTTTTTTCAAGGCTATTCGCTTCCTTGCATTGGGTTAGAACATGCTCCTTTAGCTCGAAGGAGTTTGTTATTACCCACCTTCTGAAGCCTCCTTCTGTCAATTTGTCAAACTCATTCTCTGTCCAGTTTTGTTCTCTTGCTGGCAAGGAGTTGTGATCCTTTGGAGGAGAAGAGGCATTCTGGTTTTTGGAATCTTCAGCTTTTTTGCACTGGTTTTTCCCCATCTTTGTGGATTTATCTACCCTTGGTCTTTGAATTTGGGGACCTTCAAATGGGGTCTCTGAGTGGATGTCCTTTTTGTTGATGTTGATACTATTCCTTTCTGTTTGTTAGTTTTCCTTCTAACAGTCAGGCCCCTCTGCTGCAGGTCTGCTGGAGCTTGCTGGAGCTTGCTGGAGGTCCACTCCAGACCCTGTTCGCCTGGGTATCACCAGCAGAGGCTGCAGAACAGCAAAGATTGCTGCCTGTTCCTTCCTCTGGAAGCTTTGTCCCAGAGGGGCACCCACGAGTTGCCAGCCAGAGCTCTCCTGTATGAGGTGTCTGTCGGCCCCTATTGGGAGGTGTCTCCCAGTCAGGATACCTGGGTGTCAGGGACCCACTTGAGGAGGCACACTGTCCCTTATCGGAGCCTGAACACTGTGCTGTGAGATCCACTGCTCTCTTCAGTGCTGCCAGGCAGGGACGTTTAAGTCTGCTGAAGCTGCCTCCACAACCGCCCCTTCCCCCAGGTGCTCTGTCCCAGGGAAGTGGGGGTTTTATCTATAAGTCCCTGACTGGGACTGTTGCCTTTTTTTCAGAGATGCCCTGCCCAGAGAGGAGGGAACCTGGAGAGGCAATCTGGCTGCAGAGGCCTTGCTGAGCTGCAGTGGGCTCCGCCCAGTTTGAAATTCCTGGTGGCTTTGTTTACACTGTGAGGGTAAAACCACCTACTCAAGCCTCAGCAATGGTGGACACCCTTCCCTCCACCAAGCTCCAGAGTCCCAGGTCGAGCTCAGACTGCTGTGCTGGCAGCAAGAATTTTAAGCCAGTGGATCTTAGCTTGCTAGGCTCTGTGGGGGTGGGACCTGCAGAGCCAGACCACTTGGCTCCCTGGCTTCAGTCTCCTTTCCAGGGGAGTCAACGGTTCTGTCTCCCTGGTGTTCCAGGCGCACTGAGGTATGAAAAAAAAACTCCTGCGGCTAGCTCGGTATCTGCCCAAACAGCTGCCCAGTTTTGTGCTGGAAACCCAGGGCCCTGGTGACGTAGGCACTGGAGGGACTCTCCTGGTCTGTGGGTTGTGAGGACTGTGGGAAAAGCGCAGTATCTGGGCCGGAGTGCATGGTACAGTGCCTAATGACTTCCCTCGGCTAGGAGAGGGAGTTCCCCTGACCCCTTGTGCTTCCCGGATGAGGCGATGCCCCACCCTGCTTCAGCTCGCCCTCCTTGGGCTGCACCCACTGCCCAACCAGTCCCAGTGAGATGAACTGGGTACCTCAGTTGGAAATGCAGATATCACTCGCCTTCTGCATTGATCTCACTGGAAGTTGTAGACCAGAGCTGTTCCTATTCAGCCATCTTGCCAGCAATCTCTCTCAGCATGAATTTTAAGGTAAAAATATTAGAATGTAATAAAAGAGTCCATGGAGATGTAGGACAGGATCCTCCTCTCTGCCTCTCGGAGCACTCAGGAGTAAATGTTTGAGAAATGCTGCCACAATCACCAGAAATGTTCTGACATGGTCCTCTCACACCTATCATGAATCAAAGCTACTCATGTTCAGCAACACGCAGATTTTGTGATGCCACCTGGAGCTGCTCAAGCTACAGGCTCCACAAAGCTCTCTGCTGAAGTGGATGTTAGCTAGCACGAAAAAGCAAACCAGAGGATTTGTAGTCAGAAAACCTCAATTCAAATGCCACTCCTGTCACTTACAGGCTTTAAGGTGCTAGACAAAGCTTTTAGCCAGACCATGAGAGTGATCTGCCTGCAGCACCTGTCACCCTGTGGGTCCTCTGGGAGTATATGACTGATAGAGCTGACTAGGCAGGTTTCTACTTCTTTCCACATGCTACACAGGGATCTCACCAAAGCTGAGCCCTTGGTGGAAAAGTGAACACTTTGCAGGTAGAGGTGGTAAGAGTCCTTCTTGCTACAATCTTAAATCAAGTCATTTGAGTTCTCTAAGTTCAATTTTTTTTTTCTGACGAAGAATGGAATGCATAATAACAGTATCTCCCTAAGAGGACTATTTTGAGGATTAAATGAGGTAGTGTATGTGAAAACACTGTGTAAATAGACCTCTTCCTCTACAATAATAAGAATTGTTGTTTTTTAGTGTTACAGCTCTTTTAGAATTTGTCTAGCAGCTTTTCCAGGAAAACCCCTCACAAAAAAAAAAAAGAAATTGTTATTTTTATAATATTCTGCTTACGAACTGCTTTGTACCAAAGTTTTGTGTAAATTTGGTTTCCATTAATACTTGGAACACTTAATTTTTTTTAACTGGTTCTAGGACACAGATATTTTCTCTCTTTAACCATACCAGCAGTAGACTGAAAAAAATACACTGCTATACAATTCTTAGAGGATTTTATAACATTGAGAACACATTCCCTAAACTGTTGAAGTTACAATTACATTATCAAAGCTTAGAAAGTTAATACCAATTTACCATTTCTGATTCTTGTGAAAATGGGGATTCTACGTAGCAAAGAGAATTTTTTTTTTTTTGAGATAGGTTCTCACTCTATTGCCCAAGCTGGAGTGCAGTGGTGGGATCATAGCTCACTGTAGCCTCGAACTCCTGGAATCAAGCAATCTTTCTGCCTCAGCCTCCCAAGTAGCTGGGATTATAGGTGTGTGCCACCACTCCTGGCTATTTTTCTTTCACTGGTAGAGATGGGGTCTTGGTATGTTACCCAGGCTTGTCTTGAACTCCTGGCCTCCTGCCTTAGCCTCCCAAAGCACTGGGATTACAGCAGGAGCCACCTTGACCAGCCAAAGAAGAGAATATTTTTAATCTATTCAGTGGGTTCTGGGAAGATGACAGTGGCAGCAGTATATTTTAAAATCCAAATCTCAACATAAAAACAGAGTAACTACTTAACAAAATAAAAAACTCAGAGACAATATTTATAATGACTAGTTACCAGGCATCCACACTGATGAATGAAGACGAACCACCAAACAGCCACAAGACCTGAATTATATCAGCATCTGAGCAGGAGGAAGCAAGGGGGGAAGCAATGAAACTTGACAGACTTTGACAGACTTGAGAATGAGGGAAGCCCAAAACAGCAACAGCTATTTACTGGGAAACACGTGGGTAGGTCTTGCCCAACCCACAAGTTGTGAGTGCAAAAGGTCTGCTACAAAGACTGAGAGTGCTTAAGCAATCTAGATCTTACGATTTCTCTCTAGAAACATGACCTGCCCGGGCTCCCTTCCAGGATTCCCTTCCAGGACTGGGTCACACTAAAGAGAAATACCAAGTGGAATCAAAATGGAGCTGGACAGAGACATGGATAGCAGAACAACTGATAAAGGAGGCCCAGATAACGGGAGAGGAGGGAATAGAACCAGGAAATCTTATACGGCAAGCTGACTCTTTTTAATACATAAAAACAACAGAAGAGGGAGTTTGTGTGAAGTTAGAGAAGCTACCCAAAAATCACGAATCAGTCCTACTAACAGTTATGGAAAGACACTTTCATGTAAAAATTTAAAACAGAAAAGTATTGAGGCGAAATCTCTTGCACTTATTCCTAAGGGGAAAAAATGAGCAGAAAAATCCCTACACAAGAAAGACATGCTCACAGAACAAATCTAAACTATAACTTTCTATTTCAAAAGAAGCTAAAATACATTAAGAAAATGATACAAGAAATGAAATGCAAACATTAATCCAAATTTTAAAAACTCAGAATTGAGGTGGCAGAACTCAGGGGACAATTAGAAATAAAATAAAAATTATTTCAGAAATGAAACTATACTAGGAGAAACAGAAGAGCAAAGAAAACAAAACAAACTTTGCCCTAGGAGAAATAGAAAATTGAAAAAAGAAGAAAAAAAAATTAAATGAAAAAGAAATAAAGAAAAAGATTAAAACCATTAGAGAGAAATTGACAAATATTGAAGATGGATGAGAAGATTCAACCACAAATAACCAGAATCTATGAAGAAGAAAAGTAAAACAAGGGGACAAAACAAATATTTAAAACTATAGTTGGAGAAAATTTTCCCTAAACAATAATATGAAACTATATGTTGAAAAAGCACACTATGTAGCTGAGAATATTGACCTACAACAAATAACACCAAGATGTATTTCTAGTAAGATGGATGAACTTAAAAAAAAAAAAAAAAAGTCCATTGGCTATGAAGTCAAAACCAGCAAGTGATTTGTAAGGGTAAGAAGATTAGATTACCATCATATTTTTTACAACAATACTTTATGCCAAAAGAAAACAGAATAACATACTAAAGAGACTCAAGGAATACAATATGAACCAACATTAAAATGCTCAACTATAAAAGCCACTGAACAATATTTACAATGACTAGGTTACCAGGCATCCACACAAACGAGTGAAGACAAAAACTTTGAGAATACTGTTTTTTAGCCCTTCCTAAAGATTCTAGTGAATGAGTTTCAGATCATTAAAAGATATATCAACATGAGGACTGATGGTATACATTAAAGACAGTTACCTGAAACTAATAATAAGTGTGAGTTAAGAGAGAGCATAACATGTAAAGGCTACATTTGTACAAAATGCAGATATAGCACTGCTATTAAAAAATAGAGAAGGGAGATGATATGAAAAAAGTACTTTAAGCTGTATTTTGTTCTTATGCTATTGGTAGTAGTATGTGTATTATTATTCTGATCCTGTTGTGTGTGTAACGTGGAATAAAGTTAATGAGTAATTATGAGATATTCTAATTTCATCGCTATGGTTTGAATGTTTGTGTCCCCCCAAAATTTATATGTTGAAATCTTAACCCCCAAGGTGATAGTATTAGGAGGTAGGGCCTTGTCGGGGGATTAGGTTGTGAGAGCAGAGCCCTCATGAATGGAATTAGTGCCCTTATAAAAGATGCACCAGGTAGCTTGTTCACCCATTCCACCAGGTGGGGACATAGTAAGAAGGAGCCACCTATAAACTGGGAAACAGGCCCTCACCAGACATGGAATCTACCGGTATCTTGATCCTGGACTTCCCAACCTTCAGATTTGTCAAAAATAAATATCTGTTCTTTGTAAGCTATCCAGTTTATAGTATTTTGTTATAGCACCCCAAACAGATTAAGACACTGTCATCTACTGTATACCTGGGAACTAGGAATCTTGATATGGGGAAAAGAGATGCAATGTAGTATAAATAAAGCTATGTAAAAAACCCCATAGTCCTGAACTTTCATTAGAAATATCAGTGTGATCATTAGATATTTTATTTGTAGAGTTATATCAATATGTATACTTATCAGTAGACAGGCTTTCTAGTTCTGCTACTGAAAAGTTGCAGAAACAATAACCAACCAGGTAGAACCAAGCATTAATGCCTGGACTGTAGTCTTGAAATTTTATTTCCCAAACGTTTTGCTTTGAAATCTAATTTCAAATATATCAGGACTTTTTGGAGACATGACGGATTCCATGTCTAGGGAAGGAACCATACAAATGATCCTGGAATATCTGATATCAGATATCAAAGAAACTGGCAAAAATTTACTAGGATATGTCAAAAGGGCTCAGGAGCCAACTTGAAGAGAATCCTATTGGTCGAAGATAGGACAATTTGAGCTTCAGGAAAAAAAAAGTAATAATTGCTATTCATCGAAATCTTATTAAATATATAGAAATCCATGAGTTCATGATAATATTATTCAAAAAAACAAAGAATTGTTCAGCTTCAGAGGATGAAAAGGAACCAATTAATTATCTTGAAAACTGGTAAATTAGGGGAAAAGAACCAATCACTTATCCTGCCTTTTCTACATGAACTGCACCATTGGGTAGCCAAATAGTAGATGAGGAGATCCATTTCCTTATAAAAGTATTCCAACTAATATATGAAAAAGAAATCACGGAATTTGAGTGTCAACATTTTGCAACCTCCAATGAATTAGTGGATCTAGATATCAATAGTTCCTAATGTCACAAAAAGAGAGTCAGTCAGACATTTTATGAAAGAACACACACAAAACCTATAGCCTCACTGAAAGGGATAAAACCCAAGTCTGCGGAAGCCTTTGAATCCAGTTGCCAGTTTTCAGGAACAGAGAACAGAGGCACATGCCAAACTGCACTGTAAGTATGAAAACAGTGATACTCAGCTGTGGGAAACTACATATCAAACAGCTCTAGTTTTTCAATAGATATATCATAAGGAAAAGAGAAAGTGGAGGGGTGAACAGGTGGATATGAGAGACTTAAGGGACAACCAAAACAATTATTAATGGGCAAAAATATAGTGTCTATGGATGTACACTTGGTTCATACAACTATAAACAAACACATGAAAGTGATTATTATAAAAATCAGGATGGTGGATATTTTTGGAGTAGGAAGAGGTTTGAAATTGGGACAAGGCACATGGAGAGCTGGAGTAGCTGGAAAATTCTACTTCTTGATTTGGGTGATGGCTACCAGCATGTCTGCTGTATAATAACCCACTAAGCACACATTTATTTTTGTATAGCTTTCTAAATCTGTTTTACTTCATGATAGATATAAAGATTAAGAGTAACAAAAATCTGTTTAACATAAAAGATCGCTATCACAACAAAGAATTTTAACAAGATTCTCTCATTGGTATTACTCAAGATTGAAAAATAATGAAAAGTACCTATAATATTTCAGTACTTACTATATACAGCAAAAAGTAGAAAGAGGGAAAACTAGGAAAAGGCAAGAATCAGGTGAAACAGTGAAATGGAGGGGAAGGAGTAACCTCTAAATCTTAAAACAAATCCAAGAAAATTAGTATGTTTAGATGAGCTGTTTGCCCTAAAGTGGGCTTAGATTTTACATAGAGGAATACATATTTATGAAGCCCTCATTACTTAGGTCTGGCCCTTTGAAACTCAGGGTATAAAATTTTCCTTGGCCTATTCTAACCTTGCTTTAATTATTGCTGAAATAAGTTAAGAGGCTTAAATTTTAAATGGATTGTTTTAAACATTAGTGTTAGGCAAATTATCTTTAAGTGAAAAGAAAAAAAAAAGGAGTGCCATCAGAATCCTAATGCCAAGATATATGAACATGTAGTTCCAGGGACACAACCACAATGTGGTTAGGAGAGACAAATTCTAACCTGCAGAATGCATGCCTGAAAAAGGAGTCTACATCCTCCCTCTTTCCTTCTATTTGCTCCACTGTCTTAATGGCTTATCCTGCCTGTCATTCCAAGTGGCAAGTGACCTAGTTAACCCAGCTTTCTCACACTGGACCATCTGGATTAGTCACTGCTCTTTCCACCCCACCTCTCCTTTTTTATCTCCTCTTTCTTTTTCTGCCATTCCTATTATCTTTTCCTTACTTTCCTCATGATAACCCATCCTCCTTTATCGAATTTTTCTTATTTTATTATAAGAATAAGAAGTATTTGTGGATGGGCACGGTGGCTCACACCTGTAATCCCAGCACTTTGGGAGGCCAAGGTGGGCGGATCACCTGAGGTCAGGAGTTTGAGACTAGCCTGGCCAACATGATGAAACCCCATCACTACTAAAAAATACAAAAAGAAAAAAAATTAGCTGGGTGTGGTGCAGTGCACCTGTAGTCCCAGCTACTCAGGAGGTTGAAGCACGAGAATCGCTTGAACCCAGGAGGTGGAGGTTGCAGTGAGCCAAGATGGCACCACTGCACTCCAGCCTGGGTGACAGAGCAAAACTCCATCTCAAAAACAAAAGAATAAAAAGTATTTGCAATTTTGCTATTTAGGAAATTGAATGATTTAAAATAAAGATGTTATCTCAATCTACTCAACAGGATTAATAGGGGAAAAATACATAATTGGTGCAGAAGCAACTCCCATTTTGAGTCAGTGTGTATATTTCAAAATAGAAAATACATTTGTCAAAGTTTAGAATAATGAATAAAACTCATTTATTAAGTCACCATAAAGTTTCAGATTACCATTTTCACACATTTATGAAGGCTCTGGGGAGCTGTCAAAAATATCACCATAGTGATTTTCTCCACTGCCTATTACTATTCCAGTTTTTGTCTTCTATGAAACCACTTCCCACTATAAAGTTTAAAAATACCAGACACTCGCTCCACCGCTTTTAGCAAGGGTATAGGCTACCAAAATACATGGGACCAGAAAGTCTGAGGAGTCTGACGAGAAGGTGAAGATGAGAGCTTTCAAGAAAGTCTTTTCTTCCCCATTCAAGAGATGAAAAGGGAGATAGTCCTCCCTATATTTGGTTGTGATTGTGTGAGAACCCAGTGTCAGCAGCAAGGACGGCCTTTTTCAATTATGAAGGCAAAAGCTTAAGGACAAAGTCCAACAAGTGGAGAGTGGTGGAAAGAAGCTGAAAACAGCCTGGGTCCTTGGGAGCATGCTTAAGCTACTGAATCAACTGGCTTTGAGACTTCCGTGCACACAACATAATAAATGTTTTGTTTAAGACACTTTTAGTTATACATTTTGTTACTTGTAGTTGGAAATATCCTAGCTAATATATACCTCAACAATACAGGTAGATTTCTTGACTCTATTGCTAAGGACAGGACCTATAAATCACAGTAAACAGATGTAATAAAATGGGGGTGGGGGTAGGGGAAGTAACTGAAATGTACCAAATAATAATAATTATTCATTTTCATCTAACGTTAGAGACTTTGCATAGTGTAAGCAAAAATATATCTAATTTCAGGTAGATGGACTTTATTGGCAAAATATGATTAACGACATTAGCAAAACTTAGAAGTATAGTCGTCCCTCAGTATCTGTGGGAGACTTATTCCAGGACCTCCCATGATACAAAAATCCAGAGACAGTCAAATCTCTGATATAAAATGTTGCAGTAAGTACTTGTATATAGCCTACATTCATCTTCCCATACACTTTAGATTAGCTCTAGTTTACTTATAATACCTAATACAATGTAAATCCCAAGCAAATTGTTGTTATACTGTATTGTTTAGGGACTAACAAGGGAAAACAGTCTGTATGTGTTCAGTATAGATGCAGCCATCTTTTCTTTTTTAAAAAAAAAAATTTTCTGTCTGTGGTTGAGTAAGGCCATGGATGCGGAACACACAGATATGGAGGGGCTGACTGTGTATTTGTTGAATTATTTATACATTCCACTTTCCACGGTTTCTTTTGAAACATGACTAATCTAGAAATTGTGATTTTGTTATAGAAACAGTGTAGAACAAATAGATTCTATTATGTCAATTTTCTTTGTAAAATAAAATACTAGGAGTATCTAGATTATAAATTTCTTTCCCACACTGGGTTGCGTTTTCTTTGACATTCCACTCCTATGACCAGCAATAATGTGCTAGAAAAATAGGGAGTGAAAGATCTGTATAAAAACTCTGTAACATACTTGAATGTAGCCAGATACGGAGTACAAAGAGACAGCAATAATGAAAACAGAGGCTCTGGAGAACTGACTTTAAAAAAGAAAAAGAAAGAGAGGGAGAGGGAAAGAGAGAGAGAGAACATAGAAGCAGAACAAAATCTGAGACACTGTTATATCTCTGTTCCCCAACCTCCACCCACCCCTTTTTAAAAATATTTGAGTTCTTTCCAAAAACACATGAAAGAAAATAGATTGAAGAATTTTCTGCATAGATTGTGATTGCTGGGGATATTCTGAAGTGCATGATCAAGAACTGAAAGCTAGAAGAGACAATCCCGATGTCTTAACTGAATTGAAAGGTTCCTGAATCATACATAAATCTCTTTCATTATCAAAAAACGACTAAGAAAGGCAGTTAAGTAACTTAAACTAAACGGATATCTGCTGTTTGTAGGTTTCCTTGAAAGAAAATAAACTTTGAAATATAACTCATCTTCTCTCACTGTAAATCATCTTAAAAGAAATTACCCCAGTGGGGGGAAAAAAGAGAACGCTAGATAGTAGAGAATGGCTGATTGAAAAAAATGTTTCCTAATGGTGTGTTAGTTGCAAAGAAAACTTTGGCAGAGGCTCCTTAGGAATCAAGTGAAGTGGAGTTGGTGAGATCGGATGGTGTCAAAGCAAGAGACAAACTAGAGTCCCAATGCTGGGAAATTTTATTTATAGTGTAATCCTAAACCTACTAACTGAAAAATAAATCTTTTTTTTTCTTACTTTTTTGTTTTATTTATTTACTTACTTTTGAGACAGGGTCTTGATTTGTTGCCCAGATTGGAATGCAGTGGCGTAATCATAGCTCACTGTGGCTTGAACTCCTGGCTCAAGTGATCCTCCTACATCAGCCTCCTGAGTAGCTGGGACTACAGGTGTGTGCCACTACACCCAGCTAATTTTTTTTTTTTTTTTTTTTTTTGCGGGGGTAGAGACAGTGTCTCACTATGGTGACTAGGCTAGTCTAGAATTCCTGAGCTCAAGTGATCCTCCTGCCATGGCCTCCCAAAGTGCTGGTATTACAGGCATGAACCACCACACCTGGCTACTTTTTAAAAAAATAATAAATAACTGGTGACCAGTTTCCTGTATCTTAGTTACCTTAAATGTACTCTTAGATGCACTGTATTTGTTCAACTTTGCTTTTTTCAGATTAACTGATTATACTATTTTTCCCATTAATACTATTTTCCAGCCATGATTCAGTAATCACCAATCACTTTTGAGTATTTTTTCTCACCACTAATACAGTATAGTCAAAAGAATATTTGCTTCAGAATCATAAATGTAAATCCCCAAGCTATATATCAGACCTACTGAATAAGAATCTTTAGAGATGGGACTCTCATTCACACCAAAATTTGAGAATCACAACTTAAAAAAATTCCACATCTCTCAACTTACAGGAATTTAACCAATTTTTTTTTACCAAGAGCTTTAGCAATTTATTATAGAGGACATATTACCTTTTTCTTAATAAATTATATTTATTCTAATCCTATACAATATCATTTATTTTTATTGAAATAACCTATTTATTAGTTTTGACATGACTTATTAAAATTACTGAACTAGTATATGGCAAGTCAATTTCAAAATATTTTCTAAATGAAATATGCTAAGAAAAACGTGATACAACAAATCAACTTCTATTTTTATTCTTTTATGGAGAAGTCTCAGATACTCTGTCTTTTAATGAGTAAAATTCTAAAACTGGGGATTTTTGAAAGAAAGAAATGATGACACATAGCCTCTGTAATCTTTATGGCATTGGCTGGTATTATTGCAGTAACAGACTAAATTTTTCTTTATCAAAGAACCTAAAGTAGTAGAACTTTGCCATTTTCTTTTAACTTAATTAAATGTTCTACCTAAAAGCTAAGTGAAAGCTCCTAAATAATTTCTCACATGAGCTGAATTTTACTTCTGATTCATAGTGACTGATTATAGCCCATGACAGTTACTGAAAATTAATTAGTTATAAAGAGCAAGAACCATAGAAATAAAAAAGCAGAGGCTGAAAATTGAATTGTCATCTTTTTCACATCACATGGAAATAGTCTAATGGAATTAAAGAATTTATGAGACTTCTGGTTCCAAAATGGTGGGTTATAAGCAAGCTGGCTTCACTTTTTTTCTACAGAAACCCAAAAACAAATATACAGCCCCTAACATTATCACCAGCAAAATTCCTGAACTCCAATAGGAGGATGAGACAGTTCCTGAAGCCACAGAGAAGTGAAAAAATTACAAGCAGGTGGTAAGAGAATTGAACTTACATATTTACAATGCACCTCTCCTCAATCTGCCTGTCACCAAGTGTGTGGTATTTCAGGCACTGCTGATGCTTCCCAAGGGTTGAGGCAGGAACAGGACTCCTGCCAGGGAACCCAAGATGGTGAGAAAGCTGATTGTCCACCTCAATCTCACTTTTCCAGTGTAAAAACTGTGAGCCAGGGAGAAATATCCTTGAGAACAGCCAGAGACAGGGGCAAAAAGAGAGGACAACCATCCCACCTAAAAACTCTGCTCAGTGACTTGGCCAAAAGAGATATCAAATGAGAGTGACTGTTCATCAGCACTGTGCTGTCGGAGGTTTGTTCCACAGGTACCCTGGGCACAAACTCCTAGCCAGCCTTTTCACAGTAGCAGGCTACCCACTTTGGGACCTCCCTCATTTGGGACAGGTGGCACTCTGGTTATTTATTAGTGCCAGGCAAACTGGGCTTAAGGCACCATCCAGGGCTGAAAAGAAGATAGCAGCCTAGTCACGGGTGGAGGGAAGACTATCAATAAATAAATTACAAAGAATCTGAGCAAACATGTACAGTAAAAACCCAAACAAGCCAGATAGAGAAGACTGGAATAAGTAACTAATTCTTCATTACAAAGACATAGATATAGATTCACAAGAAACTATAGTAAACAGGGAACCATGACCTCTCCAGACACACAAAGCAAAGAACCAGTGACTAAACCTACAAAAACAGTGCTATGTGAACTTTCTGACCAAGAATTCAAAACAGCAGATTTAGGGAAACTTAGTGATCTCTAAGATAACACAGAATAGCAATTCAGAAATTTATCAGAGAAATTTAACAGAGATTAAAATAATTTTAAAAATCAAATAGAAATCTTAGAACTGAGAAACACATTTGCTAAACTGAAAAATTCATTAGTGGTTCTCAACAGCAGAATAGATTCAGCAGAGGAAAGAATCAGTGAGCCTGAAGACAGGCTATTTAAAAAGACACAGCCAGAAGAAAAAAAAAAGTAAAAAAACAATGAAAAGGAAGATCACCTACAAGATATAGAAAGTTACCTCAAAAATCAAATCTCAGGGCTGGACACAGTGGCTCACACCTGTAATCCCAGCACTTTGGGAGGCCAAGGTGGGCAGATCACTTGAGGTCAGGAGTTCAAGACTAGCCGGGCCAACATGGCGAAATTTTGTCTCTACCAAAAATACAAAACTCAGCTGGGTGTGGTGGTGCACTCCTGTAGTCCCAGCTACTAGGGAGGCTGAGGCAAAAGAATTGCTTGAACCTGGGAGGCAGAGGTTGCAGTGAGCCAAGATTGCACCACTGCACTCAAGCCTGGGCAACAGAGCAAGACTCCACCTCAAAAACACAAAACAAATCTAAGAATTATGTGTGTTCAAGAGGGAGTTGGGCAAGAGCAAGAGGTAGAAAGCTTATTCAGAGAAATAATAACAGAAAAATTTCCAAAACAGAAAGAGATAAATATCCAGGTACAGGAAGGTCAGAGAACACCAAACAGATTTAACCTTAGTAAGACTACCCCAAGGCATGTAATAATCAAACTCAGACGACAAAGAGAGGATCCCAAAAGCAGCAAAAAGAAACAAATAACATATGAAGGAGCTCCAATTTTTCTGGCAACAGACTTCTCAACAAAAACCATACAGGCCAGGAGGAAATGGGACATTTTCAAAGTGCTGTTAGAAAAAGAAAAAAAAAAACTGCTATCCAAGAATACTGTATTCTGCAAAGCTATCTTTCAAATATAGAGAAGAGATAAAATCCTTCCCAGAAAAATGTTCACAGAATTCAGCACCAGCCCCATCTTACAGGAAATGCTAAAGGGAGTTCTTCAATCTGAGAGGTAAAAACACTAAGTTGCAAATAGAAAATATTTGAAAGTTTAAAACCCAGTGGTAAAATTAAGTATGTGGGCAAACCCAGAATACTCTAATACTGTAACTGTGGTGTGCAATCTACTAACAGCTTTAATATGAAGCCCAAAAGACATATCTATGAAAAACAATAATAGTTACATCAACCTGTTAAAATTAAACAACTTGCTTCCAAATGACCAATTAAGAAATGAACAAATGAAGAAATTAATGAAACAAGAAATTAAGAAAGAAATGTAAGAATTTCTTGAAACAAATGAAAGTACAAATACAACATACCAAAATCTATAGGATACAGCAATAACAGTAGTAAGAGGAAAGTTTATAGCAATAAACATCTATATCAAAAAGTAGAAAGACTTCAAATAACCTAACAATGCCCCTGAAGGAACTAGAAAGGAACTAGAAGGAACTAGAAAAACAAGAACAAACCAAACCCCAAATTAGTAGAAGAACAGAAGTAGTAAATATCAGAGCAGAACTAAATAAAATGGAGACCAAATATATATATATATACACATATATATAAAATGAAATTGTTTTTTTGAAAAGATAAAATCGACAAACTTTTAGCCAGACTAATTCAGAAGAGAAGACCCAAATAAATAAAATCAGAAATGAAAAGGAGACATAACAACTGAGACCACAGAAATACAAGGAATCATTAGAGACTAATGTGAATGAGTATTCACCAACAAATCAGAAAACCTAGAAGAAATGGAAAAATTCCTGGATACATAAAACATGCCAAGATTGAAGAAATTAAAAACCTCACCAAACCAATGATGAATAATGAGAGTGAAGCCATAATAAAAAATCTCCCATCAAAGAAAGGCCCAGGATCTAATGGATTCACTGCTGAATTCTACCAAACATTGAAAGAAAAACTAATACCAATTCTACTCAAACTCTTTTTAAAAATTGAGGAGGGAATACATCTAAACTCATTCTAAGAGGCCACCATTACCTTGACACCAAAACCAGATAAGGACCCACACACAAAAATGAAAACTACAGGCCAATATCCCTAATAAACCTCAAACCCAAAAATGCTCAACAAAATACTATCAAACTGAATTCAACAACATTTAAAGATCATGCATGCTGGGTATGCATGCTGGCTCATGCCTGTAATCCCAGCAAGTTGGGAGGCCAAGGCAGGAGGATTGCTTGAGCACAGGAGTAACTCAAGGAGCCTGTGTAACATAGTGAGACCCTATCTCTACCAAACATAAAGTAAAATATATTATCTGGGCTTGGTGGCATGCGTCTGTAGTCCCAGCTACTCAGGAGGCTGAGGCGGGAGGATCATTTGAGCCTGGGGGGTTGAGGCTGCAGTGACCCATGATCGTGCCACTGTACTCCAGTATGGGTGATAAAGTGAGGTGCTGTCTCAAAAAAAAAAAAAATCATTCACTATGATCAAGTGGAATTCATCCAAGGAATGCAAGGATGGTTCGACATATGCAAATCAATGAATGTGATACATCACATTAACAGAACCCAGAACAAAAACCATATGATCGTTCCAATACATGCTGGAAAAACATTCAATAAAATATTCATCCCTTTATGAAAAAAACCTTCAACGAACTGAATATAGAAAAAACATCTCAAAATAATAAGGGCCATAGATGAGAAACTCATAGTTAACATTATACTGAATAAGGAGAAATTGAAACCCTTTCCTCTAAGATCTGGAACAAGACAAGGATGTCCACTTTCACTACTTTTAGCCAACATAATACTGGAAGTCCTAGCAAGAGCAATTAGGCAAGAGAAAGAAATAAAGGGCTTCCAAATTGGAAAGGAAGAAGTCAAATTAGCCTTATTTGCAGATAACATGATCTTTTACTTAGAAAAACCTAAAGATTCCACAAAAAAACCTGTTAGAAGTAGTAAATGAATTCAGTAAAGTTGCAGGATACAAAAATCAACATACAAAAATCAGTTGTATTTATATATGCTAAAAGCAAACAATCTGAAAAAGAAATCAAGAAACCAATCCCATTTATAATAGCTACAAAGAGTATAAAATACCTAGGAATCAGTTTAACCAATGAAGTGAAAAATCTATGTAAGTAAACTATAAAACACTGATGAAAGAAATTTAAGATTTCATGGATTGGAATAATTAATATTATTAAAATGTCCATACTGCCCAAAGTGATCTACAAATTCAATACAACCCCTATCAAAATACCAATGACATTCTTCACAGAAATAAAAAAAAATCCTAAAATTTGTATGAAGCCATTCAAGATTCAAAATAGCCAGAGCAATCCTGGGCGAAAAGAACAAAGCTGGAGACATCATACTACTTGATTTCAAAATATATTACAAAGCTATAGTAACCAAAACAGAAGGGTACTGGCATAACAAAAGACACATAGACCAATGGCACAGAATACAGAACCCAGAAATAAATCCACATGTTTAGAGCCAACTCATTTTCAACAGAAGTACCAAGGACATACAATGGGGAGAAGAGAGTCTCTTCAATAAAATGTGCTGGGAAAAATGGATAACCATATGCAGAAGGATGAAGCTAACCTCTATATCTTACCATATAGAAACATCAACTCAAGATGAATTAAAGGCTTAAATCTAAGACCTGAAACTATGAAACTACTAGAAGAAAACGTTTCAGGACATTGATTTGGGCAAAGATTTTTTGGTAAGACCACAAAAGTACAGGGAACCAAAGAAAAAATAGGCAAACAGAATTACATCGAGCTAACAAGCTTCTGCATAGCAAAGGAAATACTCAACAAACGGAAGAGACAACCCATAGAATGAGAGAAAATATTTGCAAACTACTTGTCTGACCGAGATTAATAACCAGAATATATCAGGAACTCAAACAATTGAATAGCAAAAAACCCCAAATAATCCAATTTTAAAATAAGCAAAAGATCTGAATAGACATTTCTCAAAAGAAGACATACAAATAGCTAACAGGTATACGAAAAAATGTTCAACATCCAAAATAATCAGGAAAGTACAAATCAAAATCACAATGAGGTATCTCACTTCAGTTTTTTTTTTAATCAAAAAGACAGGGAATAACATATGCTGGTAAGGATGTGGAGAAAGGGGAATACTTGTGCACTGTTGGTGGAAATGTAAATTAGCACAGCCTCTATGGGAACTATATGGAAGTTTCTCAAAACTAGACCTACCATATGATCCAGAAATTCCACTACTGGGTATATATCCAAAAGAAAGGAAATTAGTATATCAAAGAGATATTTGTATTCTCATGTTTACTGAAGCACTATTCACAATAGACAAAACATGGAATCAACCCAAGTGTCCATCAATGAGATGAATGGATTAAAAAATGTGGCATATATACACAATGGAATATTATTCAGCCATAAAAAAAATGAAATCCTATCATTTGCAGCAACATGGATGGAACTGGAGGTCACTATGCTAAGTGAAATAAGCCAAGCACAGAAAAACAAATATCACATGTTCTCATTTATATGTGGGAGCTAAAAAAAAACTGGATCTTATGAAGATAAAAAGTAGGTTGGTGGTTACCAGAGGTAAGGGGATGGTGGGAGGGGTTGAAGAGAGATTGCCTTTTTTTCCCTGTTTTAGTTTGGAATGCTAGAGTGGATTAGTCACTTTAGACCATCATGAGACAGGTTAGCTTTACCCTACTGTTGATGTGTTGTTGCCATGGTAATCCTGCTCAGTATAAAAGGAACCACAGTTTCAGACATTTGTTGTATGTGCTTGGCTGAGGAGCCAATGGGGTGAAGTTTCCTAGGTGCAGCCCATGATACTATTTTTCCCTCCTAGGCCTCTGAGCCTGTGATGGGAGGGGCTGCTGAGAAGGTCTCCGACATGCCCTGGAGACATTTTCCCCATAGTTTTGTTGATTAACATTCAGCTCCTTGTGACTTATGCAAACTTCTGCAGCTGGGTTGAATTTCTCTCCAGAAAATGGGTTTTCCTTTTCTATTGCATCGTCAGGCTGCAAATTTTCCAAACTTTCATGCTCTGCTTCCTCTTAAATGCTTTGCTGCTTAGAAATTTCTTCCACCAGATACCCTAAATCATCTCTCAAGTTCAAAGTTCCACAGATCCCATAATTTATAAAGGAAAGAGGTTTAATTGACTCACAGTTCTGCATGGCTGGGGAGGCCTCAGGAAACTTACAATCATGGTGGAAGGGGAAGCAAACATGTCCTTCTTCACAAGGCAGCAGGAGAGAAGTGCTGAGTGAAGGGGAAAAGCCCCTTATAAAACCGTCAGATTTCATGAGAACTCACTCACTAGCATAAGAATAACCCCCATGATTCAGTTACCTCCCACTGGGTCCCTCCCACGATGTGTGGGGATTATGGGAACTACAATTCAAATGAGATTTGGGTGGCGAGACAGCCAAACCATATCGACCTATATTCAAATTCACCGGTTCTTTCCTCAGCTATGTCCAGTCTGCTGATAAGCCCATTGAAAGAATTCTTCATTTCTGATACGGTGTTTTTAATTTCTAGCCTTTCCATTTCACTTTTTAAGTAATTTTCCTCTTTCTGCTGAAATTCTCTATATATATTCATGCATATTGTTCACCTTTTCCACTAGCTTTATAAGCATATTAATTCTAGCCCAATATATGGGTCATTTCTGAATCTGGTTCTGTTTTACCTCTTGATTTTTTCTCCTCTCTGCTTTTTTGGGTGTCTTTTAATTTTTGATCAAATGATGGATATCACATGTAGGAGAATAGTAACAACTGAGGTAAATAATATTAATGTCCAGAAATAAACATGCCTCTTCTGTCCAGTCAATAATGTGGGTAGTTGAGTCAATCTAGTCAGGAGTTGTGCTGAATTTGGGTTTTGTTGTTGTTATCCTTGCCTTCACTCTGTACCACAGGCTTCATTCAGATTCCTCTAGCAGGGGGTTACTATTGCATTGTTTTAGTGTGGAACCTAGAGTGCTGGGGAGTTTTTCTCAGTGTCCCTCACTCAGCTTTTAGCAGTGTTTGCATGCCTGTGTTACAGAGAGGTCTCTCCCCACTCTTTTTCCTCCTCACTAGTTGACTGGTGTTGTCACTGGTGCTTGGCTTGTAGTGGGGAAAAGGGGTTTTTCACACTCCTGGTCCTGCCTTGGTTTTAGGCAGGCCCTGTGCACCTGAACCTTAGATGTGGGGCTTTCCCAGTATTCCTGACACTTTCCCATTGCAGCCAAATCCTTCCTTTATCTGTGGTGAGTCTTGAGTGAGAGAGGGTTTCCCAGCAGTAGCCAACTTCAATTTTCTATTGGTTCAGGACACAGAGCCCTAGTGTTTCCTGCTCCTGCTGCTCCCCAAAGGGCAGAAGGTTTGTGCTTCTATCTCTTCTCCAGAAGCAGGGGGTCTTTGCCAGGATCCTGTTGGTGGTAAAGCTTCCTGCCCTTCCCCCAGTGGATAAGGTTTTCATACAGAAGAAAAGTTTGGAGAGGTTAAGTGGAATTTCATGATTGTCCCCCAGTGACAGAACTATCACCTCCTAACATTCTTGTTATCTCCGGAAAAATATTTATTGCTTATAGAGAAAAATGTGGTGTTTCAATATAGCTTCTTTACAGATATTTACTAAGGATCTGTGATATAAATAGCACTTTAAATATTTAGTACATTGCTGCCTGCCCTTTTGTTTCTCCACCAGATATATCTGTAGAAAATACATTCATCATTCAACAACCCACCTGTTTATTTTAGCTACTTTCCATAGTGCCATCCAAAATTAAACCAAATCAAAATGAATGTGGTTAGGTACAAAAGCTGTCTTGCAAGAAGCAAGTGCACACCGCACCTGGGAATACAGGAAAGAATTGGATCAGGGCTCTGCTGTTTCTCTGAAGACAGGCTTCACTCAAGTAATGATGGTTTATTTTTAAAAACCATCCCTCTGAAGAGTCCCTTACAAGGAAATTTCTTAACTTTTTAAAAGCCATACATGGTGTACACATGGTGCCAAGTGCTTAAGGGCAGTTGGTTAAACCTTTCTTTGAGGGCAAGGAAAGCCTAGTCCATCCTACTCAGACTTTTAGGAAAAATGAGGCTTATCTATTTTTAACAGGATAATTTCTGTTACTTTGGGTTCTCTAAGATATCTCACCAAAAGACCAGAATTAGAGAAGACTGTCCTAGTTAAGTATGGAATATTGAGTCAAATTAATGGGTTCCAGGTCCTGTGGAGGGAATGTTCTTTAAAATATATGTATATCTCCTAATTATCAGTATTAAGATCATTCAGGTTATATGTTAATTTAAAAATATATCTATTACATTAAGAAACTTTTTTTTAACATAAGGTAATTTTAAGAGAACCTTGTCATGTTGGTGAAGGAACATTTTACGAGCCCCTCTGTACTCTGAAATGCCGTGTCCGAGATTAGACATACAAGTCAGTGTTACTTAAGCGGCCAAATTTCCAATTTGTTATTGCTTGTTACCAAATGAAAGTAAAAAGATAAACAGAAAGGTAAAATAAAGAAACTGGCTTTTATGTATTTTATTCACAAAAAGGGCGTTTGCCGAAGGACCTTCCCATTCACGGGCTGTCACTCACAGGTGCTCGGAGAATTCAGCCTCCAAATCCGCAGGTCACAGGTCAGCCAAGTTTTAAGAAACACTCCGGGTTAGCGACTCTTCCTCTCTGCAACTCCCACCCCTGCGCCGAGGGCAGCGGGACACGGCCGGGCGGTCCCCAGGGGAAGATGAGGCCCTGGACGCCCCGCGTGCGCTGGAGGCCCGGAGGCCAAGGCCGAGGCCGAGGCCGAGGCCGGGAGCATGCCAGCGGGGTCGCGCCACCGAAAGCTCCTCCGGCCTGGGCCCGCCGTGCCCCGAGGCCGCGGGCGGAGGCTGGAGCAACGAGCCCAACTCTCCCTCCGCCCCGGGGAGGCGGGGTCTCCGCCTTTCCCGCGTTCGGGCCTCACCGCCCCCTCCGCCTTCTCTGAGCCCCCGCGCCACTTCCGCTCCTCGCAGCGGAGCCGGTCCCCTAGGGCTCGGGTCGCACGGAGCTGACCCCTAACGAAATGGGGCCGCGCCAAGGGCGGTGGTGGCTGCTGCTCTGGCTGCCGCCCCTGGCCACACTGCCCGTGCGCGGGGAGGCGGCGGCGGCAGCGTTATCAGGTAACCCGGGACCGGCGGCGGCGGCGCGCGCGTGCGTGCTCGCTCCCCGGCTTCGCGGCTGCCCTGAGGGCGCGCTCTTTGGCCCGGGCGGCACCGCGAGGCCCACTGGGGCGGGCGCTCCCTTTTCTCGCTTTGGGGTCTCCCGGGCAGGCCCCGCCCGCCCTTCCTGTCTTACTGGGCTTCCGTAGTCTCTCGCCTGGCAGTTGGACATTTTGTAATTTTAGAATTAGAAGCAACCGCGCGATCCAGTCGCCCAATTCCCTCGTTTTACAGAAGCAACCGAAACTCAGAGAGGTTTTGATTTGCCCAGGGTCACACAGCTTGTCACTGGCACAGCTGACCCTAGTCTCCAGACTTTCAGCACACGGCCTTTTGTACAGTACATCAATGCGTGTTGAAATCCTTGTTATTTCACTATCTCGCATTCCTTTGGTCTCAAGACTAGAGAAGGTAACAGCTTCAGCTTCAGAATCGGAGCGAAAATTCTTCTGCCCCTGACTGTTGTGACCTTGAGCGAGTAAACATAACGGTCCCACGTGAGCGGCAGGTAATGAGGCCTCACAAGGTTCTTGTGGTGTTCGTGTGCACAATGCCTGGCACACAGGAAGCAAGAACTGGTAGCGGCTGCTAGCTGTAGGGGCTCGCCACGGAGTGGGCTTAAGATGCTGGCACACTGGGGAAGGATCTGGGAAGGACACCTGGGGAAGTCAGAAACCTAGAGTTCCAACTCCAGACCTGCCGCTAACTTACCATGAGCTTCACATTTCTGTTTCTTTTTTTTTTTCCCCTCATAAAATCTTTTAAAAGATTTCCTGGGTGCACTGTCTACCAACTTCCCTTCCTTGCTTTGGCTACCCTGGTTTCAAGGGAGGCTGCCAAGTGTATTCTTTTAGCTGGGCATGGCCCTCCCTCCGGTTATACCGCGGTTTTTTATCTAAGGATGAATGAGAGACTGGATGTTGATGAGGTCATTATCAGATTCTGCCACAGCTCCCAACTGAGGGAATCTTGCAGTGAGTTATATGTTGGGGAAGTGTTGGATTCCAGTTTTCATTGAAGAGAAATTTTTTGAGTGTTCAGTATGTGCTAGGCAGTGTTATAAGTGCTTTAACTGCAGTATCTATCATATTTAATACCCATAGAAGCCCTATGCGGGAAAGCACCATTTTATACCCATTTTACAGATGAGAAAACGAAGGTTTGGTAGTAAGAAATACAACAATTTTATGCTGGTGAAAAAATAAAACACAAATCTGTCTAAGCAGGAAGGTTTCTGGGCATGGCAACAGCGAGAAAATTAGAAGTAGCCTTAGACCAGCACCCAGCACCTTGGGTTCTAGACCACTCATTCCTTCAGCCACAACTTGTGGTATAACCTTGGTCCAGGCACAGAGTCTTTATGGACCGTAGTTTTCTCTTGAGTAAAATGAAGATGTTTTTACTGAAGAGTTTCCAGTATTTTCCTCACCTCAGTGAACCTGGTGTTTTTAAAGTTTTTATGTTACCGCATTTAGTATAATAGTAACAGCCTGCTTCTCTGCTTTGTTAATCAAAGACACACATAAATACTTATTGGAGCTTCTGTTCTGCCTGAGACATGCAGGATGCCCACTGACTTGATAAAACTAGTCCACAGCTAAGAAGAATGGCAACTTTTGTAGCCTTAGAGGGATGCCTGCCATTCCGGTAGGCTTTCCAATACGGACTGTGAAGCGCCCAGCATCTGGTAGTGTGCCAGTGACACTGTTGGCAGCCCTGGATTAGACTAGGCTTAAGAACCATAGCTGCTCTTTAAAAGTCTATGGTTTCTTGAGGACCCTGAGAGGAAACAGCTGGTACTTCCTTTAAGCGAGGGGCTTGGATTAGTGATACCTAAGGTGCCTTCCTGTTCTAAAATTTTGTCTTGAATAACACACACTTCAATGGAATGGAGAACATTCAGACCAACCCCAGCTTTCTGTCACTCTATTTGGAGGAAAGTCAGAGACAGTTGACACAGGAGGAGCAGGTAGTTGTCTGACTGAGAGGAGAAACTTCAAGAGTTTCCCATAATTTTCACCCAGTTAGTGAGGTCCCTAGAAACCATGTGTTGTCCTGAGATGAAGTTCAGGCCCTGTCAGTGGCTTTCCAGGCTTAAACTATAACAGTCCATTTGACACCACAGCTTTAAGATTCATCTGTGAAGATTTGAACTTGAAGTTAAAGACCTGAGTGTGCATGAGTATATACTAATTCCAGTTTCATTCTCATATTCTTGGAGAAAGAAAAAGATGAATATTCAGGTTAAAAAAAACTGAGGTTAAGAGAATAGTTACCTTTATCACTTTGGTGCCTCACGTTAACACCTTTGAAAATGTGTATTTACAAAAAACAAATAGTAAGAAAAATCCTGAGTCCATTTGACTTCTCACAAGTTAAGACTTGTTGGTTTTTTGCTTTTTGTGTTTCCTACTCTTCTCCCTCCCCTTCCTTGTCCCCAAAGAAAAACAGTTATAGGGAAAATGGGGAAATTTGTCATATAAGTTAATAAGTGTTTATATTATGATTCCATTCTAGTTTCATCTGAAGATATTTTTTTTCCCCATATGAGGGCCATGTCAGTTTTCAGGAGGAACATTGGTGAGATATTTTTGTGTTGGGAGTTAGGTTCTGCTAAGATTTGAGGTGTTTGTGCTTTTTATTTTTAGCATATTCTGTAAGTAGGTTTAAGTACTGCCTGCTCTTTTCTGATGTTTTGACTGAGGTTTTTTTTTCCGTATATATGACTCAACTCTTTAACTTAAACATATACTTACATTTAGGAAAACTAATAAATGACAAAAGTACTACAAAGGAGATAATTGAGCTTATAATTAGGTGATATGTAGCTGTCCCTTTTTTATACTAGATATGTAATTCTAAAATTAGATTAATTGAATATTCATAAATTGAGTGGTATTTAAAATGAACTAAGGAATCTATCTCATTGGTTAAGGGAACCCTGACTTTCTGAATCCTTTGGTAATGTAAATAATTAATGCCTCCTGTAACATCTTAGAAATTTGGGCACAACTATCCAGAAATATACTGTTCTCTAGAAGTCAGGTTAATTGAAAGCATCAAAGAGCCTGCTGAGGATTGCAAGAAGTTAAGGAAAATGATGCCCTTCCAGGCTTAGAAACCTGTCTTTCCATAGTAAGGATGGCATTCAGGGTTGATCCCACAGATACTCCTCAGTCCTTGAGGGTTGAGGCAAACCTGGGATAGCCTACACTTCCAGATCTTTCTCCCGATCTGATTCAGGCTTGAGGAAGTGATTACCTAGGTTATGGAGCACCTTCCAGGGTACGGACATATTAAATACCTCAGCCTCAAGTAGAAGCAGTAGCTTTCCCTAGGCAGGTATTGTTCCCTTTTGACCAAATGAATGATTATTGTTAGATTTTTAAAAATTCCTAGAAATTCTGTTTCATTTCCTGGATTGCATTGTAAGGGGATTGTTGTTGTTTTTGTTCTAATTTTTAAATGTTTATTTATTTTTGAGACTGAATTATGATCCTGGCCAATTTTTTATTTTTGGTAAAGACAGGGTTTCACCATATTGCCCAGGCTGGTCTCAAATTCCTGGCCTTAAGGGATCCACCTGCCTTGGCCTCCCAAAGTGCTGGGATTACAGGCATGAGCCTCAGCACCTGGCCCGTTGTTGTTTTGATACATTTGAGTTTGCCTACATCTGCTACCGGAGGTTCTATCCTAGTAGAATTAACCAGCAATAACTGGGGCCTCATGAATAAATGAAACCCGCAGACATGCAGGCAGCTTCATAGCCTTCAGTGTCAGGGCATAATCAGCCATAGAGTTCAAATAAGCAGTCAAACTGGCTCTGTTTCCTGTTTCCATTGGACATGATTGAAACCGAGCAGTGAAATGGCTCTAGAAGAAGATTGCTAAAGGGAGGAGAGACCTAAGAAAGATACAGCCTTTATAATCAATCTAAGATTGGAAGATCTGTTCTCTCTAGAGAGAACAGTGGGCCAGCTGTGATAACAGTCTTGTGACAATCACTGTCTTTTGCCTAGTCCAAATAGCCCGTGGCTTAATGAACTGACTTGAAGCTAGGCTTGTGGCTTCTTATGGCTGAATTTATGGTCCCTTAGATATTTAGGAATTCCTGTGTGGGTTGTTTGAGACTCATTCACCTCGGGAGAGAGGTGATAAGAAAAAAGGGCAGCCAGAGGACACCATGAAGCACTGACACTTTGTGGAATCTCATGGATTGTGTAAATTCCACATCAGCTTCACCTCAAAAGCCAGAGGCCACTCTGGAGAATTCGAGGGAAAACACTGCAACATGCTTTTACTAGCGTGTCTATAGGCATGAACAGTCAGGACAACCTCCTTCCTTCTATGCTGTCCTTAATCTGGTTGAAGACTGAGGGGAAATGCAGAACAAGTTCTTTTCCTCTAACTGGCAGATCCCTTACCCAGAATACACTGATGTATCATATATGAGTCAAACAAAAGAAGCTTAATGCCACCTATTCTTTCTGACCTCCTCTATCCAGTGAGGGGCAAGAAGATGATCCCCAGTCCAGAGGATGTTAAGGGTTACAGTACTCAACCCTCTAGCTATGGATGTATTGGCCATGGGGTAGGGCAAGGGGGAAGTGCAGCCTGTGGCTTCCAGACTGGCCCTCATGCTTTGTCAGTTCTGTAAATGGGATGGCAGTGGCACAGGCTGGCAAGGGCATCCTACTACATCAGGTGGTTTCAAGGGAGGGCCAGAGTGCACCTTCTTTTACGGTGCTGACTATTCCTGGCCAGGCTCTTACAAAGATTGGCTGGACTTCCATTGGTAGGCCACACATGCCTAAATAACCCACTAGTCCTCTTGAACCACAAGCTACACACAAAAGATAAATATTTAAGTTCTGGGGGTTACAGTGATAAACATGCAATGTCCCTGACTTCATGGAGAGACAGAGTATAAGCTAATAAATATATATGTAATATGAAGAAAGAATAAAGCAGGTGGAAGTGGTTGGGGTGTGTTTGTTTAGACAGTGGGGTCAAAGAAGGCCTTTCTGAGAAGGGAGTGTTTGATAGAGTATATCAGTGATTGGAAGGGATGAGCTCTGCCAAGATCTGGGAGAAGAAGGTTGCAGCAGACTGAGGAAACTTTATGTGGGGGCTCGCTGGCATCTTGAGGACAGGAAGGCCAGCTGTGGCTGGAGCAGTGGGCTGGGAGGGAAGGTGGAGGAGGGAAGGTCATAGAGGCACTCAGGTCCCTGGAAGGGAGGGGGATTTTATTAATGGTGTAAAAGGAAACCATTGGAGGGTTTTAAGCAGGTAAATGATGGGTTCCCATTCATGTTTTTGTTTGTTTGTGTTTGTTTTTGTTTTGAGACAGAGTCTCACTCTGTCGCCCAGGCTGGAGTGCAGTGGTGTGATCTCAGCTCACTGCAACCTCGCCTCCCAGGTTCAAGCGAAATTACAGGCATGAGCCATTGTACCCGGGCCCAATTCATGTTTTTAAAAAGATCTATTTGCTAATTGAAAAGTGTGTTGTAGGGGAAAACATGGTAGTTGGGGGGCAGCAATTCTGGAAGCAGGGAGACCAGCCAGATAGAAGGCTATTACATCATCCTAGTGCAAGAGGAATGTGGCTTGGGTAAGAGAGAAGCATTTATTCCTATGTTGAAACTGCAGTATACACTATACTTAAATTGCATCATCTTGCTCTTAAGAGCTCCAGGTTTGGAATGATTTAGGAGACAGTCTTAGGATCAAGTGGAAAGAACCTTATTTGAAGAGAGCATTTGATTGCAAAACTCAGGCCCCACCAAAAGGTTATTTCCTCAGACCATTAACAAAAGGGAACTGTTCTATGAGAGTTGATTTAGCCCTTGAAGTAGCAGCACTCACTAGAAGAATTGCAGTGAGGGACCTTTGGAGGCACCCACAAGAAAAGCCCATCTAGCATTGAGCACATGGGTGGTGAAGAAAGACCTGTCTGGAAGTAAACATTATTATCATAGTTTGGGCTGCTGGGTCCGTGTACCTGAGACTTCATGCTCTTCACCTGCCCTGCTGGAATGCACTCCCTTTCCAACGATAGGTAGGAATCACTTTTGTTTGAGGACTCCCAGTATAAAGTTATTAACTCTAGCCATGCTTAGAGACCCCCCCGAGGAGGCTGTGCAAAGGCAGAACATGACAAGGTGAATCCAGAGATCTGATCCCCACACCTCTGCTGCTTACTAACTGGGAGCATTTAATGTGTTCTCATGTCTTCTCATTGCAGTTGCTCAGGATCTTCCAGGTTATATACTACATTCCTTGACATTCTTCTTTTCTATAGGTAGCTGCCAGCCCTTTGATATCCCTGGGACTGCACTTCCCCCTATGCTGCCCTTGGCCAGAAGTCATTTGCATCTCAGATATATTCAAAAATGTGCCTCAGCATTGGTTGCTTTGTGTATTCATAGCCCTGGTTGTGAATTCTTCTTTTGGCTCTTGTGCATGGACACACCATGCAGGAGCATGTTTTTCATTTTTAGTATCCTGTATTTAACAGAGAGCCTGTAGAACAGCAGTCTTCAACCTTTTAGCAACAGGGACCAGTTTCATGGAAGACAGTTTTTCCACAGGATAGGAGTGGGGTTGGGGTGGTTTTGGGATGAAACTGTTCCACCTCAGATCATCAGGCATTAGTTAGATTATCATAACAAGCATGCAACCTAGATCCCTAGGTTGCTCAGTTCACAGTAAGGTTCACGCTCCTATGATAATCTAATGCCACTGCTGATCTGACAGGAGGTGGAGCTCAGGTGGTAATGATCACTCGCCTCGCGCACCGCTCACCTCCTGCAGCCCTGTTCCTAACAGACCATGGACTGGTATTGGTCCTTGGCCCCAGGGTTGGGGACCTTTGCTCTAGAGGTTCCTTCTTGTGGTTTTTACTGGCTTTTCACCTGGATTCTTGTATTTGCATCTTGGACTCTCAAACTCTGCAAATTTCTTGATATATTTAGAAACATATGCATTTTATCATAATGTGAAGAGTAAAGATGACTGATTTGACTGTCACAGTTGAATACGTTGGGTCCTTGTGTAATTTTGCTGCTTCGTGTGGCCACCGGAAAACCCTCCCTTTTATGGAGTTGTGTTCTGGGAGATGGCGAGCATTCCCAGGATCCTTTCCCCAAGTCTGTCTTCACTTTTCTCCAACTTAATGCTAAGGATATTTCAGGCCAGGACCAGGGCCTTGTGTGAGCATATTCAGTATTATTCCCTACATGGATGTGATTGTTTACTAGTAGTTACTGTTTACTCAGTCCTTCCCCAACTTTGGTGTAGCAAGTTGTTCTAGCTTCATTTCAGGTTTTTCAGGAGGAACAACTGACCACACTTTCCTTAAAGGAGTCAGGGGTTGGATGTAAAGCCCATTTCTTTGTGTACCCATAAGTGTTCCTTGTTCCTGTTTCCTAAAGAACAGATGTGGAGGTGACACTCTATCTTGAATCCGGAAGAACTTACGACTTTCATTCCACTTCATTTCAAATCCAAATACAGCAACGACCACAGAAGAAAATGAACATCATTACTTTCTAGTTTTCTTGTGGCATTTTACATTAGCCCTCTGTAACACAGAGGGTTAATATATATCTCTCTTTCTCTCAGTTATGTTGAGTTGTATTATACATTATATATAGCATACATATATATTTAGGTATCTACATCTGTCTCCAGCCAAATTTCTCCTTGCTGGAGATGTGAAGATCTGTCCATCTTCACAGAATCCCACCAATGAAAACTCAGTATATCCGAAATTGAACTCACCCCCACTTCCCTGTACAAACTTGCTTTTTTTCTAGTATTTCTTATCTGAGTAAAGGGCCTCACTATCTCTCCGCTTATCAGAAACCTTTACATCATCTTCTTGTTTTCCTTGATAAAATGAATCTGTAAAGCCTGCTGATTTAATTTCCTAATCTGTTATTTCTCCCGCCTCTCTTAGTCCATTTCTTGTTTAGATTGCTTCAGTGGCCTCCTTAGTGGTTCTTCTGCTTTCAGTTTTGTTCTTTAATATTGCACACTACTTACAGAATATTCTTTCTAAAATACAAATGTGTTTCTGTCACTTCCTTATTGAGCTGGTATTCCCTGTTTGTTGGTGTAGATCTATTCTCAGCCCTTCTCTTCCCCGCTTAGTGCCTGGAAGCTAACCTCTGTGGACTGCATTATATGGGCTTCATTGCCCTCTGTCTTCCTGTTGGGTTTGGCTGATTCAGGGCACTGAGGGGACAGCAGGAGAGACAGGTTGAGGTACCCATACCTTCACCCTGCATTCCACGGGAGTCCTGGCAGTGACTGCATTCCTTTAGACTACTGTCTTCCCAGTTCCAATGACTCCAGTAACATGGGATCCTCCTTGCCATTTTGGGACTTGGGCTGCTAAAAGCTTCCTGCTCTTGTTGGTGCCTAGGAACTTCATAGTGCCTTATTGTTAGTGCCTTATTGTTAGTGCCTTAACCCTGTCCATATCTTTACTGAACTATTTTCAGTTAAATCCTTTTGAGTGTCAATAGTTTCTTGCTGAGACTGATACTTACCTAAAATCCTCCAATGCTCTGCTTTCAAGATGGAGTCCACATGGTATAGTAGTAGCTATGGTTTACCACTCCAGCTACAGGTGTTCAAATGTCTTCTTGTATCCCTATACCTTCCATCCATGCTCCCTTACCAATATAAGAATCCAATATCTCTAAACTGAATTAATTCCATAATTTATCTCATTTTCATGATTCTGTACATACTTGCTGGTTCTGCCCACCCCCACTCCCACCTCCTAGTTTCTGTCTTATTGCCTCTACCTTGCCCTTCAGCCCTTTACTCATATTTTTGTCTTTTCTGAGAAGGTGCCCATAATTCTGCCTTCTGCTTCAGAATTGAAGAAGTACTTGTTCTCTGTGCTCTTATAGTGCCCTCCAATGTCATAAATATTGACACTTGGGCTATCGTATTTTCTATCTGTCTCCTCCTTGGTTGGAAACACTGAAGGACTATAATTATCATATAGGAGAATTTATTGGCCATAGAACGTTAAAACTGCTACTGTTACCTCCCTGCAAACTTTTTTTAAAAAAGATTCTGGGCAATTAAACAGTTAGAAAATGCATTCCCTTTTCCATCTCTCAGTTCGTAGGTGTAAAGCTTTGAAGGAAAAAGATTTAATTAGAACGTCTGAGTCAGACTGTTACTGCTACAATCAAAATTCCCAAGTGGAGTGGAAATACATATGGTCAACTATGCAGGTAAGGGCCTACTTTTAACTCATGTCTTAGGGACAGAGAATTACCATGTCCTGGGGACAGGAAATGTACCACTTCAGGAATAGAAAGTATTTTTGGTATGACACAGATCTGTGTATCACTATGAAAGCTGACTTGAGGATCACACACAGTGGTTCAATGGGTGAGCAGTGTGAGAAGAGGACACTAACTCCTTCATATTCTCCCTCAGCCCCTCCCAAGCCACTCCCAATGAATATACTATCTAAATGTATACAGCATGCCTGCTGTTCAGGCAGTCTTAAGACAACATGTTCCTCCTACTTTCCACAATTGCTATCCAAAGCCCCTCCAAATAGAAATTCTGGAATAACCACTTATCCCAAATATGGCCAAGATAGCAGTTGCTCTTAATTGCCTAGTACTTTCCTTCATTCAGCATTTAACAAATACTTATTGAGTACCTACCTTATAAGTACCAGGAACTATTTCTAGGCTCCTAGGATACATCAGTGAACAAAATAGATCCCTGCCATTGTGGATATTTACATTATCTAGGGTGGGGAATAGTAAACAATAAATAAAATAGGGATGAAAATGGTAAAACTAGTAAGTACTATGAAAAAAGAAAATGTAGAGTAATATCAGTGGGATGAGAGAAGTGGGAGCAAATTGGCCAGGGTAGTTCTCGTTGAGAAGGTAACATTTGAGGAAGATTTCAGTGGAGTGAGTTAACCAACAAGGTACTGGGGGGAAGGGTGTTCTAGGCTGAGAGAATAGCTGGAACATTGTATCAGCAAGCATTTGATGTCAATTGATACCATTGCTGATAATATGCACCACTTTAATCACATGGTTAAGGTAGTGTTTGTCAGGTTCTTCCACTAAAATTACTGTTTTCTTCCCTTTAATGAGTATTTTGAGGTGATGATTTGAGACTGTGTAGATAACCTCTTCCTCATCAAACTTTCTTCCCTTAGTTTATCATTCATTGATGATGCTTTACTGAATCAATAATCATGATGATATTTATCAAATGTTGATTTTTTATATCTGTCCTGTTTTTTTTGAGACTGGGACTCACTCCAGTTGCCCAAGCTGAAGTGCATTGGTGCGATCTTGGTTCACTGCAGCCTCAACCTCCCGGGCTCAGGTGATTCTCCCACCTCAGCCTTTCAAGTAGCTGGAACTACTTGAAAGGTGTGCACTGTCACATCTGACTTTTTTTTTTTTTTTTAGTATTTTTAGTAGAGATGGGGTTTTGCCATGTTGCCCATGAGTCTACTGAACTCCGGGACTCAAGCAATCTGCCTGCCTCAGCCTCCCAGAATGCTGGGATTACAGGCGCAAGCCACTGCGCCTGGCACCATTATTCCATTTACATTCATTGGCATTCTACTATAAAGAAGAGATTTTCCTCCTCCCATGTATTTATTTATATCCATATAGTCTCACAAATTGCCAGTTATTTCAGGAAACTACAATCCATTACTCTCATTATTTATTTTGATACTCAAATTGTCCTAGATTTAGCCAGTCAGGGCCCCTTCAAACTAGCTCCTGTGTCCTTCTGCCATGTGCCTAGCATTTTTGAGCACTACTTTACTTTCTAACAAACAAGATGTTCTAGGCGTGTGTAATTTCATAGACTTAGCTCTGGAATCATAACATTTTTTTTCCAAGGAACAGTCAACATTAGGTGTGTTCATTGCTACTAGCATATCATCATGTGTGTACAAACACATACACACGCATAGGCCTGCACATACATCTATATCTACCTATTAGAAACCGTGAGTTCTGAGATCTCCAATACCACAGGGTTCATGCTAGTTTTCCAGTTTTCGTATTTGTAATTCCCTTCTCTGATAATGAGAAACTTAGTTCCCATTATCCTCAAATATATTTATTTATTTGCCTAATCCCAGAATACACTAAAAGTAGTTACAGAATTGGTAAGTCATACCATTACAAAAAACAAACCTAGTAACAGGAGTTCAATATTTATTTATAGTGTTTTTTTAAAATCTTTTTCGGAGGTTGTGTATTTTAGGTTAATTCATCCCAATCCACTCCCCCTTCAGTCTGGTTATATTATTCATTCAAAATATAGTTTGTTTTTATTTGTTTCAATTTCAAGGTTTTCCCCCATCATGGTCAATTTTATTATCATTTTTATTTTTATTTTTTTAGTTTGTTGACAAAAAGCCACTCTATAAAATATTTGAAGAGATTTATTCTGAGCCAAATATGAGTGACCAATGGCCTGTGACACATCCCTCAGATTCTGAGAACATGTGCCCAAGGTGGTCAGGGCACAGCTTGGTTTTACATATTTTAGGGAGACATGAGACATTAATCAAATACATTTAAGGTATACATTAGTTAGGTCCAGAAAGGTGGGACAACTTGAAGCAGAGAGGGGTGCAGTGTTCCAGGTTATAGGTAGATTTTTAAATTTTCTGATTGGCAATTGGTTGAAAGAGTTATTATCAATAGAAAGGAATGTCTGGGTTATCATAAGTAATTGCGGAGACCAAAGTTTTATCATGGAGATGAAGCCTCCAGGTAGCAGGCTTTAGAGAGAATAGATTATAAATGCTTCTTATCAGACTTAAGGTCTGTATTGATATTAAATGCTGGTTGGTTTTTCCTGAATTCCAAAAGGGAGGAGGGCATAATGGGGCATGTCCAACCCCTGCTTCCTGGCATAGCCTGAACCAATTTTTCAGGTTAACTTTGGAGTGCCCTGGCCGAGAACAGGGTTTCATTCAGATAGTTGGCGGGGTCGGGGGTGTTAGAATTTTATTTTTGGTTTACAAGTTTTGTTTACCTTTTTATTCTCAGAAAAGATCATAGTGGGTTTTTTAAGTGAGATTTTGTTTTTTTAAAAAAAACCTTCTTAATTTTTAATTTTTTAGATTTGGGGGTACATGTGCAGGTTTGTCACATGGATATATTGTGTAATGCTGGGGTTTGGGCTCTACTGAACCCATCCCCCAACTAGTGACCATAGTACCCAATCAGTAGATTTTCAACCCTTGCCCCTCTCCCAACCACCTTCTGAAGTCCCCAGTTGTCTGTTGTTTCCATCTTTATGTTTGTGTTATTATCATTATTTATAAGTATCTACAACATTAATATGGCTTAAAAGTTAAAACTCTATACAAAGGTATTTTCAGATAAGTGTCACTTTCCCTCCTCCCTCTATTAATTCCTATCCAACCCTTGTAGACAATCAGTTTAAGTAGTTTCTGGTATATCTTTCCTGTGTCTTTTTTTGCAAAGTAATTAGCGATGCATATTTATATAGATGGTGCCTAAAGCCATGAAACTGAGTGAGTTTAGATGGAGAAGAGAAGAGGACCAATGGCTAAGCCTGGGTCAGTCTTATATTAAGAGTTCAGGGAGAAGGAAGGAGCAAGCAGAGGAGAAATAAAAGGAGGGACAATGAAGATGTCCTGGAAGCCCTAGGGAGAAGTATAATAAGGAGAAGGGAATAATCAGCAATGCCAAGTGCTGTTGACAGGTCAAATAAGATGACTGAGAATTAATTGGGCATTTGAGTTAGCAACATGGAAGCACCAGTGACCTTGTCAGGGTGGCCTTTTAGGAATGAAATCCTGATTGAAGTGGATTAAAGGGAGAATGGAAGGAGAGGAACTAGAGACTGCAGGCACAGGCAGCTTTTTAAAGGAATTTTATTGCAACAAGAAGCAAAGAAATGGGTGGTAGTTGGAGGGAAAAGTGGAGTCCACAGAAGGTTGTTTCTTCTTTTTTAAATGTTGTATGCTGAGAGAAATAATCTCGTAGAGAGGGAAGAACTGCTGCTGGGATGTCCTTGAGTAGGCAAACGTGGATAGGATCCCGTGCCCAAGTCGGGACTTACCTTTATGGAGCCTGTAAATTTCCTCTGTGGAAGAAATTTCCTCCCCACAGGCAGGAAGCAGAGCATGTGCCTGCAGGTGCTGACAGGTAGGTGGCTTTGCAGATAGGAGCTGGTGGACATTCACTTCTGATTTCTTCCATTTTCAGTGAAGTAGGAAGGATCAACAGTGGAGAAGAGGATGGGGAGAAGGTGTTGAGTATTGAGGAAGAAGTTGTGAAATCCTTTGTTGCAGAGGGTGGAAGAATGAATGAATAGTAATATGTGGTATGAATGACTGCAACTTTCATGTCCCTCTCTTAAGTTCACAGTCATGGATTTGAAGTGAGACCAGTGTGCACTTCTCTAGCACACTGGTGATGCAAATGCAGGAGTAGAATGCTGGAGAGTTGGATTTTGCAAGTGAGCATGACAAAGCAAGAGGGGTACAAAGGAGTCAAGGGTATGTGCCAGGGAATGGTGTATAATAATTGATCATGGAGTTTAGGTGGCTAAAAAGAGATTGAGGATATTAGGAGGGTAAGGAGCAGGAGAAGGATGTTCAGATCCTTGGTGGGATTGGGGCACTAGATGGGTACACTGGAAAGATAGGAGATGGTGGTCACACAGTGAGATGAATGAAACACAATGTATGGAGGGGCTGCAGTCTGGTACTGACAAGGTCCAGGATATGGCCATGGAGTGATGAGCTGAGGTAGGGAGGACAAGAGCATAAGAGGAAAGGAGTCCCAGGAACTGAGAGGTCAGGATACTGGAAGGATTGGTGTGTATATTGTACATACTGAAATACCTAAGAAGAATGACAGGAAGTGGTATTGAAGAGAGAGCCACAGTGAGCCAGAAGCCAAAGTCAAAGAGAAATGCAGGGGTTGGTAGATAGATAGTGAGTGATATTACCTGATGCCTGAGATTCAAAGCTGGTGCTCTTACTCCCCTTTTCAGGGTTGCCCTACTCTTAGAAAAAGAAGAGGAATAGAGAAAAGGACAGACAAAGGCAGCAGCAAAATTGTCATTTAATGACCACTGGGTTGTCACCATCGGCTTGTAGCTAGTGCTTTGTTCTGTGATGTGAATAGGACCTGAGGTTGGGATCTGGTCCTTTAGCAGGCATGGTGAGAGAAGCCTGAATTACAGATGCTCAGCTGATCCAGAGAAAGGAAGTGCTTTTTCTTAATCATAGTAGAAAATGGTGTAAATATAAACCCTATTTTCAAACTATGCCTACTCATATAGTTTGCCACTGATTACAGGCATACTTCAGAGATAATGTGACTGTGGGTTTGGTTCCAGAACACTTCAATAAATACCCCATAAAGCAAGTCATACAAATTTTTTGGTTTCCTAGTACCTATAAAAGTTATGTTTCTACTATACTGTTAGTCTATTAAGGGTGCAATAGAATTATATCTTTAAAAAAACCCTACATACCTTAATTTAAGAAATACTTTATTGCTAAAACATGCTGACACAAAGACATGA